>NC_000003.12:107947998-108251028 GCF_000001405.40 Homo sapiens | reverse complement strand
TCCTGCCATGGGGTGATGCAAAAGCTTGATCTGTTTGGATCCTGGATCTGCTTATTTATTTAGTTCCCACTCCTTGGTCCAAGTACTTAGAGGTTCCTCCTGTGGTTACATACTTGGTTCATCTGGGCCTGCTCAGGTTGATTGACCTAAGGGTCCATGGCAACTGAAAAACAACTTACAACATTGTTACATAAAAGTTGAACCAGACTGGTCTGGTGCAGCTACACATCCCTCCCTTTTTTATATCCATTCCTCAATCTTGAGGGAATACGAGCTATGACTACTTTAGCCACTTCCTGCTGATTAGCGGGGTAGACCTTGGTCAGAGGAATGAAATTGTTTAGTGCCCTGGTGTCAGAGTTACATTTCAGATGTTGTTTTTATCTGGTTATAGGTAAAGGCATAAAGAGTTAACAACATTACCAGTTCCAGAGAACAAACAGAACCCCAGGTCTTATAGCAAAAGTTTCCACCCAGGTTCCAAATCAAGACTGTCTACGCAAATGTAGTGTTGAAACTTGAAACTGACTTAGTTCTGATTGGTCAATATAGCTGAGCCCTGATTAGCCAACTCGGGTGAGCTTTAATTGACTGGTTCAGGTGAATCCTGAAAGCCTCAAAGTTAAATGCTGCAGGCTTTCCTGGAACTCAGGGCATGTATGTCACCCCTACTCAACAAATGGCTGCTTTGCTCTATTTTAAATGGAGTCCCAGTTAGCCACTCAGGATCCATCTTGAAGAACTGGCGTAAATCTGTTGGTGGACCACATTGCATTGTACGACAGTGCAGAAGTAGTTGGCTACCTGCTTCAGGTCCATCTGGTCCCTTTCAGGGATCCTAGAGGCAGGGCAGTGGCCAATTGAACAACTAGACCCACTTACTTTTGAGAGGCACTAAGCTACCTATTAAATTTGAGCCAAAGTCTCTTGGGTTGTTCTGATTTCCAGCTGGAGTGAATTTAAAGTCTCAAAGATTGCATGAGCAAGATCCCGGTGGGGGTCTCTTACAGACATCTGTTAAAACAGGCTAGAACAATTTTAAAGAGGAGCTAAATGCTTAGCTCAAATATAAGGGGAATCATTAAGACTTGCAGGGTGAAACACAGAAGAAATCCTATACTAGGAGAAATCCTCTGAAAATATCTCGACATTGGAAATTGTACCCACCAGGTTCAGCTAGGAGGCTCCCTGAAGGTGTCCCTTTCAGAGATTTGGCTCGCTGTAGGCCTTAGGTGTTCCCAGTTAAACCTGACTGGAAATATTTACCCAGGTACAGCAGCAAGTGTTAGCAACAGCACAAACACCACCCTGTGCAGTGAGGTGATAGTCGATAGCAATGTGGTTGTCTAAGGAACTCTGCTGTGTCCTGATGGCTTGGGTGGTGAAGTGGGCAACCCTATTAACAGTGTGGGAAACGTTTCTGACCATGTATCTGTTGCAAACACAACCTAGTACAAACCAGGACCCCAGAAGCCTTCCTAATCTAGCTCCTTCACTAGAGTTAACCTCTCTGGGTAAATCACATCCTTGAAAGTGGCCCCAATTATAATCTGCAGGGTTATCATTGGTGTTGGATTGTGCCCCAAAACTCTCACGCAGCTCTTGGAGAGTAGGGTGGGTAGCATTGGTGAGGTCAACTGAATAGATAGGAACTTGGGTAAGAGCTATTTCTATGGCCAAATCTCCTGGTGAGGATAACTTATTACTTCCCCCTTTTTGGGAGAAGAAAATGTGGGCCTAGCAGTTTTCCAAGAATGTTCGCGTGGGTGAAGGAAAACTAAACAAAGGGTCTCCTTCTTTTAGCTATGGCATGCTGAATGCTGCACAGATATTCACCAATAGGGCTTTATTATTCCACTGGTCCACTGGTCTGTTTCTTCAGTCCAGAGGACTGGGGGTGGTAAGCACAATGGAGATGTCAATAAATAGGCCACATTTTGCAACATTTGAATAATTTGCCCTGTAAAATAAGTTTCTCAGTCACTATGAAGCTCTCAACAATTATACCAGGTTGGTGTAATTTTTCCAATAGGGTCTTAGTTGCTGCCATGGATGTGGCTTGTTGATACTGGCCTTTTACTTTTGGCTAAAGGACATGCCCTGGTAAGAGCATGCAGTTCTGCTTGTTGGGCAGAGTGGGCATGAGGAAAGTTAAATAAAGTGGTCAGATTAAGCAAGTTACATTGGAGGCTGGTAAGGCAAAGTGAGGATAGAAAGAAATCCCTGTAGTTTTCTTGAAAGCTTGTGATGTAAATTGAGGAGTGCCTCAACAGAGCATAGAACGTAGACAGTCAGGGGTGGCCCCATAACTATCTTTGTGGCTTTTACAAAGGAAGGGACAGCATCAACTGCTTTGAGACAAGGAGACCCTAGTATCCTGAGTCTAGCTTGTCCCCAGTTCTGAAATCTAATTAGAGAGTTGGTCAGATTTAAAAAGGGGAAATCCCTTGAATGTCCCTAGAGCATTCCTAGCCTGGATTGAGGGAAGAGGGCTGGGGGAGTTCATCAGGAATTAGTTAAAACCAAATATTAGGGGAACTGAGAAGAATTCAGGATCTAGTCCAGTCTACAGGCAGATAACAAGGACTTGAAGACAATGCACAGGGTTACAATCTAGTAACAAGTATACTTTTGCTTTCCTTAGAAACATAACTGTTTCTCTCCACATTGATCATATAGGAAATCTCAGATTTAGGACCTCTTGCAACTGGAAATCCAAACCAAGGCAAGCTTTAGATTTTACTTACCGTCTTAAGGTTCTTGGGCCTGCTAGGAAGTGACAGTTTTCATTCACTCACTGTAAAGCTGGGAACTCTTGAAACCAGGCATTTCATGTACATTTTAAAATGTGACATTTCAGTCCAAACTTTAGTAATATAACCAATGTTTCCAATAGTATCCTGCTTATAAAGAGAGATTTTTTTTTTTTTACTGGATTTACTAAATAAAAATAAGACCCACAATTTTGTAGGAGTCAAGAAATCAGGTAGAGGAAAAAAAAATGCTTCCACCATTGTTCACAAAGGATACTTTATCCAATTATTGCAAACTATAGAGAGGTTATGACAAAAAATTTCCTTGAATCTAGAAAATAAAACATTTAAGTCATAAAACATTATCCTTATCAATTACTTAATTTCATGTCATTAATTTTGTTTTGCTCAATCTTATTTGGCAATTTTGGACTACAGCCAATTGCAAATGCTTCCAGAGAAGAATTTAAAACAATAAACTGTGGTTGACAAAAACCTAGAACAGACATATTCAGAGATCTGATGAGAATTTACAATTGACAAGGAAATTTACATATTTCTTTGGCATGCAACCATCCAATACCATAATCATAATTATGACATGTATCTTGGCATATCAGTATTTTAGGAATCTCATACAATTTCACACCTCTTAATAACACACTTACATAAATATAACTTGAAGTTAAGCATCATTCCTTATTTGACAGCACTTTGCATATTATTTACCAAATAAGTCTAATCATTTAAAACCTCCACAAGGTGAGAAATATACTCTTTGATGCTCTCCAGGGGGCCCACCTGGAAAAATCTCAAAGTTAATTTTAGGCTAAGAGGCTTGAATTCAGATTTGGATCCTGGAAAATCTGCCAAAGATGTAAAAAATTAATAAATAAATAAAATCAAAGTACTTCCTTCAACAGAATCATATGTTGCTCCTACATAATAGTTACTCATTGAACCAGAGTGACAATCAAAAGACTTCTATAGCAATACAGGAAATTACATGGATGTAAAAACCTTAACCCTTTCAAAGCTCAGTTTTCCTAAACAATCTTTGCTTTTTAGGCCAGTAACCTTGAGCAGGGGAATACATTTAGTAATAGCATAGAAGTTCTGGTTACAGGAAACAGTTCAGACACATTAAGAAAAGACTAATACAAAATCAAGTTATACTGGAGTAAAACATTGCTTTTCTAAGACCTTCAAGATAAACCTGAAACCAGGGAAAATAGACAGTTCTCAGGAAGGAATGTGACAGAAATAGAAACTAATTCATAATTCAGAGAAAGGCTGTTAAAGAAACAGATTTCAGAATTAAAAATCAAAACCTCTCCCAATCTTATTAAGAACAAACCAATATTTTAAGAAACCCCTGTTTTAATATAGGAGGGCCAAAATTTTAAGTTCTGTATCAGTGTGTTTTAACATCAAAGTTCATTGTTTAGTAAGACTGTTAAAAATAATTATTTTACTTATAGCCAATTTAATCAAACCTGAAATTTCTTTCAGAAACTTTCTTTTTATAAACCTTATCATTACTTACTCACATGGTCAACAACATACTTGGACTTTCTGCCTTGCCTTATACTTTATCTTTCTTCAGTAATGAGTCGTTTCACACTAGGACAAAGATTTACTACATATGATTCTTCCTCATACAAACTATACATCTTCACATTTATAACTTTCTTCACGTCTCTCTCTCTCCTATTTGCTGGCTCCCTTCTATCTTGTTTCTAATTTCTTCCTAAATCCATATTTTAGACCTCCCTTTAAATAACTTCCAAATAAGACAAAATTACTCTTTTTCTCAATAAAGAACACATTTTATGTCTTTCTCATAATTTTTTCTTATTAATAACATCTTACTTTTGGCATACCTCATATATAGAATCACAAATTAGTTAGAATTTTTTTAAACTCTCAGTACTCCTAAATTTTATTTAAAACACAGTAAGCACAAAAACTTCCATTGTCTGTAATATATTAGTATTTTATACACAAAAACCATTTTATGATTTTTAGAAAAACATGTTTTCCTTTAGCATAATTTTTACACATATTTATAGACCCAAACATATTTAGTCTTTGTATTAGTTTGTTCTCACTCTGCTAATAAAGACATACTTGAGACTGGGTAATTTATAAAGGAAAGAGATTTAATTGACTCAAGTTCAGCATGGCTGGAGAGGCCTCAGGAAACTTACAAGCATGGCAGAAGGGGAAGCAAATGCATCCTTATTCACATGGTGGCAGCAGGAGAAGTGCTGCGCAAAAGTTGGGGAAGCCCCTTATAAAACCATCAGATCTCATGAGAACTCACTCACTATTAAGAGAATAGCATGAAGGTAACCAACCCCATGGTTCAATTACCTCCCACCAGGTCCCTCCCACAACACATGGGGATTATGGGAACTACAATTCAATATGAGATTTGGGTGAGGACACAGCCAAACCATATCATTCTGCCCCTGCCCCCTCCCAAATCTCATGTCCTCATGTTACAAAACATAATCATGCCCTTCCAACAGTACCCCAAAGTCTTAATTCATTTTAGCATTAACCCAAGAGTCTAAGTCCAAAGTCTCATCTGGGACAACACAAGTCCCTTCTGCCTATGAGCCTGTAAAATCAAAAGCAAGTTAGTTACCTCCTAGATACAATGGGGGTATAGGCATTGGGTAAATACACCCATTCCAAATGGGAGAAATTAGCCAAAACAAAGAGGCTACAGGCCCTAGGTAAGTCCAAAATCCAGCTGGGCAGTCATTAAACCTTAAAGTTCCAAAATGATCTCCTTTGATAGCATTACATCCAGGGCACACTGATACAAGAGGTGGGCTCCCACAGCCTTGGGCAGTTCCGCCTCTGTGGCTTTGCATGGGGTAGCCCCCGCTCCCAGCTGCTTTCATAGGCTGGTATTGAGTGTCTGCAGCTTTTCCAGGCATACAGTTCCAGCTGTCGGTGGATCTACCATTCTGGGGTCTGCAGGACAGTCGCTCTCTTCTGATAGCTCCACTAGGCAGTACCCCAGTGGGGACTCTGTATGGGGGCTCCAATCCCACTTTTCCCTTTTGCACTGCCCTAGAAGAGGATCTGTGTGAGGGCCCTGCCCCTGCAGCAAACTTCTGCCTGGACATCGAGGCATTTCCATACATCCTCTGAAATCTAGGCAGAGGTTCCCAAACTTCAATTCTTGACTTCTGTGCACTTGCAGGCTCAACACCACATGGAAGCTGCCAAGGCTTGGGGTTTGCACCCTCTGAAGCTACAGCCTGAACTCTACCTTGGCCCATTATAGCCATGGCTGGAGCAGCTGGGATGCAGGGCACCAAGTCTCTAGGCTGCACACAGCAAGGGGCCCTGGGCCTGGGCCAGGAAACCATTTTTTCCTTCTAGGCTTCTGGGCCTGTGATGGGAGGGACTGTGTCAAAGGCCTCTGACATGCCCTGGAGACATTTTCCCCATTGCCTTGGTAATTAACATTCAGCTCCTTGTTAGTTATGCAAATTTCCACAGCAGGCTTGAATTTCTCCCCAGAAAATGGGGTTTTCTTTTCTATTGCATCATCAGGCTGCAAATTTTCCAAACGTTTATGCTCTGCTTCCTCTTGAATGCTTTGCTGCTTAGAAATTTCTTCCACCAGATACTGTAAATCATCTCTCTCAAGTTCAAAGTTCCAAACATCTCTAGGGCAGGGGTAAAATGCCACCAGTCTCTTTGCTAAAACATAGCAAGAGTCACCTTTATTCCAGTTCCCAACGAGTTCCTCATCTCCATCTAAGACCACCTTAGGCTAGATTTCATTTTTTGGTCAAAGCCATTCAACAAGTCTCTAGGAAGTTCCAAACTTCCCCACATCTTCCTGTCTTTTGAATTCTTCAAGTCTATAGGAAGTTTCAAACTTTCCCACATTTTCCTATCTTCTTCTGAGCCCTCCAAACTGTTTCAATCTCTGCCTATTATCCAGTTCCAAAATCACTTCCACATTTTTGGGTATCTTTACAGCAGTACCCTACTCTACCAGTACCAATTTACTGTATTAGCCTATTTTCATGCTGCTAATAAAGACATACCTGAGACTGGATAATTTATAAAGGAAAGAGATTTAATTGACTCACAGTTCAGCATGGCTAGGAAGGCCTCAGGAAACTTACAATCATGGCAGAATGGGAAGCAAACACATCCTTCTTCACATGGCAGCAGCAAGGAGAAGTGCCAAGCAAAAGCAGGGAAAGCCCCTTATAAAACCATCAGATCTCATAAGAACTCACTCACTATCACAAGAACAGTATGCCCCCATGATTCAATCACCTCACACTGAGTCCCTTCTGTGACATGTGGGGATTATTGGAACTACTCAAGATGAGATTTGGGTGGGGACACAGTCAAATCATATCAGTCTATCAAATATAAGAAGCCAATCAGCAATTTGTTCTGGTTTTTGTCTAATTTGGAACTGAGCCATAGATTCAACGAGTATCTATTATTTAATTTAGGATTTCAAATTACATAAAAAATTTATTTATAGATATTTATCCCATTTACCTTTACCTAATTTATTTGTTTTTAGCAGTTTACCTAGATTACTTATGAGAACTGACACATTAGACAAAGCTAGTCATCATTACAAATTATCTGTTAATTACCTTATATAACTGCGTATCAGGTAGGTGTCATGAAAGTAAGAACCTTAAAGTTAAATTTCAAAAGACAAACATCCCCATCAAACCAACAGTTTTATTAAGACTTAAGAATAGTCTTATTCTCTAAATGATGACTCAGGCATGTGAACTTGAAAAGCATTGGCTTTTATTTGCTTAGTTTAGAAGTACTCATTTTTTTATATGCCAATTTGGTACCATAGACAAATACAGTTGGAGCTGTACGTACCACCAGATGTAAATAATGATCTTGTAGCATTAATTTTTAAAAACTTTAACCATGGGTTGGTACAACTCCCTACTTTAAAGGACAGTTAGATTCAAACTGTGTCTCTGTCAGACTAGAAATTTTAGCTGAAATTCATCTATCCCACATGGCTGAAGCCCTTCATCAAATTTTAGAGAGAACAAGGTAGCAAAGTAAAGAGGCAGAGCAGCAGGAAGGGGAGGCTAATGGAAGAAGTTTAGCTCTAGTGTCAGAAAGCCCATGAGTCTCTTTCCCACAGCAATTGTTACCCAGGGTTCCTAGATTGTAGAGGAGCCCCTGACCCTCAGGGTCTCATTATTTCTGGTTACTATCAGCAAACTGTGACATCTGCTGGGCTGATTGATGGGAAGCTTCTTTTCCTCCCTCTTCTATCTCCCAGAGACAGTTAGAATACTCCTGTTTCTAATTGCCCTCTAGTTTACAATATGCACATTGTTGTGGCCTCAAGGGTGGATAACCCTTTTGGCTAGGCAGTGGGGACCTTAGGGGGTCTTACCCATGGCTCTTTGTCTTTTCCTTGTGTGCTGGCTGGTTGCAGTTAAGAACTGTGGTAAGCAGCATAGCTTGTTTTCTCATCTCGAGTTGTTTTTGCCCTTCTTGGACTTGGTCATAGCTGTTAAATGCCTTAAAAGCAATCTTGACCAATTAACATATCAGCATTCCCAATTACCCTTCTACTTTTTGTAGTTTACTTGTATGACTTGTGCTGCTAGAGTCCTTTTACAATGTTTCTCATTTCCTAGGATACCTATTCAGGGTCTAGTGCAAGCCACCAGAGGCTTAGAGGCAGGATTGGTGGTGACACAGATCCCACAACTCTTGGCCCACTCTGGGTTCAACTATTTTTTTTTTTGAAACAGAGTCTCGCTCTGTCGCCTAGGCTGGAGTGCAATGGCACCATCTTGGCTCACTGTAACCTCCACCTCCCGGTTTTAAGCAATTCTCCTGCCTCAGCCTCCCTAGTAGCTGAGATTACAGGCACCCACCACCATGCCCAGCTAATTTTTGTATTTTTAGTAGAGACGGGGTTTCGCCCTGTTGGCCAGGCTGGTCTTGAACTCCTGACCTCAGGTGATCCATCCAACTCGGCCTCCCAAAGTGCTAGGATTACAGGCATGAGCCACCACACCTGGCCTTTTTTTTTTGTTTTTGTTCTTTTTTTGCATCAAATGCCAGAGCTCCAGTTTCTGGTGGGTGATCCAGGTTATGGCAAACAGGGCGCTAGGGAGACCAAGCCCTTCCGCCTCCTATGAAAGCCTGTCTCTCGACAAAACTAATTCCTAAAACTAGTCCCACAGTCAGCTATCTAGCTCCAGATTGCCCTTATCAGGACAGGAATGTCTCTGAATCCCCCAGATCACAAAGCAGCCAGGGACAGAAACACAATCAGAGATGTGCTATGCTTGGTCCAGAGAATTACCTTTCTAGTCAGCCCACAGGGCAAAGTTCACTTACTGCCCCAAAGGAATGTCAAACAAAAGGTCCCAGCGATCCATCAGGGTAGGTCCAAGCGACAATCCAGTGGGCAGGACACCAAGCTGGAGGTCGGTGGGAATGGCACCCAACCCCTCTCAGGCAACGTAAGTCAGTTAGTCCAGGCAAGCTGCCTCTGCCTACTGTTTCATTCGTAAGGAGCCTTAAAGGACTTTGGGATCAGGACCTGAGTCCCAATTCCATCTGGGTCACCAGAATTTTGTTACCTACATAGTGGGTTGGTTTGGACACTTAGCAGGTATCAACCAATGACCACAATGAAGGAAGGTTTAGCAAGGGGATTTTATGACTTGTAATAAGTAAGGAGAACACTGGTGATAATTCTCAAAGCAATGTTCCCCCAAGCTGGGGGCTGGGTCAGGTTTTATAAGCATGGGATAATGAGCTGTGACCTGATGGGATCTTGCAATGAGGTGATGCCAGGACGCATGATCTGACTGGATCCTGCCATGGAATGATGCCAGAGCTCTATCTGATTGGATCCTAGATCTTGTCATGCAATGTCAGCTTCTGAATTCAGTTCCCACTCTTTACGCACTTAGGCTTCCCCTGTGGTTGCACACTTGGTTCATCTGGGCATATGACCTAAGGTTATGTGACCTAAGAGTTCATGGCAACTGAAAAAACAATTTACAACTTTGTTAGATAAAAGTTGAAGCAGATTGGTCTGGTGCAACTACAAGCAGATATTGACAGAATATGTATATGATAAAAATGATCTAATAAATTTTCCTTATTTTTACAATAGTATATGATGATAGAGACTTTGGAAAATTAAAAAAGAAAAACATAATGCAATAATCATAATAAAATAACTTCTTAAAAATCTGATTTTTGTATGCATATATTTTTAGAACATGTTGTTTAACAATTTTCGGATCTACTTTTGTATTACATAAGTATTTTTCCATGTCATATCTTAAAACACCTTTTTCAATGTTGCCTAAATTAGCACCCATATATACTGTTAAGTATTAACTATGGACCACTGGACACATTAGATGATTCCAATTTTTTTCTATTATAGAAACTAATTAAAAATTCTATTTACATAAAACCTTGTCTGAGTTGACTATTGATATAGAAATGTTTGTATAGAGGGAGTATCAAAAAAGACAATATACTCTAAAATTCTTGATTTGCCTAGCAAATCCTTTACAAAAGGATGAAGCAAGGTTTTTAAGAAGCTGCTTTTTGGGGAGAAAGCATTTGTTCCTCTTGAATTAATTTCACTCTAACCAACATAAAT
Source organism: Homo sapiens (assembly GCF_000001405.40). NCBI lineage: Eukaryota > Metazoa > Chordata > Mammalia > Primates > Hominidae > Homo > Homo sapiens. The sequence goes on along the minus strand of NC_000003.12, from coordinate 108,240,597 downwards.
TAATGTTTTTTGAAGTAGAAGTAATAGAAACTTTGGGAGAAAGTGAAAACACCTCACAATCTATTATAAGCAAAGAAAAGAATGTCAAGCACATTGTGAAAAATGTGCCAGATATAAGAAAGGTTTATTTCAAAACATTAAGAACATTGAAATGCCAGATAATCTATTATTGTGAAAGGCAGTTCCGTCCTGATGGGAGACTCAAACTAAACTCTGGCACCTGAATCACTTAGCAGGTAAAAGAGGAAAGAAAAAAGAGAAACATGTAAACAAATTCAACAACTCAGATTATAGTTTCAGGGAACAGGATATAACAAAAAACAATAAAGATTTGCATTAGGAAGTTGAAACTAGGTTTGCAGAAAAAGACAGCAGTAAAGACAGAATAGACTTTACTGCTTGAAAAATATTTTTAAAAAGTCATCAAGTGAAAGAAAGTAGAACTGTTTAATTTTGATTTTATTTTCTCTTCATAAAGGAGAAAAATCTTTACTGTAAGGTAGAATGGTATGAATAGGAAGTCAAAGCCCAGGATGAATGGAATGAAGTGAAAACTATGGGAGCAAAATTCACATTGCAAAATGTCACAGGGAAGTGTAGTTAATCTGACAAGCAGTAGCTTGTTAAATAGAAATAAGGTGGCTCTGAATTCTTATCCATAGCAACAAGATGCAAGCTAGGAGCAGTGACTTTCCTTGGAGGATAACTCCTAGCTGCATTTCAGAGTCAATGGCGGAAATTTAAAACATACAGACGTACAGCCTCCATCCAAACACCTACGTCAGAAGGCCCATGGTGGAGGATGGGCATCTGCATAGCAGCACAACTGCTGTTTGATGAACCAGTTTTCAATGGACCAGGATCATTTATACCACGTGTTTGAGAAGACTCCCATCAAATGGTAAATTTCGTCCCTAAAAGGATTAATTAATTAATTCTCAATTAATGACATGGGCTTCATAGCTAGAAACTACCAAGGACAAATAGGTATCACAAAATACATGTATTTCTGAATATACATTGAATGTTTGTATTCTCTTAAGACTTGGGTAAATTCAGTAAGTTTCTCAAACTAAACAAAAATCTTTATTTTTGCAGTCTTAATTGATGTCAGACATAGCTGCCCTGCTTCCCCTCTCTCCATAATTCTTAGAATTGGCCCCTAGTTGGGATATAGCTACCCAACCAGATGCTTTCTGGAGTCATAATACTTTTCAATATTATTTTAAGCTTTCAACCCAGTAGAATTTATGCTAAAGCAACGTAGAAGAGCTATTATCTCCCATCTCCACATATATATTCTCTCTTTGATCAGGCCTGCCAGAAGTGAGATAGGAAGATCATGGAGATAGCAAGCCACTTGGCTCTATTCCAGTCTGACTACAAAAACAAGGGGAATACAAGAAAGATAAAGGTGTAATCCTACCAATCTTCAAGAATTACAGGACTAAATCCAATAATTAGATTCTGCACAATTGAAGGCCAACCTATTGCTTTATTAAATCAATTACAAAAAGTATAGATTGGTAGAAAATCTGTTTTTCTAATTGTAATACATCCTTGTTTTGTCTTTAAAATTGTGTAAATTTCTTAAATTACTGAATTATGCAAATTGTCACAGCAAAATCAACTTCATAAATAAATGATATCTATTGCGGCAAAGGACTAAAGTGAGAATTTTGTATTTACTGATAGGTCAAAGCTAAGTTGCCAATAAGGATTTCATTGTGATATAGCTTTGTCCTGAGTTTTAGCTAGTCCCTGAGCCAATTTATTTTAAATGGTGGATTTTCTTATTTTCCCAACTCATTTTAGTTTGGAAAAACTGGTTTCATTCTGATACCTCTGAGTTCTCCAAACAATATCACAAATTAGCTAGCTCTTCATGTATAAATCATATGGAGATTAAACAAACTCAAGGGTAATTTGATGCACAGCCATAAGATGTATTTTGCTTTAGTTTCATTCATTTCCCTTTGCTTCTTTTGTTACTTTGCATGTTATCCATCGTGCAGATAGAAATTAAATACTTTAATCTATAATTCAATATTTATTTACATTTTGGTAAGATTTTGAGAGAGAGATATGACTAGTAAAATGTGAAATAATTTTTCTGAACATCCTTCAGGACAAAGTGTTGTCATTCTTCCTAACTCTCCTACAGTTCTCTTACCGTGGTAAACACATGGCTCTTGATTGCACTGAGAACACCCTTACGAAGTCATAGCTTACCTATTCAAGGCCATTTAATTGCTTTTGGGTAAGAATTCAGTTCCCTAATTCCCAGTTCATAAAGGCCATTTCTGGAGGCAAGTTTAGGTTTTGTTATTTTGGAATTATATGTCAGATTGTTGTTGAAATGTTTATCAACCACCTCAGAAAAAGAAAGAATTCTGAAACAGCTCCCTATAATTTGTTATTTGGATAATTCCTGGATTTCATTAACCTGGATTTAATTTATAATAGATGAGAGATCAAAGAAATCCTAGCTCTTATGGTATGATTTGGTCCACATGAACTTTAGATTTTATTTTTCTACCTTATACACTATTATATATGTTAATTTTGTGTCCAAAGTAGATTTAAGAGAAGAACAGTCAATTGAGGGCCTATTAAGCACCTGTGTACCAGGTGCAGGGAAAGAAGGAAGACTGAAACAGAAGTAAATAGGCAATACAATACAATACAATACAATAGTATTGTATCTTCAATACAAGTTGAAGATGGTTATGATGAGTATAAATCCAGGAAGCTAGCAATGGCAGGAGAGCTGAGAAGCAACAAATCAAGCTGCAGGTTTTCTAAACCTTCCTTACAGGAAGACTGTTGGCTGGTTGTGCTGCCTTAAAAAAAAAAACTGCCACGAAATTATTTGGTACTCCTTCCATCAAAAGGTGAGTAGAGAGTGGCCAAGATGGTCAACTCGAAGCAGCTAATGTGTGTGCCTCTCACGGAGAGAAATGGAAGGGTGAGAAAATACAACACCTTCAACTGAAACATTCAGGTACTTGCACTGGGACTAATCAAGAAAACAATCTGACCTATGGAAAATGAAGAAAAGCAAGACAGGACCTGGGAGCAACATGGAGCCAGGGGAACTGCCTCTGCCCAGGCAGGCGTTGAGAAAATGTGCAACCCCAGGAAACCACACTTCTCCCATGGATCCTTGCAACCCTTGGATTAGGAGATCTTTTTGTGAGCCCACCCCACCAGGGCCTTCAGTCTGACACACAAAGCTATGTGGAGTCTTGGTGGAGCAGCTGCTCAAGCATGTGTGGAGACCCTGGAGCCTTAAATACTCAGACTTTCCAGCAAAAGTAGTTGCAGCTCTGGCAAAGTGGGAGGGTAGACCCCCGTACATACAGTGGAAAAGATTGAATCCAGAGGGCTGAGCAGTAACAGCCTGCAGGCTGTACTTCCATTGTGCCTCAGAAAATCAGACCCACTGTCTTGGAATTTCAGCCACCCACCAGTAGCAGTATTGCACCTCTGTGAGAAGGAGCTCCTGTGGGGAGAGGTGGGCCTCCATCATTGCTGTTTGGGTGCCTTAGCCATTCCAGCCTTCAGGCTTTGGAGAGTCTGAGCCGACTAGGGGTAGAAGGGATCCCCTTGCAAAGCACAGCTCCTCTACCAAAATGTGACCAGACGGCTGCTTTAAGTAGGTGTCTGATCCTATTCCTCCTCACAGGGTGGGACCTCCCAACTGGGGCCTCCAGCCAGCCCCACTGGTGTTCTCCAGCCAACAGAATGTTGAATTCTCCTTGGGACAGTGCTCCCAAATGGAAGGGTGGGCTGCTATCTTTGCTGTTTGGGAGACTTAGCTGTTTCAGCTTTTGGGCATTGCAGTGTCTGAGCAGACCAGGGGCGGAAGGGATCCCCCAGCACAGCACAGCTGCTGTATAAAAACATGGCCAGACTGCTTCTTTAAGCGAGTCCCCAATCCCATTCCTCTTCACTGTGTGGGACCTCCCAACCAGAGCCTCCTGCCACCCCTGTTGGTGTTCTCTGGCTGAAAGAGATTTGTAACCTCCCTGGGATAGAGCTCCCAGAGGGAGGAGCAGGCCACTATCTTTGCTGTTTGGACAACTTAGCCATTCCAGTCTTCAGGCTTCGAAGTGTCTAAGGTGACTGGGGGCTGAAGCAGAAATGTGAATCAAAACCACAATGAGATATCATCTCACACCAGTCAGAATGGCTATTATTAAAAAGTCAAAAAGTAACAGATGCTGGTGAGTTAGTGGAGCAAAGGGAACGCGTCTACCATAAAAACACAGGCACACAAATATTCATTACCGCACTATTCGCAATAGCGAAGACATGGGATCAACCTAAACGCCCTTCAAGGACAAATTAGATGAGAAAATGTGGTATATATACACCATGAAAAACTATGCAGCCATAAAAAAGAACAAGATCATGTCTTTTGTGGGAATATGGATGGAGCTGGAGGCCATCATCTTTAGCAAACTAAACAGGAACAGAAAACCAAATACTGCATGCTTTCACTTATAAGTGGGAGCTAGATTATAAGAACTTAAGAACACAAAGAAGGGGACAACAGGCACAGGGGTCTACTTGAGGTGGGAGGAGGGAGAGAAGCATAAATGATAACTATTGTGTTATCACAATAATACTTGGGTGATGAAATAATATATACAACAAACCTCCATGACATGTGTTTACCTATGTAACAAACCTTCACATGTACCTCCAAGCCTAAAATAAAAGTTTTTTTAAAAAGGTATTTTCGTTCCCTCCTCCTGAGACTGAGTAGGCTTATGACCAATACAATACAGTGGATGCTATCATAAATGATGTTCCTTTCTCACTGGAATGCTTAAACTTGAAGCCCTAAGAAGTCTCACTACCCTGAAGTAGGCAGAGATATTTTAATGCTAAGCTAAGGCAAATCAATTTTGTAAGTATCAGTTCCCTGATGGAGAAAACCTGGAACTGAAAAAAGAGACTGAATATTCTGAGGAGGTTGACTCTACAACCTTCCAGATCCTGTAAGATTGCAGAGGTAGCCCACCTTTCCTTAGTAAGAACTAGTACTTCTGGAGCATCTCCCAGCACAGCAGGAGTCTTGCCCATATAAGGCAACAGATGATGCCCTGGAAGGCTACCTCTATTACCTCTCCTTAGCTCCCAGGCTAATAACTAGGGTTAAATCCCAGTGTAACCCACCTGGGGATGTGCTGGGCCTTATAAAGAAGGAAAGAGACTTTATACCTAAAGAATTATGTGAATGAGCGGGCATATATGAGCAGGAGTCAGTGAATTCCTCCTGAAAGTGGATTTTAGAAGTGCTTGATCAAAAAGGCCAGAAAGTACAACTGCATAAAAAGAATTCATTGACTTGGGAGCACTTTCTCAAGACCCAGGATTTAACACCCTAGCAAGGACTCCAGGGGATGGGTAAACTTACAGCTGGTGTAGCTTCTAGAAGCCTAGCCAATTCTCAATAAAGTGGGAATGTTCAAGGTGCCCTAGAAGTAGGGAGATGAAGGAGTTGAGGCTGAGGAAAGCAGACATGTAGAATGGATATACGCCATAAGGCCAGAAAACCCACCAGAAGATTATGTTCCTCAGAAGGGCCTAGAGAACACACCATTCCCCAAGGCCATCAGGAATATATTGGTGATAGGAGCACTAGCACCACTAAGGAACTCTATGATGGTTCCCTCTGTAGGCAAGGGATGATGATACTAGAGGCAGTCACATAGCTGGCCTGATTAATATCATTAAGATGATGGGGCCTTGATGTACTAGAGGCCAGATGGCAGCACTTATTATCAGGAGGCAGGAGGCTGTAATTACCATAATGACTGGCAAGGCCAGGGGGCGGCCAAGGCTGCTTGACCCACAGGGAATTGTGGAGATGGTTAACAGAGCATCATAGTTCTAGGGGCAAAACAGATGGGCAGTTAACAAGGGTGCTGCTTAACACTACAATGAAATAAAGACAAGAATGGAGGAGCAGGATGCTGGGTGGCTGCCCAACAATGTCACAGTTGCTTGCTTGGTCAGTTCCCAGACCACAACAAATGTTCACATCTATAACCCATAGGCTAAAGAAGGGCCTGGGGCCTTAGAAGAACTCTGCCTCACCACAGCAACTATGTTTCATGACAACAGAGTCCTTGAATGCATGAATAAAACTGATACATTTGGCAAGTAAAGTAATCCCCACACTAGGTTTCTAGCCTGTGGAGTAAGAGCTGTTACAGCGGGAACAGCCAAATGGAAACCTCTGAAACTGCCATCCCAAAGCAGTGAATAAATAACAATATAGTATCACCTGGAGAGGCAAGGCAAATATATGTGACAGCATTAAAGATCTGAAGGATGCAGGAATCGTGGTTCCTATTGTATCTCTATTCAATTTGCTACTTTGGCTCCTTCAAAAACCAGATGGCTCCTGGAGAATGACTGTAGACTATTACAGAATCAACCAAGAAGTATCCTAGTTTGTAGCTATTGTGCCCAGCGTGGTATCCTTGATAGAACAAATATGTCCTCAGATACACATTATGCAGGCACTGATCTAGTGAATGCATTCTATTTAAGCCCAATCAGGAAAGAGGATCAGAAACAGTTTGCATTCACAGGAATAGACACTATCTATTTAAAGTTTTCCTCAGAGCTGTGTTAACTGTCCTGTCCTCTGTCATAACAGAGTCCGAAGAGATTTGGACCTCCAGGACATTCCATAGAACATGACACTGCCCCATTATATCTGTGACATGATGCTGATTGAGTGGGAGCAAGAGGTGATTAGTATGCTAGAGGCCTCGGTAAGACGCGTGCACTCTAGAGCATGAGAAATTAACCCAACAAAGAGTCAGGTGCAGTCACTTCAGTTAAGTTTTGGGGATGCAGTGATTGGGGGCCTGCTGAGACAACCTCTCCAAAATAAAAGACAAACTATTGTATCTTGCATCTCCTACACAAAGAAAGAAGCACAGCATTTTGAAAGCCTTTCTGGTTTCTGGAGGTAACAGATTCCAAACCTAAGAATATTGATCTGGCCCATATATAGGATGATGCAGAAGGCTGCCAGCTTTAAGTGGGAGCCCTTAGACTGCATGGCAGCATAAAGCAAGCACTTCCACCCAAGCTTGCTTCCCTTTACTCTTCACTTGTGAACAGCCTTGCATCAAAATCTGACTGTGGTCCCTTCCCATGTTCTATCCCAGGCAAATAGCCTAATAAAATTTTTACATATCTAATCCCATTTTGGCCTCTGCTTCTTGGAGGACCCAACCTAACATAAATACTTTGAGAAAGGTCACAAAAGATAAAAGAATAAGAAATCACTGCTTTTTTTTTTTTTAAGAGGCTATAGAGGAAACAAAAGGGAGGACTAAAATTTACAGTATGAAGAGAGGATAATTATATAGGGTAGGACAAAATGACGACAGAATATGTGTAGCATTCCTATCATTAAATTTTCTCCAGTTTCAACTGGGGAAGACCCCTTGTCTGGCATGAGGGGTTAATCATAGGGCCATTAGCATGACTTTAGTGGTATTGACTGCAGAGCCAGACAAAGGTGTAAAAGATACAGAATCCAATCAGCCACCATTAAAATATCATTAAGAATTGTGACTCAGCCAGACAGGAAGATTGTTAAATAAATGTTTCAAACAGATAATAAAGGATTAATACAGGAAGTTAGTTGCTGCCTGGGTAGAGGGTTGCAATCTCAAATCACAGGAAAGTAATTTAACTAATTTTATTTAATTAGGTGATTTAAGGGCCAAACTTGAACCTATATGAAAACAATTTAGTCTTAAAACTATGAGCATAATATTCTCCTTTTAATGATGACTATAATAAAGGGTCAGCAAGTCTGTTTCTTGATAGGAAGCACCATCCTGGCTATATGCAGCCACCTTAACTCTTGAATTCTAGTCAGAGATCTCTGGGCTATAAGCAATGTCAGCTTGTTGGATAGTTACTTTACCTTGGTTGTTATTTATTTATTTAAGACAGAGTTGGTTGGTCTTAACTGGTTGTTGCCCAGGCTGGTCTTGAACTCCTTAGCTCAAGAAATCCTCCTGCCTCAGCCTCCCAAAATACTGGGATTATAGGCATGAGGTACCATGCCCAGCCTATCTTGGTCATTATTTATTGATCTGGTAACCTCACCTCATTTCAGATGATAAAACAATTCCCCAGTAGAGGCAGATGTACCAAGAGAGTAGCGCAGTTTATGTTCCAGGGAGCTTTACTTGCATGCTCCCTTCCAAAGTACTGTAGCTGATTTCAAATTCAAAATTTGGTATTTTTTATTAAAAATTATGCCTCCCTCACCCCCACCCCTACCAACTGTATAAGCTTCAAGCCCCACAAAGCCTGAATCTGTCCCTGGCGTTTACACAGCAAGCTAAGAAAACTGAATATTGTCCTGAATAGGGGAACCATGTAAGAATGTCGGGTAGTACAGAGGCATGTCCATATTTGCATTTCAGGAAGATTACTTTGGGAACAATGTAGACAAAAGACTGAAAGAGGGGTAGATCTGGAGGGAAAACTATAAGGAAGCCGTCATTGTATTCCAAGCAAGAATAAAGATCTTTTGCTTTTTATTTTATAAAAAAAGTTGGTGTTTCCTTTGAAAGAGCAAGATCCTCTGAGGCATTTCTAATTTTACTTATAAAAGCTCCCTCTTCCCATTTCAGAAGTATTATTCTTCCTTCAAGAAGCTGAGGAGATTAAAATCTTTCACAGTGTAATAGTCTGTTCTTGCCTTCAGAAAGTAAAATATGAAATTTTCATACTCTACAGTGCTAACTTACTAGCATAAGGAAAATAGCAAGTGTTTGTTTTAAAATAAAATGTCAATGTAATAATAAAAAAAATGAGTTCTTCTGTGACCTTCTTAGCCCAATAAGAGACTCAGATAGTACACACTGTATCCCTGGATGATATGCTCAATATTATCTATTAAAAGTATATTTAGAGTATATATTTCAAGATTAAATACATTTATAGTTCATCTTAAAAAATAAATGTACAGTAATCAAGAAGACTGAGAGAAAGGAAAAGGTGGGTTGTTCTACCAAAGAGCAAATCTTACTCTAAAGCCACAAAAACAGTTTTAGACAGCATAAAAATAAGCAAAAATATCTACTGAAGTCAGTTTGAAGTTTGAAGTCTAGAAATGGACCACATGAGCTGTCTTAGTTCATTTTGTGCTGCTCTAAAAGAATACCTGAGACTGAGTAATTTATAATAAACAGAAATTTATTAGCTCAGAGTTCTGGAGGCTAGGAAATCCAATATCAAGGTGCTGGCATCTAGCACGGACCTTCTTGCTGTGTCCTCACATGGCAAAAAATGAAATGGAGAGATAGAGCAAGAGAGGGCTGAACCCATCCTTTTATAGCAACACCAATCCCACCCATGAAGATGAAGCCTCGTGCAGCCTAATCACCTCTTAAAGGTCTTACCTCTTAATACCATTACAATGGAAATTAAATTTCAAAATGACTTTTGGAGGGGTCACATATTAACACCATAGCATAAGCATAAACATTTCACATTAATAGAGAAAGAATGAGCTGGTAGATGGTCAGCCATTTTTGCACAACTCTATGAGGTAAAAGGAAAATCATTATTGACTTCTACTTTATGGTTAAACTATGGGGAGGATCTCCCCTTCTTTCTTGAGGCTTAGATAACCATAAAGTCTACATTCAATTGTCTACTCTTCCTCAGAAAGTTGCTATTATAAATCCATGCTCTGCCTTGTGGTACTGGGTAGAAGGAAGAAAAGGCTTTTACAGAGCTTATAGTATTCCTCTGAAGTCTGTAGTAACAATTAAAAGAAAAAGTATACACTGGGCATGTAGATCAAGCAAAAGATCTAGTAAAAATTATAAGTTGTTAGGAAGTCACTAAAAATATTTTAGTTTATGCCTTTGATTTAGGACTTTTTTGGGGTGAGTTCTTTGGAATGAAATTAAACACGTTCCAATTCGAATTCTTACTGGATAGACATGTTGCTTCTAGATCCTGGAAATACATGACTATATCTGGCAGACCCCTTACTGAAGTTCTTAGCCAAAGAGAGTCAGCTTATACCCCTGTACACCTAGGCAAAATGGTAAACAGCACCAGCCTCCATATTAGACACAAAAGAAAGGAACCATCACTTTGCTCTGAAGTTTGCCTCTCAAGGCAGGATACCTACTTCAAATATATTGCTTCTTCTACTAATTTCCCTTGCCTAATTCTTCCTGATCCTTCCATGCACAGGATAAAAATGAGACTCCAGAGAGAGGAAGTACCATAGGCTATGGGGGTACAGAGGGGAAGAAATCAATTCTGTTTTTTGGAGGGGTTAAATAAATGTCTGGAAAGCTTTCATCCCAAACACTCTCTACTTCTCTAACATACTATGTTTCAGTTGCCAAGTACATGTGTCTCTGCATTAAAGCATGAGCTATTTGGGCATAGACACCAGGCCCATGAGTCTTTGCATTACCATCCAAAACCCAGTGCCTAACATATTATATGTGCTAAAGTGTTTGTTGTACCAAAATAAATACATAAATACATAAATCTTAGAAAATACTTTCTCCCTCTCTCTGTAGTTGCCAAAAAGCCAAAATCTGATCCCTGGATCTATTAGTTTGGTTTTTCACACTCTTACCTTCAGAAAGAAAAGAATCTCTCATTAAAATCTTACTAGATGCAAATGCAAAATGGATTACTTTTTCTCTTCAGAAGCAAAATGTACAGGTGTGGAGTAGGAATTCGTCTCCACAAATAGGAAGGAGCTACGAATAAAAATAAGGCATTTGGACTTAACATTTTATTACCGTGTAATGGTTTGGGCAACCGTTTCCAAAACCTCAAGATAAGGCGCCAATAACTATCTGTGAAACAGGCCATCAGAAAGTCTGGCATACTGTGCATTCAGATTCAGAGTTGTACCATGAAAGTATGATAATTACACAGGAGGTAGCATCTAGCAGATTCTGCTTTCGTTAGGCTCTAGGGAGCCCTATTAAGAGAGCTTTCTCCTATGACATTTATTTTTAACACTACTCTCTGTCTTAAATCTAATTTTTCCTTAGGGGAAGAATGTTGTGCCAGACTGTAAAATAAATTGAATCTTTTAAATCTAGCCCTTGAAGAATAAACCAATTTCTATTTAACCTTCAAAACTCTGACAGATCACATCAATCCTTCTTGTTAGTACCCAAAATGTATCAAATCAAAGTGTTACTAATATACATGATGCAATAGAACTCTTATCAGGAAACTAGGCTGAATGTTTCAATATTTGCAGTTACTTATATGCTATTTTTCCTATCTGACAGTTTGTATGGTTTGTACCTTTAGCAACCTTATTTTTTTTTTATCTAAGTTACACTACTTCAGTACATATTCCACATAAAGAAATTCAGAAGAACCGTATTTTAACGTCAACTACTGTAGCCAAAGCTGCTGGTGCCTGCCCAGATTCCTCTTTCATCAGGCTGCTGTACTCACTCTCCAGCTGCTATGAATATTGGCTGTTCAGTGTTCACAGCTGCATCTTTTTCCAGAAAATTACCTTTGGCCAATAAGAGCCACCCCAACCACAGATGTCTAGGGAAGCTCACAGTTTCCAGTGATACAGTGGTATAAAGACTACCTTTCTTACCCCAAAGTGGGCCAACTTCATAGTGCCTTTCATGCCTTAGAGAATATCTCATGGTGTCGGTTACTAAGTTCTGTTGAATCTGCTTCCTAAAGTCTGTTAACTATCATATTTTCACTATTGTAATTGCCACTCATCCTAGTTTAGGACAATCTCTCATTGAACTATTCAAATCACCTTCTGAATCAATTTTCACCTTTCTGTAGTCCCTTCTCTATATTATTGCCAGAACTCTAAAATGCAAATTCGAATGTCATCTACTCCAGCCCCCACCAGCACACACCTACTTGAAACCCTTAAATAATCATACACATCACTTACCCAGGGATAGTAACCTGAAGTCACTTCATACATACATTTTGTTTCTCCCTGAAGAAAATGACACCATGGAGCCAAACAAAGCCTTGTAATATGTACAATATAATTGGATGGCATTTATCTACCTTGAGAGCAAAAGTCAGCTGAAGCAGTTAACTATTAGGTCAGTGCAAAAGTAATTGCAGTTTAGACAAGAATTCCTTCTATGCTTGGCTCAGGAATCTCGCAGTATTAATCCATTGGATGGGGAAACTTCTTAGTCTTAGACTGGGATAATTCTTTCCCAGGCTGAATATATTTTAATCCTGGAATGTTTTGACATGAAGTACAGCAATGATGAAAGTAAGCCCATAGCAGTGATAATTCTGTTGAAGAATGATCTGTGCATATTTGATATTTAAGTATCTAAAGGTTGAAATTTTGGCCTATTAAAGAAACAGGCTGACTTGTGACTCCAGTTTATAACATGTAATTGAATAACTTTGACTTTTGGTTTTACATTGAAAGCTATGTTTACAAACAGGATTGGAATACTTAATAGAGCTTATCCACTGCATTACCCACCCCGCCACTACTACGCCCCTCCACCACCTCTTTTTCTTTTACTTTTAGATTTAGGGAATTTATCAGTATCTGGAATGGTTTGTCAGCCATTAAAGAGAATATAATGAGTTTATAAACAAGTAAAACCTCTACAGGAATTTAAATTGTAAACCACCCCCCACCCCCTTAAATAGCTGTAACAAATTTACTACATTTATAAATTGAACAAGATTTGAATGTCAAACTAAAAAGTTCAGAACAAGGCCTCTACATTTTGAACTTTAATGTATTAATAAATATCTTTAACAACTAAAGTGGCCCATGAAATATTTTCTGTGCAAAAAGGTCACCCTCAAGAGCATTAGGATCTCACACTGACATACAAATCTAGCTTCAGATCCTTGCAAAATCAGAACACATTGCAAAGTTGGGCTGCACTCTTGCCTGACAAAAATGCCCCCTCCTTGAGATGGTGCATGAATTTTCAGGGTCCCCATAAGTCTCTCACACACATGTCACTCATTTACCTTTACGTGCCTGGTCCTTATAAAGGCATTTGCAATTTCCATTCATGAATTTAGAGCAGTGGTTCTCAATCAGGGTGATTTGCCCTCCCACCCCCGCCCCCCGCCACCCACCCCCACCCCCGACCAGAGGCCATTTGGCAATGTCCAGAGACATTTTTCGTTGTTACCATTAGGGGTGGTGCTACTGGCAACTAGTGGGTAGAGGCCAAGGATGTTGCTAAACATCCTGCAATGCACGCACAGTCCTCCAACAATGATCCAGCCTGAAATGGCAATAGTGCTTAGAATGAGAAACTCCAACCTAAACGAACCCACCTACAATCCTCTAGAATGGCAGAGGCTTTGCAGTGACCTACTTGTGTATCCTGGAGATTAATCCATTGATATTACAGGGCTCACAAGTATCTTCTTTATTCACTGTTTATAAAGCCCTATTTTGTATCTGGGTTCTTAAATTTTTATAAGTTTCTCTTTTTAAGTCTTTTACGAACTCCTTCCCTACATTGAGGTTAAAGATACTGCTTTCTTCTACACATTACAAATATTTTACATTTGTCTTCAATCCATCTGAAATTTATGTGATGGAAATCATAGATGTAATTTTATTTCCATATGGATAGCCCATAGTTTTAATAGCATTTTGCGAATAGCTCATTTTTCTCCACTAGGAGGTAACACTGATTCTGCCGCAAACTAAGTTTCCATATGAATGCTCATCTGCTTTCAGGCTATTTTGTATATATTCTGATAATATCATTAATTTATACTTTTATTAGGAATCTTGCTATCTGATATATTGTAATTCCTACCTCAGACTTCTTTAAAATTTATGCTTACATATGAATTTCAGAATAGCCCTCCTGGAATTATAGTTGAAATTATGCTAAATTTATAGATTGGGCAAATATGCTGACTTTTCTCATTATAAACATTGTATTCCTATTTGAATTTTTCCAAAACTTTCAGTAAAGTTTAACAATCTCTCTATAAAGATAATGATAGGTTTGTTCCTGGGTGCTGTGTGTTGCTTATTATGAGGTTTGTTTTTCTAACTATCATCTCCAGTAACTTTTGGGGTTTTAAGTGCTTTTAATTCAAAATAGTCAATAGAATACTATGCATCCAATAACTCTTTTTAGTTTGGACCTCATATATGGCAAACTTGCTGAGCTATCTTAATAGCATGTCTGTAGATTCTCTTGGATATTTTAATTAATCACAGCAACTGCAATAGTTACTCCTATCTTTTTGTCTGAGTGCACTGGTTCTGGTCTATAGGGCAGTTTTGAAGAGGTAATGTAAATTGCTTTACGAGGCACCGCTTTTAAAGATTTACATATAAATATGATTTTTTTCCTTCTAGATTTTTGGCAGACACTTTTGATGAGGTTGAATGGGGCTTAGAACATGCCACCCCAAAATATGCTGCTGTTGCATACTGATTATTGTGATATGAAGGCACCTGCGATACAGCAGATATATGAAGGGCTCTCTGACCTTCCCCTTCCTACTTAAAAGCAAGTCATAAAATTTCCCATGAGAAAGAAGCCATCCCTGTACCAGGAAATAACATTTTTATGATGGGAGCCTGGAAATTAATGCTAAAATGGGTCTGCAGAAACAAACCTATTAAAATAATCTTTATCTTCCACTAATTTTACCCATATTTTTCCTAGTCACTTGTCTACAGTTTGTCAACCTTAAATCCCTTTTCCTTTGTCTTGTCACTTCCCTACAAATGTATCATTCTTTGTTTTCTTTAAAAAAAAAAAAGGCATATAAGCTGTTGGTCCTATCCGCTTCATTTTTCTTTTGAATGCTCCCATGTGCATGTAAAAATATTAAATAAAATTTGTGTGCTTTTTTCCTGTTTACTTGTCTTATGTTCATTTAATTCACAGGCCCAGCTATTGAACCAAAGAGGGCAGAAAAAGTTTTTCCTTCTCTATAGTTTCAAGGAAGATTTATTCAGTTAGCGATTTTCTAAGTTTTTAACAACCCAAATGGGTGGTACTAAGCCATTTATAACACAGCACAGCTTTGTTCTTTAAGCCTACCCAGTTTGCCTGAAGGATTTGCTCTTCTATTTGAAGGTGCAGCTGGAAAGCCTTCCTCCATTCTAGAATCTGCCTCCTTTTCACCCCCAGCCTTGCTAAGCACCTTTCAGGGAAATCCATTGAGCTTAAATTGGCTTTGACTGGGATACTTTTTTTTTTTTGAGACAAAGTCTCATTCTGTTGCCCAGGCTGGAGTGCAGTGGCACCATCTCTGCTCACTGCAACCTCTGCCTCCTGGGTTCAAGCAATTCTCCTGCCTCAGTCTCCTGAGTAGCTGGGATTACAGGCGCCCATCACCACGCCTGGCTAATTTTTGTATTTTTAGTAGAGACGGGGGTTTCACCATGTTGGCCAGGCTGGTTTCGAACTCCTGACCTCAAATGATCCGCCTGCCTCAGCCTCCCAAAGTGCTGGGATTACAGGCATGAGCTACCGTGCCCGGCCTGGAATGCTATTTAGTTTTCAGAGTTTCACAGAAAGATCCACGAGTTTTAAAAAGCTGAGGCAGGGGAACCGCTTAAATCCAGGAGGCGGAGGTTGCAGTGAGCCAATATCGTGCCATTACACTCCAGCCTGGTGACAGGGCAAGACTCCGTCTCAAAAAAAAAAAAAAAAAAAGTTACTTTCAATTACCTCACAGATAGTTTGAAAGAAATAAAAGTCAAAGTCAGAAGGCCAGCTATTAATAGTGGCGAATACAGTAAAACCAGGGATGAAATTGAGATTTTACAGGAAGAATGAACATGGCTCATTCTCTTCAAGCTCTAACTCCTTAGTCAACAAATAAACTAGTCCTGCAAACCAAAACAACAAAAAAAAACCTGATACAACTGTATTCCCCAAAGTTTCCAAGTGGCTGAAACAGCTAGAAGAGGATTTGAGTGCATTTTCACACACACGAAGAAAACTATCAAGGAAAAGATCTTTTGATGTGTTACAAACTATTACAGGTAAACAAGGAATCAGCAAAAATAATCCCTGGGCTTTACAAAACAATGAAATTTCAGTGTTCTTTCTAAAACTTTTTATTGGGGAAACATGCAGTATTGAACAGTTAGCTTTTTTGTTCTCTTTGTGCCACAATTACTGGAAATACTTTATATTTTTGGGTTTTTTTCTTCTTCACAATTAAGGGGGGAAATTATTCTGTATACTGCTTTCAGGCCAGGCTGTGTCAGTATTTTACCTGGGAAGGAAATGGCTAAGACCCTGGGAGTCGTTTTGTTTCCCCCAAGTTAAAATACATACGTTGCTGGAGGATTTATCAGCTAAAAAGCAACGTTTGACTATTTCATACTGTGTTACGTAACTTCCTGAAAATGTCAGAACATCTTAAGTAGGCAGCATGCCTGGCAGGAACATCTCCCTCCCTGAGTGTAATAAATTTACTTCCAAAGTCTGAGAGCTTTTTCAGAGTCATGTAAAAAGCCCCAGTTTGCTTGTTAGTTAACTTAGGACCCCAAAACATATCTAAGCTTTCATTTTTCAGTCTTATAAAGCCATACATCTATCTTACACTACTGTGACTGTTATACATACATATAACACCCCCAAGCTGCACATGTGGTGGTGGTTGGGGTATGGACTTATCGGGGAGAATCACTGTTTCAAAAAGGCAAAGACCAGGAAAGATCAATTTGGTAGTGGGGTAACATCAAATCCAATTTTCTCACTCAACTTTATTAAAAGCAGCTGGCTCATGACTTGTGGTAGGCAAGCAATGTTATTTATTTAAAAAGCAATTCTCAGTGGGCTGCCCTTCAGGTTATTCTCTACATAAGTCTGTAATTTTATGTACTTCCTTTCTTTAATGAAAAAATGGTATTTGCCCTTCTGACTTTTCACTTTGATAACCTTATTAGTATCAGAAACAAGTTAGCTGTAGACGGATTACAATGAAAAGTGTTCTCATTTTTTCTAATAAAAACAGGATATTGTAGATACATTTCAAATTTCAGTTGTCCAAAAATGTAGCCCTTCTATATTTTGTAGTGGCAGATACAAGAGATCAGAGAGCCCTTAAAAGTCACGTTATAAACATGAACATATGTTCAATCTCTTGTACTAAGTTTTCTTCCCAAAAACTGCCAGGCATCCACCACTTACCTCATTTTTTGCAACTGTTAAGAAAATTGCCTAATACAGAAGCCTTTTGAAAACTGTAAAGCTGGGCCATTTCTGTGGTCAGTTATGTACCTTTTCTTAAATTTTCTAGGTCAATAACTGCAGAATACAGTAGTAACACCCTATCTTTAGCCACCCTTAGAGCTTTAGGGCAGGGAAATTCCTTTTAAGACCATCTCTATTCTGTTGGATTTAACGAAGTACCCAAACACTTTATACTACATGTAATGGGTTTGAAACAGATTAAGCAGCAGGATGGAAGCTTAGTATTCTTGTTTTTGAAGTAAAACAAATCCTTCCAAATGCCTCCTTTTGTTCATTGTCTTCCTCATCCTTCCAACCACTTTCCTAGCACTGGAGTAACAGCCAGGCAACGTAATACAGTACTTCAAGCTTTACAATATACTGTTAAGTGCAGCATTGCCTAGTGAGAGAAAGATAAAATTAAAGAAAGAACGAGAGAAACCTCTCGTTGGAAAGTTCCTGCAGTAAAAGTGAAACCTATGGTATTGACTATCTTTACAACTATGAAAAACTTTTCAATTCTGAGAAAATAAAGGTATCAGTGAGCCAGTGCAGCCTTCAGTGCTACACGTCTTCACCTCCCTTTAATCTTTTTAACAGCTACTAGCTGACCCAGATGCCCGCTTAATTGCTTTTAGCAACCACCAGGTCCAACACACCTCAAGCCAGCTCAAGACTCACTAGGCAAGCGGAGCAGAAACGTAAGCCGGCTCCCTTCAGACTTTCAGCGAGGGAGAAGACGCAGCCGGCAGTGGGGCGCGAACGCCACGCCTCCATGAGGGGCGGGGCTGCTTCCCGACCACCATTTCCACAGAGGCAGGGCAAGAAGAGGGCCACAGGTGACGTCATTCAGGAAAGCCGCCCTGATTGGAGGGAAGGAGGCGGAGTCTAGTTTCCCTGGTGACGGATTGTCCGGTGGTCGCCTGGTAACCGGTCGTGGCTGTACTGGCGGCGGCAGGGCTGGCGGCTTAGGCCGCAGAGGTCTGTGGGCCTGAGCCCACGCTGGACTCTGTCCGTTCTGCGATGACTGCTGCTCTGGCCGTCGTCACGACGTCGGGTTTGGAAGATGGGGTGCCTAGGTCCCGTGGCGAAGGGACCGGGGAAGTGGTCTTGGAGCGGGGGCCCGGCGCGGCCTACCACATGTTCGTGGTGATGGAGGACTTGGTGGAGAAGCTGAAGCTGCTCCGCTACGAGGAGGAGTTCCTCCGGAAGAGCAACCTGAAGGCCCCGTCCAGGTGGGTGCCGGCGTCCCCGAGCGCCCGGGTGCCTGCTAGCCCCCAGGGAGATGCCCTCCTTGGTCCTGCTGGGAACCAGTTTCGTGAGAGCGGGTTAGCAATTCCTTGCCTCCGTCTTCCTAGCCAGGGAAGGGCACTTCACCCCAAACTCCCGGGAGGTCCGTGGAGCTCACGCAGCCCTGACTTGGTATTTTTGTAGAGAGAATAAATAAGTTTTGGAACGGCAGAAAGGATCGGAAGACAGCTTGCCTGTTTTTTTCCAACACACACGCATTACCAGAAAACACAAACTATATTTTCTGATTGTAAAGATGAAACAAATACTCATTGAAGAAAACTCAGAAAAACACAAGTAAATGTCTAGAAAAATTATAAGACCGTCCAAAATTCGCCTCCAGAGAGGAATGCCATTATCACTTAAGGCTTTTTTTCTAGTTTGGGGTTTTTTGTTGTTGTTTAAGACCCTGTTCATACAACTGGGGACCGTGGGTACTTAGGATCCTGTTAAGGAGCACTTTAAATGCGGTTAGTAAACTTGTTAACTACTTGCTATGGTTTAAAAGACTTCTGCCTTTGTAATAACCATACTCTCAGAAACTGAAAAGTGGAAAAGACGAATGACAACTATTGAATTGTCCCCCTATCATAGAACCTAAAGTTTTACCCTTGTTCCGGTGGGGGAAAAGTCCAACATATCCTGAAAGCAATGCCATTACTTGCTGAGGGTAGTGGTCAGCTAGGACCTTCTCCTCAAATCACTGTAGCTTAGCAGTAGCCAGATAAATCAGTTTTATAGCTTTTCTTTCACTTTAATACTTACATTTGTATATTTTATTCCATAAAAGGCAATCAGTATTAAGAATCTATAGTACTTAATGTCTACAGCCAGGCTCAAATAATTTCCCTTGATAGTTTTAATCTCATTCCACTGCTGTCTTCCAATAACTTGAATTGAAAGATATGTAGGCTTGATATAAACTGTTCATATTAAATTAGTCCATGGTCGGAGAAAAGATAAAGGAAAAAGTAGTGTTGCTTGATCCATGTTAGAAAAGGTAGTCCTGGGATTATTACTTAAAGTGAATTGATCAGGATAATATAGACAACCAACATTTCCTATGTTAATAAAAATGCATTTTTTTCCAAGTATATTTTTAAAATGAAAACAAAATGTCCTTAAGGTTCTGTTGATGTCATCTCTTGCACTGTGTCCTCAGGGGTTCAGCAGGATACTTTGAATCATGGATTTGTGTGGGGATATCCTAGTCCAATGGTTCTCAAAATGTGATCACCAGACCAACAGCATCAGCATCACCTGGGAACTTACTAGAAATGAAATTCCTCAGGCCCTTTCCCAGGTCTACCTTTTCAGTAATTATAGGGATGGGGCCTAGCATCTGTTTCAGTAAGCCTTCCAGATGATTCTGATGGACACTAATGTTTGGGAACCACTGTCCTAGGTTTACAGTATCTATTGGTGTTCATTCCTCTGCCCTAGAAGAGTTATCTGCCGATAAGGAAAAGATGACTTTTTGGTGGGTGGGTGCTTTGAAAGGATAGTGAGCATATACCTGGAAGGACTTCATGGCCTTTTTTCTTCCCAGCTTTCTGTTATCTTCCAGAACATTTACATTTATCCTGCAGGAAAAAGTTTGGGAAACATGAAGGAGTACACGACAGATTTTTATGACAATGGTTATAATAGTTGTAAATACATTGTAAACATAATAATGATAGCTACACATGAACAAGACAAATAAGATCTTTGATTAAACTGACTTGAATGTTGTTGCTAGTGAGTTTTATTCCTATAATGTTTAGGTATAAATCATACTGATCCTCGTAGAACTGTGTTTAGTAGACTAGGGGATTAAGCAAGAGCCCACAGATGTTTGACTGGTGATGTGACATTCACAGGTTCTTAATCCTGACTACACCTTATAAACATGTAGAAATCTTTTGAAATATACCCCATACTGGGCCTACTTTCACTGAAGTTCTGATTTAATTCATTCATGAGGGAAGAAGCAATGTTTGGTCAAGTACCAGTATTTTTATTAGCTCCTCAGGTGATTGAATATGCAGCCAACATAGAAACAAATGTTCACCATAGGTGATAGGTTAGAAACAGTAAAAATGCATAATGAGTAATCGTTGAGGTCTTTTTTAAACTCTGAGGTTCTTCCAGATTACCATTTTCATTCATAAGGTACTTACATATTATTACTGACACTTAAATCATTTTGGCAAAAATTCTACATGCTCTGTGCTCTAACATGCACTACATTTCCTGGGTGTAAGGTCTTTGATCTAATATTTTGGGTACAGTAGTAATTGCCCTAATCCTGCTGATTTAAAAACTTCAATGTGAGTGCTGTGGATTACTGGAAACTTCAAAGGGTGAATTATCGAGGTCTTTTGATGGCCATTTGGGGGGAAGAAAGATTGTTGGACAATTGTGAATTCGGCCCTATTAGTTATTATAGACTTATTTGCATTATTTCACATCCGCCCCCATTCCTCCTTGTTTTGAAACAGACACTATTTTGCACTGCCTACCAACCCTGGCGAACAGTTCTACATGTTTTGTACTCTTGCTGCTTGGTTGATTAATAAAGCGGGACGTCCCTTTGAGCAGCCTCAAGAATATGATGACCCTAATGCAACAATATCTAACATACTATCCGAGCTTCGGTCATTTGTAAGTGTAAA
This sequence comes from Homo sapiens, assembly GCF_000001405.40. Classification (NCBI taxonomy): domain Eukaryota; kingdom Metazoa; phylum Chordata; class Mammalia; order Primates; family Hominidae; genus Homo; species Homo sapiens. The sequence continues at coordinate 108,219,398 of NC_000003.12, read as the reverse complement.
CGACCCTTCTTTTTCCTTGTTCTCAAGTTATGAATTTTAATACTGGTAATTTAATAACAAATGCTAGCCATTTAGATGACTCCTCTGTAAATATGAATTTATTTTTAGGTAAAACCTCCTTAAAATAGTTTACATTATAATGTTAATGTCACTTCTGAAAATGTTCAGTATATACTCTTTATTAGTCCAAAGTAATATTTTTTTAAAAAAATCTTGATATATCTGAGAGGTAAATTTTGGGGTGGTTAATTCTTGATCTAAAAAATGATAATTAAAAAAAAATCCTACAAAGCCAAAACACTTCATATTCTGAAAGGGAACTTGTACTTAAGACCATGACAGCAGTTGTACTTTTTCATTTCTGACTTTTCCTGGGCAGGCAGTAAGATATTTTTGGCACAAATGTTATTAATTTTTGACAAGTGAATCACTCTGTCCTTAAACATAGTTGTTTAAATAGTTTTACTGGTTTCTTTTCACTCTAATAAGATCAATAATTTGTTCTGCTGCTATGATGTTATTGCTTTTTAATTTGATACTTTTAACAATAAAAGTCTTTGAGTATTTTTATGTATCAATGGGTTACAAAGACTTGAAATGGATTTGTATGAAGCAGTGTAATTACAGTTATTGTAAATCATTTGAAAGAAAAGTGATACATCCATTCAGCAGTTCTTTGCTTAAAATATTTGACATTTGGAGTATAACTAACAAATAATACCCTGTTTTTTCTTTTGTTTTTCAGGGAAGAACTGCAGATTTTCCTCCTTCAAAATTAAAGTCAGGTTATGGAGAACATGTATGCTATGTTCTTGATTGCTTCGCTGAAGAAGCATTGAAATATATTGGTTTCACCTGGAAAAGGTAAAAATTACCCACCCTGATGATAGTAATTTTATGGGCATAGCATTTGCCTCTGAGGGTACAGAGCTGTTCAATTGAACATAAAAGAATTATTCTTTTTGACTATTCTAAATTGAAAATGCCACAGATAATTAAGAAAAGCCAGTATAGACAAAATTAGAATGTCTCACGTCTTCAAAACTAATTCTGAAGTAATGTGTTACATATTATTATGCCGTTTTCCTGTTCAAATATGTAATTATTAAAGGTTTAACTGTGACTACATATCTTTGTAAATACTGGACTTTTTTTTTAAAGTCTCTTGTACATATGTTCACACACACAAACATAGTATATACACAGAGGGAACTGATAGCTACAGATTTAAGGAAAAATGGAAATTAATACAGTACTTTAAGTGGGATTTTCTCCTTTGCTAGTAGTTACTGGGCAAGAATAATACTGAAGAAACTACCTGACACTCTCCTAGACATTGTTCATTGCTTTTGTGTCCAACCTGACAGTGCTTTATTTCTATTATTATATTATATTTATCCTATGGTATAAAATTGTTCTTTACTATTCTGACATTCTTGCTAGAAATCATGAAATCTTCACAAGTACTCTGTTAGCATAATGCTTGGTGTATCTTAGATGTTTAATAGATATTGAGCATATAGATGAAATAGAACATTTGGAAACTCAATTTATAGAGATTATAATTAGAAAACATAAATTTTATGCTTTGCAGTTTGGGATTACTAATAGGTTAGAATGTAGAAGGCACTATTCAGGTAAAATGCGAGTAAGCAGTGTTTTTTTTTTTTTAATTAGAACTAACTTCGGTAGAAAGATTATATACACACACACACATATATATATATTATTCCCTGTTAATAACATTTTAATGTATATTCAATTATATTCTTTTAGATATAATCTCCCTATTAAGTTTAATAACTTCCTTGAATTAGGTTATCATTGGGATGAGCCATATGAAATTACTCATATTCATCTATTTTTAAACTAAAAAATGGCAATTTCATATGCTTCAATCCAAACATTATTATTTAGTACAATATAAAGAATGGCTACATGGTCCATAATACTTTATTAAATTTCAAGAGAAGATAAGTTATGAGATGTGCTGCTGTATTTAGCATTTTAAAAAACTGCTAAATTAATAGACTAATATATTCTAAATTCACCAGAAGCTATGGTGTAATATCTCAACCACTATTCTATTTTGCACTTCCTTTGTTTCTCAACACATCTTATTCCTGGCCTCTGTATTGTAAGTTGGATAATTTATTTTTTAGTTTTAATTGGCACATAACTGCAAATTTTGGAGTACAATGTGATGTTTCGATACATGTGTACAATATACAATGATCAAGTTAGTGAAATTAACATATTCATCATTTCAAACGTTTATCATTTTATTGTGGCAAGAAAATTCCAAATCTCTATGAGCTATTTTCAAATATATATTATTGTTAATTAATATATAATATTGTGAACTGTAGTCACCCTGCTGTGCATTGAACACTAGAACTTATTCCTCCTAACTGTAACTTTGTACTCACCCACTTTGACCAACTTCTCCCTATTCTCCCTTCCCCCTACCCTTCCCATCCTATGGTAACCACTATTATACTCTCTACTTCTATGATATTTGTCTTTCTGTGCCTGGCTTATTTCACTTGACATAGTGTCCTCCATGCTTATACAGGTTGCTACAAATGACAGAATTGCATTCTCTTTTATGGTTGAATGGTATTCCACTGTGAAAATATACCACATTTTCTATTCAACCTTTGATGGATACTTAGGCAGATTCCGTATCTTGAGTATTGTGAATAGTGCTGCAATAAACATGGGAGTGCAGATATCTCTAACATACCGATTACATTTCTTTTGGATATATCATCAGTAGTGGGATTGTTGGATAATAGAGTAGTGCTATTTTTAGTTTTTTGAGGCACCTCCATAGTGTTCGCTATAGTGTCTGTACTAATAATTTACATACCTACCAATAGTGTTCAAGGGTTACCCCTTCTCCATATCCTCAGCAGCCTTTGTTATTTTGGGGGGCGAGGGGTTGGGTAATAGCCATTCTAACTGGGGTGAGATGATATCGTGGTTTTGATTTGCGTTTCCCTGATGATTAGTGATGTCAAGCATTTTTGCATATATCTGTTGGCCGTTTCTATGTATTTTTTGAGAAATGTCTATTAAGATCTTTTGCTCATTTTAAAAATTAGACTAGTTTTTTTGTTGTTGTTTTGCTATTGAGTTGCTTGAATTTCTTATACATACTGGATGTTAAGTTCTTGTCAGATGGGTAGTTTGCAAATATTTTCTCCCATTCTGTGGGTTGTCTCTTCACTCTTTTGATTGTTTCCTTAAGTTTGATGTAATCGCATTTGTTTATTTTTGCTTTTGTTGCCTGTGCTTTTGAGGTCTTATCCAAAAAATTCTTGCCCAGACCAATGTCATGAAGTGTTTTCTTCCACATTTCCTCTAGTAGTTTCAGTTTCAGATTGTATATTTAAGTCTTTAATCCATTTTGAGTTGGTTTTTATAAGTGGTTAGAGGTAAGGGTCTAGTTTCATTCTTTTGCATGTGGATATCCAGTTTCCCCAGTACTATTTATTTTTCTTTTTTTGTTTTTTAGCACCATTTATTGAAGAGACTGTGACTTGGATAACTTATAAGGACTATGTTTAAATGAGGAATAAAAGGAGGGAGCTGAAAAGTAGTCAACATTAGAGAATATGTCAGCTCTGTAACATGTAAATGAGATAGACGTTACATATAGATGAATTTTTTATATATCTAAATGTCAAAATGAATCCTAGAAGAACATTGCCTTTGAGATATTTTCGAATTCTAATTAATGAAAAATTAGGAAATTTATTATTTAAGATGATTGATTTAGTTCATAGTATTTTGCATATTAGTAAATGTTGATTTTTGTATTTTTTTAACATGATTGAGGCATGGGTTTTCGTTTTTAAGACAGGGTCTCACTCTGTCGCCCAGGCTGGAGTGAACCTCTGCCTGCCGGGCTCAAGCGATCCTCCCACCTCAGCCTCCCGCATAGCTGGGACTACAGGTGCACACCACCACTCCCAGCTAATTTTTTATTTTTTTTGTCAAGACAGGGTTTCACCATGTTGCCCAGGCTGGTCTCAAACTCCTGGTCTCAGACAGTCCACCTGCCTTGGCCTCCCAAAGTGCTGGGATTATAGATGTGAGCCATCACACCCAGCCAGGTACAAGTTTTTAATACAAGTTTTCTCTCTAGCTTTGTTACTGGATTAAAAAAAGGAAAAAAAATATGTTTTCATAAATAAGCCCAAATACATTTAAGTACTTTTAATATAGGAAATGTGTCATTAATCTTGATGAATAAATGATTTTTTTCAAAGTTTAATGTTAGGATCACTAATTAGATTTTGGAAATAAGAAGAAAGCTGGACTCCTTCTTATTACCTATGTTAAAATAAACTTCAGATTGATCAAAGATGTAAATATGAAAAGTAAAACTATAGAAGTATTAAAAGACCAGAGGAGTATAGAGGTTGTGGTATGACAGAAAGCCTCTAATATATGATGTTAAAGCTAGGGTCTGTGCAGGAAAAGGTTACCAACTCTATCTAAGAAGAACTATAACAATCTTGAATAGCCAAGATTATAAGTAATACACTAGGGGAACAATTTTTGAGAGGTTAGGCAAAACATTAATTTTCTTAATATACAAAAAGCCAAAAAGTAAATGGTATAAATAGACATTTCACCTAAAAAGAAGTGCAAATAAGCAATTAAAATATGACAAGATATTCAATCACTTTCATGCTAAAGAAATGCAGTTAAAACAAGAATGAGATTTTTTTTCACTTGGTTGATTGGCTAAAATTAAAGTTTGTATTATATATCATATTGGTGAATATATGGAGATGGAGTTACTCTCCTTCAGTATTGTTTGGAGTCTAAATTAGGGTAACATTTTGGAAGCCAATTTTGGCAGTATATAGCAAAACAATACTGTACAAAGTTGTTTACCCTGCCATTTCACTTGAACAAATTTATTCTAAATGGTATGTGTAATGATAAATGTACAAAGATGATCTTTGCAATATTGTCCAGCAAAATAATTAGAAACCTCTATGTTCAGTCATAGGCTGCCAATTACATTAATTATGGTATTGATTGTTCAATGAAATACAGTGCTTGTATGTAAAAAATAATGAGAAATACATATGTATTTAAATATGGTGTATTAGTGAGAAGCATTAAGTTGGATAACACCATGCATAGTATCATCTCATTTTTTATAAATTTGGAGATAAACACTTTTGCTTTTTACATAGAAAGTTTTAGGAAAAATACATGAAACATTTAACAGTGATTATGGAAGCGGAATGAAAAAGGACAAAACCTGGCATAGAGGACATGATATTTGCATTATGATTTTTTTGTCTTACTAAATATTAAAATTATCACCTCATGTTTAATCTTATTATTTTAGGCCAATATACCCAGTAGAAGAATTAGAAGAAGAAAGCGTTGCAGAAGATGATGCAGAATTAACATTAAATAAAGTGGATGAAGAATTTGTGGTATGTGTGTAGCTGAACTTTCTGTTCATTTTCACCTTTCGGCCACTTCCCATTCTCTTAATTTCCCCCAGACTTCCATTATCTGGAATATATTTTATTTCATTGTTTCTAAAGAAGAAAAGCTTTTAAATACAGTGCTGAGTATCATCATTTAGACCTTTGGTTAAGTTAATGTTTGTATTCTCTAATGATTGAGGTCTGAATTTTAGCAGAGGTTCTTGAACTGTTCAGGGAAATATATACCACTAGTTATATGAGTAAATACTTTATTAACCATTCATGATGTTAAATAGACTGTGACTAATAAAGAATTTAAAACAGAACAAAAGAATTTAGGATTAATAAATTCTGCTTTATACGCATACCATTCATTTCTAAGGAATTCCTTTATTCATCTACAATTAGGATGAGTAGGAATTTTTTAATGCTTTTAAATGATCAACATTATTTAAGTTGTTTGGCAGAATCTACAACTTTTTACATGTTTTACATGCCATCCATAGTGTGCAGCTAAAGATGACAGAGACAAAATAACTTTTTCTCAAGATAATTCTCAGAACTAGAATTAGATTGACCCTGGTATTTTAGGAAGTGTGCTTGTGATTTGAAGCAGAAATGGTTGGGGGAAAAAACAAACTTTATAGTATACAGCTGACCCTTGAGCAATGTGGGGGTTATGGGCATCGGCCCCCACACAGTTGAATATCCACATATAACTCTGGACTCCCAAAAACTTTACTAATAGCCTACTGTTGACTTGAAGCCTTACCAATAACATAAAGAGTTAACACATATTTTGTCTATGTATTATATACTGTATTCTTACACTAAAAGTAAGCTAGAGAAAAGAAAATGTTACTAAGCAAGCCATAAGGGAGAGAAAACATACATACTATTAAGTGGAAGTAGATAATCATAAAAGTATCTTCCCTGTCTTCATATTGAGTAGCCTAAGGAAGAAGAGCAAGAGGAAGGGTTGGTCTTGTTGTCTCAGGGGTGGCAGAAATGAAAGAAAATTTGTATTTAAGTGGACCCATGCAGTTCAAACCCGTGTTGTTCAAGGGTCAACTATATTTTGCTGTCATAAACCAATTAAAATTTTTAGGTGATTTTTAAAATCAATAGATAATTAGTTTAAAATAAGTAAGTAATTGAAGTTTGGCATTGAGGTTAGTATAGTATAGTATTTAAGTTAGTATATGCATAATTTTAATAGCAAATGCTGAAAAATAACTATTAAATAGATTAGATGCTATCTGAATAGAGTATTATATAGCCATTTGTATTAGTCCATTTTGTGTTGCTGTAAAGGAATACTTGAGGCGCTGGGTAAGTTATAAAGAAAAGAAGTTTATTTTGGCTCACAGTTTTGCAGACCATACAAGAAGTGTAGCACCAGCATCTGCTTCTGGTGAGGGCCTCAGGAAGCTTACAATCATGGTAAGACAAAGTGGGAGCAGGCACCTCACATGGCCAGAGAAGAAGCAGAGGAGGGGAGAAGGACCAGAGACAGAGGAGGGGACATATATCCAAACTATATCACCATTGAAAATTGTTGGGTGGGCATGCTGGCTTATACCTGTAATCCCAGCTCTTCGGGAGGCGGTGGGAGGATTGCTTCAGGCCAGGAGTTTGAGACTAACCTGGGCAATAGAGTGAGTCCTCATCTCTACCAAAAGGAAAAAAGAAAAAAATGCCAGGCATGGTGATTGCTTCAGGCCAGGAATTTGAGACCAACCTGGGCATTATAGTGAGTCCTCATCTCTACCAAAAAAGAAAAAAATGCCAGGCATGGTGGTGCATGCCTGTAGTCCTAACTACTCAGGAGGCTGAGGTGGGAAGATCGCTTGAGCCCAAGAGTTTGAAAGTGCAGTAAGCTGTGATCATGCCACTCCACTACAGCCTGGGTGACAGAGCAAGACCCTGTCTCTACAAAAAATGTTTACAAAGTTTACAAAGAAAAATACAAAGTTACTGACATGGGAATGTAACTTATACTATATGCTATAAAATTAACTGAGATGATTCCAAATTTTATGTTGATATAACATTAACTATGTAAAATACGTTAAAAATAAATATATTAGCATTAATTATGGGTAGGAGAATTATGGATGATTGTTTTCTATGCTTTGTATTTTTAAGGTTTTCAACATGTATTTTTAACAGCAATGTAAATAAACATTATTTAATATATGTAAAAAAAGATGACTGTCATTTACAGAAGGAAAAAGACCATTGTAAAACTTATCAGTTTAAAAGATGTTTTTTAATGTGATGGATTTTAAAGGTCAAGACAAAGATATATTCATTCATTCTGCATATACTTATTGAGCACTTGTTATGTAGCAGGCAGTGGCCAAGGCCCTGACTGTGTAGCATGTGCCAAAGCTTTGAAGGCAGAAAGAAACTTAGCATGATCAAGGAACTTAGAGAAAACTACTGGGGCCAGAGCTCCTAAGTGAGGGGGAGGGTGGCATAAGATTAACTGGGAAGATAGACCAAGTTCAGATTGTTTTGGGCATGAAAAGTAGTTTAGGCTTTATTCTTTGTGTAACAGATCTTTCCGTTCAAGCTCAGAAATTAAGTACTCATATATTCCTAGTTGTTCACCTTATTTATTCCCTCATCTTGTCGTCTTAATAACTATTTAATAGTTATGAATAGTTTATGAACAGATACCTGGTTCTAGTACATTAACATTTAACTTCAAAGGCATATAACTAAGAACTGCTAGTCTGAGGAATAAAAAACAAACCCACTAGTCAGGAGGAAAATATCTGCAAGCGCAGAAACCATGTGTAATTTTTCTTATTGTTGTGTCTCCAGCTTATTGTGCAGGGCCTGGTGCATAGTACATACTCATTAAATATTTGACCATAAAATCAAACTATCGGCACATCGTTGTATAACATTTAGAAACTATAGCTCATTTTAAAGCTAGGAACCCTTTAAAGTTCAAGGCACCATGATTGGGGGTGTGAATTTAGAGAAATATACTGGAAAGCAGCCTCTTCACACATTTCTTCCCAGCCATGAGGTAAAGACCTTCTACTATCATAAGAGCAAACTGAAGGCCTTCCTCAAAGGGGTTGGCCCTGAGGCTATTCATTCCCTTGCATCAAGTCTCTTGAATTTCTTTTCTTCTTTATTGTCATCATATTATTCTAAGGAGCCCTCTTTTACTTCTACTCCTCTCTTTAAGGAGGACTGGGTCACCACCAAGAAGACTTTTGATGGTGGGATAACATGATTCTGTTGTCTGAGTTTGTGGCGTTGCTCAAGGATGGTAAAGGTTGGCCAGGTGTGGTGGCTTACACCTGTAATTCCAGCACTTTGGGAGGCTGGGGTGGGCAGATCACTTGAGGGTAGGAGTTTGAGATTAGCCTGGCTAACATGGTGAAACCCCATCTCTACAAAAATACAAAAATTAGACAGGCGTGGTGGTGTGTGCCTGTAGTCCCAGCTACTCGGGAGACTGAGGCAAGAGAACTGCTTGAACCCGGGAGGTGGAGGTTGCAGTGAGCCAACATTGCACCACTGCAGTCCGGCCTGGGCAACAGAGTGAGACTCTGTCTCAAAAAAAAAAAAAAAAAAAGATTATTTCTGACAGTCAAAGTTCTGCTATAATCATCTAGAAACTAGAAACTTTTAATTTTGAACTGCCCATATCAAGTTAGGACACATTAATAATTATTTTTATAAATATGTTGGGGTCATAACACAAAATATTCCCGCCTATTGTATGTAATCATATCCATAGTAATTGGCAGTCAGAATTAAGAAGGCATATTAGACAAATAGTAGGAAATTTTTGAGTGCCTTCTGAATTACTGAGATTAGAATCCTATTGTATTCTAATAGTTTACAAAACAATTTTCTAAGCCTGTTTACATTTGAATTCCTCTTGAATGCTCTCTTAATACTTAGTAACTTAATCCTTTTTCTATGAATTAGTTTGAGTTCTTCAGAGGAATAGAACCAATAGGAGGTACACACACACACACACACACATATAGAAAAAGACTAAGGAATTGGCTTACATGGTTCTGGAGGCTGAGAAGTCCCAAGATCCACAGCTATCAAGCCGGAGACCCAGAAGAGCTGATGGTAGTCCCAGTTTGAGTCTGAAGGCCTGAGGACCAGGAGAGCTGAGCTGATAGTTTGTTTCAGTCTGAGTCAGAAGGCAAGAGAAGACTAATGTCTTTAGTGACAATGAGGCAAAGATAATACATTCTCTTTCTCAGCTTTTTTGTTCTATTCAGCCCTTCAGTGGATTGAATAAAGCCCATCCGCATTGGTGATAGCAACCTGCTTTACTCAGTCTACTGATTCAATTATTTTTCGCATCCAGAAACACCCTCATAGACACACTCTGAATAATGTTTAACCAACACCAAGGCACCTTGTGGCTCAGTCAAATTGACACATAAAATTTACCATCAAAAGTCGACCCCTTGTCAACTTACCATCCATGTACATCTTCTTAAACCATAATCTTCAAATAAAGACCATACATAGCATGGTTATAATTTCATCTAATAGAATGTAACTGCTCTGCATACAACAGATGTTGCTCTAATTCCTTCTCCACAAGAGGAGATAAAGTCCATAAGTGATATTTACTCTTCTCCCTGATATCACTTAAATATTATAATATTAAAAGTAATAATACTTAAATACTGTGATATAAAGTCAGTACATCTATGTTACATGATAAGGGAATAAGAGTAAAGAAAACAAAAATACATACGAATATATTCATAACAATTAGGAAATATTCATAACAATCACAATTCTCATTTCTGTAACTGGTCACATGCTTGTAGTTTGTGTTTATAACTACCATCTTTCACTACCTATTCTGTATTCCCCTTGCCTTCAGTAAGCACCTCAGCTGGTTTCAGTTCTTTACCTGGTGGGGTGACTCAGACCTTTATTCCTGAAGTGTCTGGGCCATTAAGTAGACCTGCCTGGATTTGGTTGTTGTAGTTTTCTGTTGATTTTTAGTCACAGGGCATGGTAATACCATGCCTTAAAGGATCTCCTGTATTTTAGAATACTCTTCCTTCCATTTTGGAGTAGTCCAGTGTCCTGTTAATAGGATCAATCATGCCAGCCAGTACAGTAATTGCCTTCTTTGCCATGTTGATTCAGAGGTATGAGGAGCCCAAAGTGGCCAGGTAGCAGTCTTAATTTCTGTTCAATCAAATCATTGTTGTATCTTCTGGTTGAAGAATTCTTCCTTTTGGAACTAAGACCTCTAGGCCAGCAAAGCATAAGGTCATGGGAACAGGAAGCAAGAATTTTGCTAGTGGGCTACTAGGGGTAATAGCAAGTGGTTCCACTCCATTTCCACCCCTTGATTCCTGGACCTGTAAATCCTGGCTGTAGGAGAAACAGCACCATATATTGGTTGCTGATTCATTCTAGTAACTACTATTAAAGCTTTTTACCTATTGGTGTTCAGTCCAGTATAGTTTAAGAAGTATCTATTGATTGCTTATGTAAACAGTACTGATCAGGTTATTGTAAAAGCATTAGAAACTTGTCTCTTCTCCCATGAGCATTGAGTCATTGACATTTGAATCATTTACTCTGGTTGTTAAGTAGACTCTTACTAGTGCAAACATAGACTAGACTAAGCCATTTGACAAAAGTGTATACCTCTGCTTCAGTTTTAAGATATAAAGTGATCACTTTTGTCTGCACTTCTGTCCTACTACCCCACTCTAAAAAAAGTAAATGTCACTTGAGTGTATAGAATCTACATTTATGTTGTTTCCTATTTTACTAAAATCTTTCTGGTTTTCCAAGGTTTAGCATAGTTCTCATAGCTTACCTTAGTTGCCCCACCCCTATAGTTGCTTTTTTTTTTTTTTTCTTTTGAGACGGAGTCTCGCTCTGTCGCCCAGGCTGGAGTGCAGTGGCACAATCTCGGCTCATTGCAAGCTCCGCCTCCTGGGTTCATGCTATTCTCCTGCCTCAGCCTCCCGTGTAGCTGGGACTACAGGCGCCCGCCACCACGCCCGGCTAATTTTTTGTATTTTTAGTAGAGACAGGGTTTCACTGTGTTAGCCAGGATGGTCTCGATCTCCTGACCTCGTGATCCGCCTGCCTCGGCCTCCCAAAGTGCTGGGATTACAAGCGTGAGCCATCGCGCCCGGCCAACCCCCATAGTTTCTGAGGAGATATGGGATAGAGCCTTAGAATTTGCATTCTAAGGAGTACCTAGGTGATGCTGATACTGCTGCTCTCAGAACCATACTTGGAGAACCAGTATCTTACATATTTATAAATTGTTGAAGTTAAGAATTATCTTTGAAATCTACTACAGCTTTGTATAGTTCTACATATGGAAGTGTTCACCAACTGACATTCTCTTTTTTCCTTATAAAATCATGACTTGAGGACCCAGTTCCATTGGCTTTATTATCGTGTCCTTAAGGTTGAAATATCCTTGTTAAATTTTTGTTACTTACTATGGCACTTGTCACCACAAAGACATATGAAGAAAAGGGGAGCTCATGTTTTGTCCTACATGCTCATAGAACCTGCTCAGACTCCATATTTACTGCATATTGGGGAGGGAGTTGGCTCTCAAAGGGTCACTTTCTACCCCTGCCCTCTACATCCAATTGGTCTGCAGATAAGGATTAGCTCGGCATCCACCTATACTATCCTTTTTAATAGATTTAAGTACCATGGACCAACCAGTACTGGTAACCATTATTTTATCAAGCTTGAACATACCAGAGATGAGATGTCAAAAATATGTATCAATGTGATTGGTCAGAGAAAGTGAGAATATTCTCTGTCAGCCTCTCATTTTTGTCCATTTCAGTTATATTGCTCAAAAATATCCATTAATTCCCTCTATTTATACCAAATATGCCAGCCACTTGGGTTTGTTTCTTGCCCTGTTTTTATATTTATCTGTAGTTCTATAGCAATGGCTCCCTTCCTTTCCCTCCCCCAGTTTTTTTCCTTTCTTTATTGACTACAAAAATGGTTCTATTTAAGTAGTAGTACCATCAAAACCTCAAAAAACAGATGAACTGTTAATAATATTGTGCCCTACTTTATGCACACGTTCACTAGGCTTTTAAATACCCTTTTCTACACTAGTCTTTATATCAAGCTTAATATAGCTTAGTATAGCATATAGGTGGAAACTGGAAATATATTTTTTAATTATAATTTTTAATAATTTTTTAAAAATTTATTTTCTAAGGAAGAAGAGACAGATAATGAAGAAAACTTTATTGATCTCAACGTTTTAAAGGCCCAGACATATCACTTGGTAAGTTTCATCAGATACATGCAGGACCAACAAGCAATCAATGTACATGTTCTGCTGGAAATTTAAATGAGTAGAAACCGTTGTTGGCCATTGTTTTGTATGCTGTTTCAAAAGTAGCTCTCAAAATTGCTTTCCTATATATAAAATGTTATAATTATAGCAAATATAAAAATCCAGAGGAGTGAGTGAGGCAGCCTCCTGTCTGTATTATGGAAAATTGACATAGTGCTACTCATGCAGACTGAAAATAATTTGCCTGGTGACATATTTTATTATGAAAAGACATCAAATATTCTATTTCAAGTTATTTTCCATTTTAATAGGCCAAGATTTAATGATCTTGATTATAGGAAAATATTTAAATTGTAGCTCTTTAAATAAAATGGATTAAGACTGGTAGGTATATGAATAAGTAATCAGACATTGCTTTAAGTCTGTTTTAATTATGAAATAAATCTAATCTATAAAAGTACATATACAATGAGATATTTCAGATATATATTTTTACATTCACCATATATATTATATATCAATATATATTATTTATATATAATATATTATTATATATAAATAATATATAATATATATTATAAATAATATACAATATATTATATATAAGTAATATATAACATAAATATATTATATATTATATATAAATATATAATATATTTATATATTATAAACTAATATATTTATATATTATAAATAATATATATTAATATATAATTATGTATTATAAATATATTAATATATAATAAATATGTTATATAAATATATGTTAAATTAATTAAATAATATATAAATAATATATAATATGCTATAATATTTTGTATATTATATAATATGTTATAATATTTTATATATTATATAATATGTTATATATTAATCAAGGATATATACCTATTGTACCCTCAAAAAGTACATATGGAAAGTAATGCTCTATTAGTCCTTTATTTAATTTTTCTTATCTGAATCCTCAAGACAAGTTTGGATCTAGTTTTGGTTTCATATCATGAAGATTTCCTTGACTACCCCTCCCCAGGATGATCTTTGTATTTATAATAATGAGGATTAATAATACTAAGGCATCAATACTGCCTTAGTATTATTAATCCTCATTGATGCCTTAGTGATATTAATCCTCATTAGTTATTATTAATGATGCATATATGTGTCTGTGTTTTCTGCCCAACTTGAGATGTAATATAACGTTGTGGTCAACTTGCCTCAGTGTGTGACTTTACTCTAATACTTACTAGGATTCCAGATTTGGGCAAGTTTCCAAACTTCTTGTGCCTCATCTTCTTAAGCTGTAAATGAGATAAAAATATTACCTTTACCTTTGTCATAGGGTTTTTGAAAATTAAAGGAGTTACTACATGTAAAACACTATAATAATATCTGTCACATAGAAAGTACTCAGCACTGGCAAAAACCAAAACCACATCTTTCCTCCATATTTCCCCGTCTGAAATCTGATTTGTAAGCTCCTTGATAACGGAGATAGCTATCCTTTTTAATATTCCCCATAGTGTAACACAGAAGGTACTGAATAAAAACCTCTTAAATGAATGAAGGTATTTTTTATTGATCAATTGAAAATATATCAGAATAATATGTTAAAATTTAAATCTAAACTCCAGTTATATCAATACCTTACATTTGCAGATCGTTTTGTAGTTTTCAAGTACTTTAAAACACATTTCTTTACTGACCTTGTAAAGTATTTGGGTAGATGTTATCTCCATTTTACAAATATAAACACTGAAATTTATAACCTTGGGACAGTTTAATCTTTTAAGAAGCTAATAAGTCACAGTACCTGAATTTAAACTGCTTCTCCAAACTCCAAGTCTATTGCTTTTTCCGCTTTACCTCATAACAAGAGTTGAACAAGGTGTAGATATGTTTTGATTCCTGCCTTTAGCAAGTTGTAATTAGTAATGTTGGTGTTTACTTAATGTGTGTGTTGGAGATGATGATGACCGAGTGCTCCTCAAATGTGAGAAGAAAAATAAAAGTAGAGATGCACACAGTTATTCTTGGAAAGAAACTGTTGTTTGTGTTATTCATTCTTATATTGATGGTGTAAACAGAGAACTGTGAAGGCCACCTGGGATTCCTTCTGGACAAAGTAGTTTGAGTACTGAGAAGGAGCAAAGTAAATTAATTTGCTTCTGCCAGTACACCAATTCCTTATTGGTCCTGATTTCAATTTTTCATCGCAAACTACATGAGGAAGGGTTTTTCCAAATGGTGTTTTTGTAAATTATCTAAGTATTAGATTCTTTGGACAAAAATTATATAACATAACTCCTTTAGAGCTAAGACTATGTATAGTTGTATTTCCACAAGAGGAAGAAGAGTGAACACCAGGTGTTTGTGGATGGTCAACCATGGAGTACTAATGAGGCAGAAAACCCTTTCATATTTTAAAAAACCTGGCAAGCTCATGATATTGCCCACTAAAGCCATCTGCCTGAGACAGCTGTGTCTGACTACAGCTTATGATGGTTTGGGCTGCTCTTTCCCCAAGACAAAATTGCTATATAGGTTAGTATCATAGATTTAAGATTTTATGTCTCATGCAGCAGGTGGACTCACAATGCAGAGGAAATATTATTTTAGGAAAGTTGAGCATGATGAATTCTTCACTAGAACAAAAACAATACATACTGTCAAGGAAAGTGACTTTCTAAATGTATATGTGACTGTGCAAGCCCAGCCGTGTGTGGATTGCCGCATTTTCTCCCTGTCTATGGTTTTAAAACAATAAGATGCTTCTCCAATCATTCTCTGTCCTCTCACCCACCCTACTTTATTTTTCCTCACAGACCCTGGTATTGCATTATATTTATTAATTACTGATTTATTTTTTCTGTCGCAACCACTGGAATGCAAACTCCACTGGAGCAGGAGCTTTTTCACTGCTTTTTTCACCAGTGTCTTGTATGTAGGAGTTGCTCAATAATCAATAATATTGTATGAATACATGCCTGAATATGTGCTATTTTTGTACTTATGGTTTCATAGGCAATTTTCATAGAGAAAAGAACTTACTGACAATAATCATATCCTCTTCTGTGTACCATGTGGGCTAATGCAGGGAGAAATTACCTATATTCCTTCCTTTCATTAAATAAAGTGAAGTCTAGACCTTGAGAAGCATGCTCTTTAAGTATCATGATAATCCCAAGAGTTGTACCTACACAAGCATATTCCTGAGATTTGCAGTAAAATGAAGTGAGAATGCAAATGAAAAAGACATGTCATAAGCAGGTTGTGTTCTCTGGATGCAAACACTGAGACAGTTTGGAGTGCAAGATGTTTATTAGAAATAGACACATGTGAAAGGAAGGGAGAGGAAAGCAGGATTGGGCAGAGGGAGAAGTCATGCTGTGATACGGGCCTGACAAAGATTGGCCAACCTGGTAGAGTCAAGTGTTGCCTGCTTAGCTCACCCCCTGGAGGCCAGTTGCCCTGGGAAGGGCATACTCCAGGTGAAATGGCTCTCTGCGGAAGCTGACAGCAGGAGACTGTCTGCTGGCCACATTCTCTGAAGCTCAGCAGCAAGATCTTCCTTGAAAGAGGTCCTGGTGACCCATCTTCCTAATTACCACAGCATAGTTGAAGCCTGTAACTGCTAACTTGAAGAATTTGTAAAGAGATACCATCTGCCCATTGACTAAATTTTAAATGTCTGCCTAAGTGGATCATGACACAGCAGTAGTTTCATGAACACTGAAAAAGATATGTTCCTCCTACTGATGATGAATGCTTATAACAATGACATTGGTTTGTTTTGGAATGAGTTGCTTTTCAGAACATTTATTTGAGGTTTAAAAAATATATTTAAAGTCATTCTGTGTGATTTTCCCCTCTAATTCCCTTACCCCAATTATGATTTTGCCAACAACTGCAATTAGTGAGGCATTGCTTCATCTTCCACCATTTCATTTGTAATTTAATTACTTGAATTTTCAGATAGCTTTTCTTAGAAGGAAAGCATTACGAATGGATATTAGGCTTCAAGGCTAATCCACAGAATTCCACGTTCTTTATGTCCCTCTGATTCCTGAGTGTTCTTGAAATCTGAAATTTAGCCAAAGCTACCCTAAGAGTGGCCATGAGAAAGGACACTGGTGCCGAATTAAAGTTCTGACAGTTGGGCTGGGACTGTGATGTTTAGAAGTATAGTAGAATATTCAGCGCTGTAGGGAGTGGGAGCAGGAAAGGAAGACTCTAGTGATGAGGTGGTAGCAAGGTGTGCTAGTCATTTCCATTTCTAATTTGCATATGTCAGTTGGGCACTGCTTGCATGTTCACAGTGGCTATGCCGTAATTATGAGTAGTCTTTGTATCTCCCTTCACCCTTGTGAAACTCAACAGAATCACGGCAACAGCCTTCTGGCAGCATAATGCAGATGTGTCATTCTCCTCCCGCAGTGAAAAAAAGAGGAGAGGGAGCTGTGCACTCTCTGAATTCTATTTTTAAATGCCCATCACTTCATTTCAAAACATTTTTTCATACATGCCATAGATACTATTCTTCCTTGAGATGCTAAATTTGAGGTTTTGGAAACCAAATCCTGAGTTACACAGTGTAAAACCAAGTATCTCAAAAGGTTTAAACACAATTGGTTTTTAATTACTTAGCAAGAAATTCATTATACCAAGTAAGAATGAGAGACTTTTTAGCTTAAAAGGCAAATGCTGAAAGGAAGTAAAAATATGGTCTTAGAGTAAAAATGTCATTTCAGATTTAGTTTAGAGTTTCATCTAGGCAAAACTGCAGTATTGTAATCAAAGAGAGGAAGAAGATGGATCTTTTTTGGTTAATATCTTAAATACTTTAATTTTTTTAATTTTACATATGTTTTATATTTTTCTTTTAGATAAAATATTCTTACTGAGTAATCTAGGAGAAAAAACTGTTCTATGTACAGCTTGCCCTATCAGTTGCCATTAATTTTTGATTCCTGCTTAAGGAGAATGTTTTTTTCCTCTGCTTTCCTAAAACAGTTGAGTGTTAGGCCTCCTATCTGTGTTATGAGAGAAGTCTATGGTTGGTATTTCACAGGAGAAATTAAAATGCCACATGTTTGAGTGTGATGGGACACATTATGACTGAGTAAATGCTTTTATTTCTGTGGTAACTAACCCTTACCACCCCCATCAGTTTTACATCTGGAGGTGAATAGGAAATGTGGGCTAGAGAAAAAAGCTCTGCTTCTCACTGCTCAGTGGAGGCTCAAATGGCACTTCTTGCTGGGTGTAAAAGACAGTTTTGCTTGATCTTCAGTGTAGCTTTTCAACCCACTTTTGAAATAAGAGAGATCTTTATTTTCTTCTTGGTTTCATTGTGGGCCTAGCAAAAAGTAGGAAGCAAGGACTTTTCAAGGTCCCTTCCAGATCTGAGTCCATACCTTCAAGGTAGATTCAATGGCAGAAATAGCAGCCCGAGATGAATTCCTGACTCTGTGTCACTCGCCACATGACCATAGCAAGTTAATTAACTTCTATGACTCTGCTTTCTTATCTGGGGATGGGGCACAAATAATTCTACCCAGTCTTGTTTTGAGATTATTATAACCTAACCTGTGGACAGTACCTGACATTGTGCTGGCATAGAGTATGGGCTTCATGCATTTCTTATTTTGTATAATTTTTTACCTTTCCTAGAAACTGGAATTAGTTCTCAACATTCTTATGTGCCATAGAAGACTAGGAAAAGCCCCAGTCTCTCAATACAAAAAGTCCCTAGATTGTCATGAGTATTTTTGAGTAAGATACTTACATAGGATATAAGTTATCAAGAAGCTTGCATTTCTATGTAAATTGGGAAGCCCTGGTGATGTCATGGCTTTATTTTCATAATCTGTCACGTGGATTATTATTGAAGGCCCACTAGACTAAATTTGCTGTCACACAAGATCTCCCCTACAGAAATGACTCAAGGAGATCTGATGAAAAGTAATATAATGATTTTTTTAGGTATTATTTGAGAGCTGTCATTCTATAAATAGGTAGGTTATAGTTCCTTCCATCAACACTAGTAGCAGATATTTATTATATAATTCAATATATTAAATGGGTACCAGACTATATACATTTTTTCAGTCTTCTATAACTTTGTATTTTTTAAACCCACCCATCTCTCAAACCCTCATCACCACTTACCACCTACCCCTGGCAATGTTAGTGCTTTGAATATATGTCTGATTCATCTTTACCCAGGCCATCTCGGTAGTCATTAAGACCCGTGGATGCTGCCTTTGAAACATCTCCCATATCCATCCCTTCAGCTGTCTTGCAAGGCCATGTTCTTTTCATCACCTGTCTGGATTATATGACAGTAATGCTCTAAATAGTCTTTGGTCTTCCTCTTTCAATCCCACCCCCACTCTTTGTCACAATATTTTTCACCCTGCTACTCTGTCTGACTTACTGAAACATGGCTATTACAGGTCATTCTGAATTCAATGATTGATGGCTTTCATTGCCTACAGGTCCATTTATATAGAGTGTAGAGCAATAAAATTTTGATCTGGCTTTCAAGACCCTTAGCAATTTGACTGTTGTCTACACAGCTAACCTCATTTTCTTCTACAAACCCTTTATTCCAGTTAAATGGGTGCCCTCATAGGCTTTCAAACACCTTGTGAGCATATCTGCTCCCATCCAATGCTTCTCTTTCCTATTGTCTCTTTTCTAAAATACCTTCCCACTGTCTCTCTACCTGACTCAAATGTTCAAGGTTCAGCTCAAATTCTATCTCTTCTATCTCCTAAGTGACACTTCCCTTATCACCTTGCCCCATTTAGTCCCACAGCAAACCCAAAAATCTACAAAAACCCATAAATCTATAAAACATAACTAGCATGTTTTATTCGTGAGGATTATTGTTTTAGTCACTATTCCTGGACTGTAACAGTATGTGGAACATAGTGGGCACTAAGTAAATAGTTGTTGGATAAATATTAATAAATACAGTGATTGCACCTTGCCTATAACTTCTTGGCTTCTTTTCTGGCTGGAGGACAAAATTCATATTCCTTACCTTAGATTTGAAGGTCTTTCACAATGTACTTAACTCTTTTTTCCTCCCCAGTATTCACCTTTTTAAGCCCCTAGACTCTTTTCTCATTTTGATCTTCACAAGTTATATTCATTCCTATTTCAGTTTTTTGGCTTATGCCGTTTTCCTCACTGTAAACACTTGGCTTGTCTCTTTTCTGCCTGTCTATATTCCCATACATTCTTGTTAGGCTAAACTTAAAACTCATTATTGCATTAAAACATACTTGTCTTTCTCATTCAGACTCCTACAGCATACCACCTGTACCAGCTAGTTTTTGGAAGTTAATCAAATTTTATTTTTACCTGCTTATTGAAAAAACTTTATTCTTTTTTAAAGTAAAATATGTTCCGTGGGTTTTTTTAAAAAATGAAACAACAAAAGAGTATAAAGAAAAATGTGAAAAGTTTCCCAAATCTCAGCATTCAGATAGAAACATTGTACCCCTTTATTCATAATTAGCCCAAAGTTATGTAAGATGAGAACATTTGGAAGTGGTGTCTGAATGAAGGGTATATGGAAATTTTTTGTGTGATATTGATGCAATTTTTTATAAGTCTGAAAATATACACAGAAGTTAACAAAGTAGTATAGAATCTATAAAATAATACAAATATGTGGTAATGTTAGTATATGAAGCAATGCAAATCAGTGAGGAAAACTGAACTGTTCAATTAAATGGTAAAGAGATAATAGGCTAATCCATTTGTAGAAAAGGCTGGATTCCTCCCTCATACATTACACCCAAATTAACTCCACATGGATCACAATAACAAATAATAAGGCACAAAAATAAAATAAAAACACGAGGCCGAGTGCAGTGACTCACGCCTCTAGTCCCAGCACTTTGAGGGCCATGGTAGGTGGATCACTTGAGGCCAGAATTTCAAGACTAGCTTGGCCAACATGGTGAAACCCCATCTCTACTAAAAATACAAAAATCAGCCAGGCATGGTGGTGCATGCCTGTAGTCCTAGCTACTTGGGAGGTTGAGGCAGGAGAATCACTTAAACCCTGGAGGCGGAGGCTGCAGTGAGCCGAGATCATGCCACTGCACTCCAACCTGGGTGACAGAGCGAGACCCTGTCTCAAAACAAAACAAAACAAGACACACACACGCACACACCAAACATGAGGAGTGACAAGTGTTATAGTTTGAAGTAGGCATAATTAAGCATGACAAGAAAATCAAAAACATAAAATACAAATCTGAATGCATAAAAATTAAAACTTTATATTACAAGAAAGCAGAGTGGGGAACACCGTTAAGTTAAAATACAAGTGATGAACTGGAGAAAAATAATTATAGCCTATGTGCAAAGGGTTGATAGACATGTGCTAAGGTGTTTTAGAGCTTGTGCTCTAGAGTAACACTGCCTGACCTACCAATCACAAGATGTGACATTGAAAAAGTCATGTAACTATTCTGTGCCTCAGTTTCCTCACTTTAAAAGATGGTAATAAGACTCCCTGTTTCATGGTGTTATTATTGGGCATTTAACCCATATGTAAAAGCATCTAGTACCGTGTTTGGCATGTAATAGTAATGATAATAACTGCTAAAATATACCAGGGGTTAATATGTATTATACACTGTGCAAGCCTTTTAAATACATTGTCTCATTTAATGCTCACAGCAACCCTTCCAATGAGGAAGGTGCTGTTATTCTCATTTTACAGATGGGTACTCCGAGATTTAGAGAGGTTATGTAACTTGACCAACAGCTAGTAAGTCATGGAGGTGGGATTTGAGCAAAGATGTGATTCCAGACCCATCCTCTTAACATTTACACCATGCTGTTGTGACTCTTAAGACAACTTAGTTCCCTTTTCCTTGAGTCTTGGGAGTATTTAATCTTGAGAGTTAATTGGACTTTTAACACCCTCTCAGTAGGTATATGATATAAGCTCTTCAAATGAATCTGGACACTAGTATATCCATGAAGTTGCCATCTCATGTATATTTTTACAGAACATAGCCTTTCTTTGATGCTTGACCAAAGATTACTGGAACAGGATTCTAAGTAGGCTTTTAACACTGTATGTTTGATTCTTGAACTGACTTCGATGGTGTGCCCCACTGTTTGAGCCCAAGGTTACTTTATGGGATAGTGTAGACTGTTATTTTCAGTTCTTCCTTTGGCAGTTAGGATCAGTTCCCATCTCATCAGTTTCTCCTTTTACCTAGGACCAATTATTACTCCCATTAACTGGCCTCAGACTTTTCCTAGTAGTCTGCAAACTCTGCAGGCAGCATTTAAATCCTTTTAGCTTTCCACACCAAGCACAGTGCCTGAATTCTTACCTTGAATGTTGTAGGAGTTTAACAAATGGCTTATTAATTTAATTAATTATAAATGAGACTTCTAGATAACTTGTGTCTTATGAGCTTCTAATTGTTTCTTCTGCAGCAGTAACTGGAAAATGGAATTTCCCAAAAGCAATGCTTTATATTAGTTAATGTGTTAGAGAGGGACTTTGTCATGATGATATAAAATTTTGATTAAATGAAAAGCAGTTTATTTCTCTTGTACAAGTGACCCACATAAAGTACCATTTATGAAATGGAAAAACAATTGGGAAGAAAAATTTTCTCAAAGTATTATAACCAAGGCACAGTATAGTTTTAAAATGATTTATACTTTATATATAGGGCTTGCTCAGTTAATGTATCAAGTTATTAGGCATTAAGAAATGTTGAGTGAGGAATGAGGTTATGAAATAGATATGCAAACATGGATGTAGAAAGAAACTGTATAGTTTGAATAAGTTAATGCTGCTCTGCCAAACCTAATGTTCTCTTTTTGCCCTTTATTCACTTAGCAACTGGGCCATTTCCCCTAGTATATTAATTATGGCCTACGAGTGAGTGAAAATTTTTGAGCTCCTATGTTAAATCATTTTAGAACATTGGGAGTGGGAGTTAGCAAATCGTTGCTTAAGGGAACCAAATAATAAGCTAGTAAAGGTAAATGCAACTTACTAAAGGGCCCAACATAAAAACAAATAGCTTATGCAGTGGCATATCTTAATGCAGTGTTTGATCTTTATGTACCCTGCTGCCTCAGATTCTAGGTCTAGTTCAAATGGCCACTGCAAACCCATCTGCCTTTATGAAAAATGCCCTTCCTTCAGTAAAACATTTTGAGTATGTTATTCACAACTTGAACAATCCTACATCCAGGCCTGAAGAAAGTGGTAGTATGGACGGGTGTGCGCCCTTGTCTTGTTTGGTGATTCTGAACTTCAATCTTGTAAGGAGGGAAAGAAAGAGGGGTTGGAAATGAGGGTGGAAATGAGGGTTGGAGAGCACTGGCTTTGGGATTTAATCAACAGCATCTAGCTTCAGTTCACCCAAATGGTACTCCATAAATCAAACTTATTTTTATATATTTTTTATTTTTTTATCTTTAGTTATTATGAACACATAGTGCATATTTATGGGGTGTATGTGATATTTTGATACAAGGCATACAATGCGTAATGATCAGATCAGGGTAATTGGGCTATCAATCACCTCAAGCATTTATCATTTCTTTGTGTTAAGAACATTCCCGTTCCACATTTTTAGGTATTTTGAAATATATAATACATTACCGTTAATTATAGTTGCCCTATTGTGCTACCGAACACTAGGTCTTATTTTTTCTATATAACTAATGCAGTTTTAAATAACTATATTTTCATACCCAATAACCATTCACTTTTTATCCCTCCTCCCCGCTACCATTCTCAATCTCTGGTAACCATCATTCTACTCTCTACCTCCATGAAATCTACTTATTTTTACCTCCCACATATGAGTGAGAACATGTGATATTTGTCTTACTGTTCCTGGCATATTTCATTTAACATAATGACCTCCAATTCCATCCATGTTGCTACAAATGACAAAATTTCATTCTTTTTATGGCTAAATAATATCCCATTGTGTATATATACCTTGTTTTCTTTATCCATTCATCCCTTGATCAACACTTAGGTTGATTCCCTATCTCGGCTATTGTGGATAGTGCTGCAGTAAACATGCGAATGCAGATTTCTCTTTAACATACTGATTTCCTTCCTTTTGGGTATATGCTCCGCAGCAGCATTGCTAGATTATATGATAGATTTTTAGTTTTTTGAGGAACCTCCAAAGTGTTCTCCATAGTGACTGTATTAATTTACTTTCCCACCAACACTATACAAGTGTTCCCCTTTCTCCATATCCTTGCCAGCATTTGTTATTGCCTGTCTTTTTGATAAAACCATTTTAACTGAGGTAAAATGGTATCTTGTGGTTTTGGTTCGCATTTCTCTGGTGATTAGTAATGATTAGTGATCATTTTTTCGTATAATTGCTGGCCATTTGTATGACTTGTTTTGAGAAATGTCTCTTTTTGATCTTTTGCCTATTTTTTAATTAGATCATTTGGGTTTTTTTCCTACTGAGTTGTTTGAACTTCTTATATATTCTGATTGTTAATCCCCTTTCAGATGGGTAGTTTGCAAATATTTTCTCCCATTCTGTGGGTTGTCTCTTCATTTTGTTGATTGCTTCCTTTTCTGTGCAGAAGCTTTTTAGCTTGACATGATCCCATTTGTCCATTTTTGCTTTGTCTATCTGTGCTTTTGAGGTCTTACTTAAGAAATCTTTGCCCAGACCAATGTTCTGGAGTGTTTCCCCAGTGTTTTCATGTCATAGATTGAAGTGTTTAATCCATATTTATTTGATTTTTGTGTATGGTAAGAGATAGGCATCTAGTTTCATTCTTCTACATATGAATATCCAGTTTTTCCAGCACCATGTATTGAAGAGACTGTCCTTTCCACAATGTATGTTCTTGGTGTTTTTATCAGAAATGAGTTGGCTATAAATGCATGGATTTAAATCTGGATTCTGTATTCTTTTCCATTGGTCTTTGCATCTGTTTTTATGCCAGAACCATGCTGTTTTAGTTATGGTAGCTTTGTAGTATAATTTGAAGTCAGGTAATGCAATGATTCCAGCTTTGTTCTTTTTGCTCAGGATTGCTTTGACTATTCTGGGTCTTTTGTAGTTCCTTATAAATTTTAGAATTTTTTTTTTTATTTCTGTGAAGAATGTCATTAGTATTTTTATAGGGATTGCATCTGTAGATTGCTTTGGGTAGTATGGACAGTTTAATAATATTTATTTTTCCAGACCATGAACTTGGAATATCTTTCCCTTTTCTGTGTCCTCTTCAGTTCTTTCATCAGTGTTTTTGTAGTTTCATTCTAAAGATTTTTTCACTCCTTTGATTAAGTTTATTCCTAGGTATTTTATTTTAGCTGTCGTGAATGGAATTACTTTCTTGGTTTCTACTTCAAATTGTTCACTGTTGGCATATAGAAATGATACTGATTTTTATATATTGATTTTGTTCCCTATAATGTTACTGAATTTATCATTTGATGCAATACCTGCATTCTATTAAGAATCACTCAGAACTGCTGCTGAGAGGGCATGCTGTCTTGTTTCAGCCTGGTTTTGCAGGATTGGGATTGCCCATAACCCCTGGCAGGAGTAACCCTTTGTGTATACCCACACACATGCCCTGAGGTCAGGGCTCACATACCACTAGCAAGGCATATGTCCTCACTACCCCAGCCCCCATTAGTCTATCCTGTGTGGTATAGAAAATGAGAAGCTGGGTCTCGTAGAGTCTAAGACAGGTACTCAATGTGCCAGTGAATGTGCATATGCCTAGTTCTTCCAAACATATGCATCTTACTGATGCCAGTGTGGATTTACATGGCAGAGAACCTTCCCTATTGCTTTAGGTTTTGACACAGAGACCCATTATCTCTTTTCCTGCCATAGTACACATTCTCATGTAACTTCACATGTATCTGCTTTGTGAATGCAGCACCTCCTTCCCCAGCTATGATACTCTTGGGCTACCCTAGATCCAATATATATAGAAGTATACAGCATTAAGTACTCAGAATAATACAATGTTTCCATATTTAAATGTTTAAAGTAGAATCTTGAGCTTTTTTTTCACATTTTACTTAATGTTTTGTTTTTTTATACTTCTGGTTTTCTAAATGGAATGTAACTGAATACATTCAGACCACATATTATACAGTGTAAAAACATGTATTAGTTATCCATTCTCAAATGGTGAAGTTAGAAATATATAGTCCCTTGAATCTGAACAAAAAGCAGTATAGGCTTTAAGGCTCTGAGTCTAAACAGGACTTGCTGTTATGAGCTAGGAGGTAGGAGAGGCTTTCTTATGTTAGCTCTGTTCCAGAGTCTTAATTGGGAGTGAGTTCAAAGCCTCTAATGACCTCAGTCTCCCACAAAAATACAAACCCTAATGTAAGATTAATCTTCTGATTAGTGTTACATCTGATTGGAAAGACTAATCCAATGAGCTTTCATTTAAGAAATGTGATTTTAGTGACATAAATATATATTGAGAATGTAATTTCATCATGAGGTTGTTCACCTAGTTTTTGTTTTTAAATTTTGTGTTATGGAATGTTTCAAACATATACAAAATTAGAATAAGATAATGAACATGCCACGCTATCCAGTTTCAACAGTTGTTAACATTTTGTCAATCATGTTTTATTTAAAGCCGCCTCCCTTTTTTTCTTTGCCTCATAGTATTTTAAAGTAAAATTCAGACATTTTGTCAATTCATCTGTAAATATTTTAGCATTTATTTCTAACTTATAAGGCCCTTTTAAAAAAAACCATGCCATGTCATATCTATAAAATTAGTAATTTCTTAATATCATCCAGTATCTCCCATATTAAAATTTCACTGATTGTCTCAAAAATATCTTTTTATAGATTATTCAAATTAGAATTCATATAAGGTTCATACATTTTAAGTCTGTTTATATCCCTTTAGTATCTTTTTCTCTATATAAATATTGATATTTTAATTTTTTCTTTAGATTTACTTATAATTTATTAAGGGAGTTAAAGGGAAGAATTGGTACCAAAATTACTGCCTTAGATTTTATCTTTAAATCATTAATCTACATTATTCATATTTTCAGATCCATACATACTTAATGCTGAAATGTGAAGGGCTGAGAAAAAAGAAAAGAGTAGGCCTTTTTTGTTGTAATTCAGAAACAATCATGATTGATTTTTATTATTCCAATGCAGAAAGCAAATGCAGAAATTTGGCCCCCTCCCTAATTGAGTTCAAGTATGTCTATATTAAATTACGCTTTAAGCTATATTGTAATTTGACCTAATAAATTATCACTTCAATTATGAATACAAATTTTGTAAATAGTGATTCTTTGCTTCTGGAATTTTTTTATATTTTGTCTTTCAGATTTGGGGTTTGTATTTCAGTGTGATAAATTTAAGTGTTTCCCTTTTTTTTTTTTTTTTTTTTTTGAGACAGAGTCTCGCTCTGTCACCCAGGCTGGAGTAGTGCAGTAGCATGATCTTGGCTCACTGCAAGCTCCGCCTCCCGGGTTTACTCCATTCTCCTGCCTCAGCCTCCCGAGTAGCTGGGACTACAGGCGCCCACCACCATGCCCGATTTAAGTGTTTTCTTACCAAACATGAGTGAGTTTTCTTACCAAACATCTTCTCTACTGTTACCAATTAACATACCTAAATGGCTTGTTGGTCCATTTGATGGTATTCCTATTGAGTTCAATCTGATGTCTCAGAAACATTTTTCCTTGTAAAAATAGTTGAATCATATATTTGCTTCTTTTTTAATACATATTTTGCTATTCTACCAGGTTGGTGCATTATTTTCTTTCAACATTGTAGGAAGACAGAAAATAATTTCTTCTTCCACTATAATTTTAACACTACCAATTCTTGATTTAAATTGTGCAGTACTGCTAAAATGCCTCAAATTTTTACCATTTCTTTTTATAAACTCTCAATCTTGTGATATCTTTCCTTTCTTAGGATATGAACGAGACTGCCAAACAAGAAGATATTTTGGAATCCACAACAGATGCTGCAGAATGGAGCCTAGAAGTGGAACGTGTACTACCGCAACTGAAAGTCACGATTAGGACTGACAATAAGGTATCAAAGTGGGAACACATTTTCTTAAAAAAAAAAAAAAGTTATAAGGAAACTTCAGGGTTAGGGGTACTCCCAATTATAAAAATTATTAAAGAAGGGCAGTAGGATTCAGTTTTCAGCATTTTGTCTTAATAAGGATTTAACAAATTGTTGTTAAATAACTAAATAATGTAATGTGGTCCAAAAAGCAAAGCAAAGATCTTTAAAAGAGTGATTTGGAAGACATCATATTTGCCTAGTGTTGAGGGGTATTTTCTCAGAAGATTTTCTGGGAAATCATATTATGTTTAGATGAATAGGAATTCCATGACCATACCAACTGATTAGAGTTATAAGATGGTTTAGAGCTCTGCTGCATGGCAAAACAGAAAGCAGCCTGGAAGTGGTCTTAGATAATCTATTCAATACATGTGATTAAAAATAAAATGCTGGCCAGGCGCCATGGCTCACGTTTGTAATCCCAACGCTTTGGGAGGCCGAGGTGGGCAAATCATGAGGTCAGGAGTTCGAGACCAGCCTGGCCAATGCAGTGAAACCCCGTCTCTACTAAAAATACAAAAATTAGCCAGGCATGGTGGCACGTGCCTGTAATCCCAGCTACTCAGGAGGCTGAGGCAGGAGAATCGTTTGAACCCAGGAGGCAGAGGTTGCAGTGAGCCAAGACTGCACCACTGCACTCCAGCCTGGATGACAGAGCGAGATTCCATCTCTAAATAAATAAATAAATGTTAAGAAAATAATCAAGAAGTCATATTTAATAAGATTTAGGGATTAGACCAGATTAACTTGCCCATTGTATCAAGTTTCTACTTCCTTTCTAGTTACAATTTGATAAATACTGTTGTATTAGTTCGTTTTTGTACTGCTATAAAGAACTGCCCAAGACTGGGTAATTTTTAAAGGAAAGGTATAATTGACTCATAGTTCAGCATGGCTGGGGAGGCCTTAGGAAACTTAAACAATCATGGCAGAAGGCCAAGGGAAAGCAAGGCATCTTCTTTACAAGGCCGCAGGAAGGAGAAGAAGTGAGCAGGAGAAATGCCAGACAATTATAAAACCATCAGATCTTGTGAGAACTCACTCACTTTCACAAGAACCCCATGGGGAAACCATACCCATAATCCAATCACTTCCCACCAGGTTCCTCCCTTAACACTTGCGGATTACAATTCAAGATGAGATTTGGGTGGGGACACAAAGCTAAACCATGTAATTCTGCCCCGGCCTCTCCCAAATCTCATGTCCTTACATTTCAGAACACAATCATGCCTTCCTGACAGTCCCCCAAAGTCTTAACTCATTCCAGCATTAACCCCAAAAGTCCAAGTCCAAAAACAAGGTTAATCTGAGACAAGGCAAGTCCCTTCCACCTAGTAGCCTGTAAAATCAGGGTTTGAACTGCACAGGTCCACTTATAGGCAGACTTCCCAATAAACGTTACAACCAGTATGCCTGCTGTTCTGCGTCCTCTTCCACCTCCTCTTCCCCTTCTGCCTCTGCCACCTCTGAGACAGCAAGACCAACCACTCCTCTTACTCCACATGAAGACAATGAGGATAAAGATCTTTATAGTGATCCACTTCCACTTAATGAATAGTAAATACATATTTTCTTTCTTATGATTTTCTTAATATTTTCTTTAGTTTACTTTGCTGTAAGAATGCAGTATATAATACATATAACATAAGGAATACGTGTTGTTTATATTATCAGTATCATTTCTAGTCAAAAGTAAGCTGTTAGTTAAATTTTTGAGGAGTCAAAACTACTGCACAAAGTGATCAGTGCCCCTAACGACCAACCTCTGCATTGTTCGAGGGTCAACTGTAATGACTTCAGAATAAGTTAATAGGTAACTAGGCAATACTATTCTAGTGGTAGTGTAAATATCTCTACAAAAGGGGCTAAAGAGACATCTAGATAAAAAACTGAAGGAGAATTTTCATCCTTGGAGGAGGTTGTACATAAGCCCCCAGTGTTATGGAATGAGGTTCTAGATAAGCTTATCACTCTGAAAATGTGATCCTGTGTCTGCTTCCCCCACCAAAAAAACCAAAAAATCTTAC
Organism: Homo sapiens; assembly: GCF_000001405.40. NCBI lineage: Eukaryota > Metazoa > Chordata > Mammalia > Primates > Hominidae > Homo > Homo sapiens. The sequence goes on along the minus strand of NC_000003.12, from coordinate 108,189,454 downwards.
AAACATTGCTGTTTTCAGAATGCCTTAGAAGCTAATTTATTCTTAGAATGTCTCCATTTGAGCTTGTACAACTGTGTCTCAGAGCAGGTAGGAAGTAAGCTAGATTCCTAGAGCAGTCCCGGGATAGGGCGAGAGCAACAGAGGTCTTACTACACTGTGAACAGCTGTAGAACAAATTCTATTCAATGTAAGTGGACAAATCCTGTAGTCCATTTACCTACTTGTTATAGAGGACAACTATTAATTGATTGCATTGCAGGTGAATTCTTTGTATAGCTCTCATATCTAAAAATATATTAATAAGAATTTCTTCTTCACTGATTAAGCAAAATCTTCTGGAAGTCTTCATTTGCAAAAATGTGATTTCTGATTTTTTGGTTTTGTCAGAACAAATTCTTTTCATAAAATTAAAAGTCACTATTATTGTGATTCTGGTTATAATGATGTGTTAAAATAATTGTATAGTTGGAAACTCTCAAGTACAGCTTAATCCCACAAGGAAGCAAGTTTAATTTGTTTACTTTCAAGCTAAGTAAACTCTGGAAGTCAGACATCTCATTTAAAGTCTAATAGGGATTTTTTAGATTGCGGTTATTGATTTTTGCATTAATAGGAGTAACTTAAGAATATAAATGTAACTGCTAACACACACTCTTTTACAAAACTATGTGCAGGTCAAATTCTATAACAGACCAGTATTGCCATCATCAAAATCCTGAGTTTTTAAATCATCAGTGTCCTCCTGATTTGGGGAAAAATTAATGAGTTGAAAGTTAGACCCTTATTCTCATGCCATTCTGTAGGCCTTAATCTTATGAGGATATACCCTGTCAAATTAATTATAAAATTAAGTTTTATGGCCAGCATTCCAAAATATCAGATAAAGGTTTTTTTCATTATTTTTTAGAATATGTAGATATCATTTTGAATTTAGATCTTTGTGGTAAAAACTACTGACCAAAGTCATATTCGATTGCTTTTTTAGAATTCTTCTTTAGATAGTTTGATCTTTGTGTCTAGTATTTTACAAACTTCTCTTTCTTTTAAGTCTTTCAGATATGGCAATTGGGAAATACACCTTTAGGGTCAGGTGAATTCTTTATTTAGCTTATTTAAAAATAAATGTATATACTGGCTTGAGAAAATAAGGAGCTAATGAAAAGTTTCTCATGCCTCAGAAATAAAAATAAACCATCTGGTTACATATGAGCTCTCTTCTCACAGACTCATTCTCCTCCAGAAGAGGTGGACTCCAGCATCGTGGTCGACCCTTTCCTTCTCCACTCCTCACTCTATCAAAATCAAATAGACACTTGGACACAGGAAGGGGAACATCACACACTGGGGCCTGTTGTGGGGTGGGAGGAGGGGGGAAGGATAGCATTAGGAGATATACCTAATGTAAACGACGAGTTAGTGGGTGCAGCAAACCAACATGGCACATGCTACATACGTAACAAACCTGCACATTGTGCACATGTACCCTGAAACTTAAAGTATAAAAAAAAAAAACAAAAACCTTTGTTTTCCCTTTGGCCAAAATAATAACCTTTCACTCAACACAGGCTATCTAGGACATCTAGAGATTTTACCTGTGTGTTTTAAAGAAAAGAAAAGAAAAGAAATGTATTATTTTGGGGTCAGTGTGTTTTACTGGTCAGTGTTGGATTAATTTTGAAGTGGTTTAGAGATGAGAGAGACAAGTAGTAAAGGACCTCTGTTATTTAAATTTGGTAGTAAATAAGTCCCATATTTATTTGGCTCTGGATCAAATATGTGTTTTGCGTTTTTCTCTCACACTTTTTTTTTTTAATCAGGCACCCTTCTGAGCCATAGTAGGCTCAGACACTCCCCCCCTTTTTTTTTTAACTTACATGAAAACAAGTTTAATTATTAGAGAAGTAAAGAAACAAAATCATGGCTACTCCATAGGCAGAGCAGTCTTCTCTCACACATTTATTCTTTTTATGCTTCCTAGCAGGAAATTACAGGAAAGTAAATCTCCTTCTCTATTCTTTTTATGTATTTCAATGTATGTGCTTTGATGAGATCTTATCATGTAACAATATTTTATTTTGTATATTCACCATAATATTGCAACAAGGTTTTTATTGCTAAACTAGCTTATCCCTATTGTCTGGCACCACTTGCTACTATTGCCAGTTCTCAAAGAATGCAAACTAATTTTAATATTAGCTTAAACAGAATACAATTAGGAAAGTAAATGTTGCCAAGAATACAAATAATATGCTTCACAGCTGAAGATAAAGAATTTTTGTTATATGCTGATTTGAATGGACCATATTAATGGTTCATTTTTTTTGGCATTGATTATAATGTTCCTGGTAATTACAGTTGACCCTTGAACAACATGAAGGTTAGGGATGCCAACCCCTGTGCATTTTAACTTTTGACTCTTCAGAACTTACCTACTAATAGCTTACTGTTGGCTGGACACCTTACTAATAACATACACAATTAACAGATATTTTGTATGTTATATGTATTATATTCTGTATTCTTACAATAAAATAAGCTAGATAAAAGAAAATGTTAAAAGAATCATAAGGAGGAGAAAATATATTTACTATTCATTAAGTGGAAGTGGAGCATCACAAAGGTCTTCATCTCCATTGTCTTCCCATTAAGAAGGCTGAGGAAGGAGGAGGGACTAGAGGAGGAGTTGGTCTTGCTGTCTCAGGGGTGGCAGAGGCAGAAGAAGTGGAGGAAGAGGAAGGGGAGGCAGGAGAGGCAAGCACACTGGTATAACTTTATGGAAATGCATTCTAATTTCTGGCTTTTTTTGCTTTTTCATTTCTTTAAAAACGTTTCTGTATATTACCAATTCTTCCGCAATTTGGTTTAATTTTTCATTGAAGGGTCCACGTTATAAAACAAGTCCAAAGTAGTCTTGAATAATCAGAGCCCTTCTGCCAGATTGTCCAGTATCAAATTTGTTTTCTGGTACTACTTCTTCTTCGTCTTCCTCCTCATTGTTTGGCATGGTTTGGAAGCACTTATCTCCATCAAATCATCTCCTATTAATTCCTCTGGTATTTTTATTAACTCTTGAATTTCTCCAAAATCCATATTTTGAAACCTGTTATCCCCACCAACATTTTTTTTTTTTTTTGGCATAGCCACAGTCTCTATCATGATTTCCTTGATTGTCTCTGTCATAAATCCTGTGAAGTCCTGCACAACATCTGGCACAGTTTTCTTCAGCAGGAATTTGTTTTAGACTTCATGGCTTTTACAGCTTTTTCTATAACAACAATGGTATCTTCATTGATATAATCCTTCCAGACTTTTATGATGTTCTCTCTTTTGGGGATCCACAGTGTTGACAATTCTTTCCATAGAGTACTATGTGTAATAAGACTTAAAGGTCCTTATGACCCCCAATCTACTAGCTGAATTGGAGATGTTGTGTTTGGGGGCAACTAGACCACTTCAGTGCCTTCGATGTTTAAGTCATGGGGTTCTGGGTGACCAGGGGCATGGTCCGATATCAAAAAACTTTAAAGGGCAGTCCCTTACTAACAAGGTACTTCCAGACTTCAGGGATAAAGCATCGATGGAACCAGTCCAGAAAAGGGGTTCTCAGTGTCTAGGCCCTTTTCTTGCACAACTAAAAGACTGGCAGCTGGTGATTATCTCTTCCTGTCAAGGCTCAGGGGTTAGCAGTTTATAAATAAGGGCAGTCCTAATCATAAACCCAACTATATTTGCATAAAATAGTAGAATTAGCTTATCCCTTCCTGCTTTAAATCCTAGTGCTGGCAGGAGAATCGCTAGAATCCAGGAGGGGGAGGTTGCGATGAGCTGAGATTGCGCCATTGCACTCCAGCCTGGGCAACGAGCGAAACTCCATCTCAAAAAAAAAAAAAAAAAAAAAAAAAATCCTAGTGCTCACATCTCTTAGTAATAAATGTCTTCGTGGCACTTTTTCTTTTTTTCATAACAGGGCACTTTAGTCTGCATTAAAAACCTGTTTAGGCAGATATCTTTTCTCCACAGTGATATTCTTAATGGCACCTAGGAACTCATCTTCTGCCATTTAGTCATCAGAAGCTGAGTCTCCTGTTATCTTGACATTTCTTAAAGCCAAACCTCTTTCAAAAATTATCAAACCATCCTTTGCTGGCATCAGATTCTCCAGCTTTAGATCCTTCACCCTCCTTTTGCTTTAAATTGTCGTATTATATCTTCATTTTTTCTTGAATCATAATGGAGGCTATAAGTATGTCTTTCTTATAGAAATCCTACACCCACATAAAAGCTGCATTTTCAGTATAAGAGAAAAAGTATTTTGCAAAAAGCGAAAGGTTTTTGTGCCTGCTGTCATAGCTGCAGTGATGGCTTCCTGAATTTTCTTTTTTTATAATGGTTCTTATGCTGGATTCATTTATCTTGAAATGACAAGAATCCTCAGCTGCAGACCTCAATCTACAGTACATGTCAAGCAATTCATCTCTTTATTGTAATGTCAGGACTTTTCGCTACTTCTTGGAAGCACTTCCAGCATTGCAAGTGACATTTGTATAGGTCCCATGGTGTTATTCAGGGTTTATGCTAAACATGAAAAATACTTGAAGATATTGCACTAAACATGAAAAGTACACGAAAACCTCAAGAAATAACTTTTTACTGTGATACACAATTTACTATAGAGACTAACTGCTCACTTGGACATGATTAACCTCACACATTTTAAGCAATATTTGCAACACTTGAGCTCATCACAATAATAAGAGGTGGCTACAAAATTATTATAGTAGTACAGATTGTACTACAGTTAATTTTATACACTTATGATTTAATACTGCATATCTACCTTTGTTTACATTTCTCTCAACTGTAAATGGTGCCACATACAGTCTGTGTTTGTGTGCATAAATTTTGGTAATCTTTAACTTTTTATAATAGTTTTTTTTGTATATTTATGGTAGTAAATAACATAGACTAGTATCTATGTATATTTTATGTGTTTATAACATACCTAACTTTTTCTTAATTTTTTCAATATTTTAGCCTGTGTGGTTCATCTGCAAGTTTTTTCAAATTGTTGCAAATCTCTAGAAAATTTTTTTGTATATTTATTGAAAAAAATCCGCATATAAGTGGACCCATGGAGTTGAAACCAGTGTTGTTTAAGGGACAGCTGCACTTCTAGGGTGGTTATGTATCCAGAGAACAATTCAGATCTGCCTCAAGTTGGAATAATGTGTCTAAAGATGCAGCCAGAAATTCTGCTAAGGAAGTAAAAATCAGCCAAATCCTAGCTCATGCCACTTTAGCAATGCCTCGGTTATGACCTAATGAGTATGGCTCAGGAGTCCATTTCTTAGAAACTGACTGTCTGAGGATGCCTAAACTAGAGTAGTACTTTAGGACAATTATTGAAGGATAATACTTTCCTACATAATTAAAAAATTTTAAATTCCTTATAGTAACATATAAACTTTTTAAATTTTTACATGAATCAATTGAAAGTTGCTGAGTTGAATATAACAATAGTTGAAGCTGAGCTGCCAAAGAATTCTCCATGTTCCATATTTCTGGAGAAATAGAAAAGGTGAATGCATATTCATATAAATTTTTACTTTCTGTAATTTTGATTAATTTTAAATTGCTAAAGAAATATTTAATGCTGTTTCTTGAGGAAGAATATTCTTTTTGAGTTTTTACTATAAAAAGCAAACCTTAGACTTTGTTAAAATAAATGGAGACCACGCAAGTGAGACCAAGCAAAGGCTATTTATTCAAAGCTTACTGTATAGCAAGGGTGTCAGCCACCGTCATGTGTGTTTGGCAAAGACTCAAAAGCAGGTAGGAAAATTTAAATGATTTTTAGTGGAAAAAAGGGAAGATTTACTATATGTTCAGATATGGCTGGTAATCTTCAGGTGGGCTAAACTAGAAGCAGGGTATAATATGTGACTGGCTGGTTAAGGGAGGGGAGGATATTTGGCTTGGTCTGGTTGGTCCTACATTGAAAGTGGGTGGCACACAAAAGTGGGGAAGCCAGCAGTCATTGATTAAACCCTGTTTGGGGCTGATTGCTACAGAGGCTGTGGTTTTGCTTCCCGGTCTGGCTGCTGCAGATTGTGGGTCAGAGTTATATATTTGTATATGAGCTGGCTGTTGTCTGTTGTTTATTTGTACAATTAGTGTCTCAACTTCATGTATTGACCCAAAGGAAAGTGGCTTCTAAAGTCATCAATCCTATTATTCTTCATGAAGAGCATGATTTTTTTTCAAGGCAAGTTTTTTTTAAATCACAATGGAAACCAAATAATCATTAATAATATTTATTCTTGTTCTCTAGAAATAAGGAAGAGCAGAAAGTGTGAAATCAGTTTTCAACTAAACCCTACTTAGGCCCTTTTCTTCAATTATGCAGTACTTATTACTAAATGATTGTGTGTTATAGTGATTTAATATTAGGCATTTAATGCAATGAAAAAATGTTCTAACATGCTTTAATGCCCTGTGGATATTGTAATTAGAATTTTGATTAATGACTTAAGTAGATTTTTTCCAAATTATAATTAAATGTTTCTTACTTTGTTGTTTTAAAAGATAGTTGGGTAGGTATCCCCTTCATTCCACCAAAATGTCTCTAGTATTAATAATTATGTAAATCTTCAGATTCATTACAAGAAATTTAGATAAAGAGATTATTTTTAAAAGGCCTTGGAAGTATTACAGTATGTTTTTCTAATTATCTCAAACCTTTGACTTACTGAACTGCTTTTTTTAATACTTACCTATTCATTTAGTGTCTGACTTAGAGTGCAGTTGTAAAAAGAACCTTAAACTTTAAATTTCAACTCCAAGCCATTGGATTTTGGTTTAACATAAATAAACTGTATAAGCGTTGCCTTGAGTGATTCACAGCAGGAAACATTTCTGGAAGAGTCATTGTGCTAAGGATGGAATCATTGCAATAGTCTTGAACCCCTGGGCCTCTCTAGTCACAGTGAGAGCCAAAACCTGAGAGGGAGAAGAGAGGCCTCCTTTAATCAGCAGGTAGAATTCCATTTGAATGAACCTGGAGGGACCACAGAATTGCTATATTAGATCTAAGTCTCTTAGAATTGGAAGCCAAATCCTGCAGAAATTTACAGTGGTAGGCGTTCTCATATTATAGACAAATCTGTATCCTCTAGAAACAATAGAGGATTTTTTCCCCCTCATTCCAAAGCAGTGGAGAGAGTAACTTGATTTGACCTTCTGCCATGGATGCAGTATAAGTGGGTATTAATAAAATTTAGCTTCTCTAAATATTTTTGACCTGCAGGGATTTATAAATTGTTATAATTTAGGAATGAAGAGTCTTTGTTAAGACTTATACTCTGGTTGTTAGTTAGGATATATTGATAGGATCCTTGCATCCATGAGCAAAAATATATATAAACTGTGGCCTAGAATATGGGAATACGTTTTATGTATATAATCGTTATTAAAATGGGACTCTGCCTGTTATTTGAATAATGGAGAAACTACAGTTATAATTCTTACAGATTTTCTGGTAGACCTCTGTTGAGAAATATTCACGTAATTTAAAGAAAAACAAGGTGCCAAATAAAAAAAATTAGCTTTTACAATTACCAGTAACAAATGTAAATACAGGTGGCAATAAGTCGGTCTCCACGTGGCTCAATGCAGGAATAATAGCTCCAATTACTGTCACAAATGTTTGTAATTGTATCTATTGCTGCCAGACAATAAATGCTTTTTAATATAGTAAGGCCATAAATGTACATGCTGCTGTTTAAACAAAATACAATTTTCAGCAAATTTATCCTTGAAACACCTGCTATAATCAAAAAGAGGTGAATGCTATTAAAATAAACTGCCTAAATTAACTAGACACACATACATTTTTAGAGCAGCTTGTATGATTACTCAACTGCCATGACATCTCAGAGAACGAGGGGAACTATTCACTGATGGACTTTTACAGACAAGCTTTCTTTAAGAGAGACTACATAAAACAGAATGTTGTTTTGGGCTGTTGTATTTTTAAACAAGTGTTATTTTGTGGACTTAAAGTTGTATTGCAAGGTCAGCTGTTTGTTTGTTTCATGTGGATCCTGGACAGGTATCAGAGTTGTGGGAATATTGTGCTTAAAATTATACATGTAAAAATACAGTAAAGGGGTGGAGAAAAACCTAGCTATTCTTAGCAACTAAAAAAGATTTTTAGTTGCTTCTGTCATAGTCTTGTTGAACATTCAGGATATTCTGTGTTTAAAGATAGTTGATGATGCCTGCCTTCCTATTTACCCTGAGTGTGATAAATGTTTCAACTGGATCAGAGAAAGGTTCCGTTTATCACAAGTTGAAATAAGAGAATGACTGTTTTTGCTTTAGAGATTACCGTAAGTTGTAACTAAAGAGCATCAAGAGTGGTAGCAGATTTTAAGGAAATAACCAATAGACTTCATGTTATATAAATACTGCAGAGGGAAGTTGCTAATGCCTCACTGTTGATATACCTCAACTAGATATTTGTGATTGAAAGCAGTGAATTAATACACATTGATTATAATTAAAATTTCTAGACTACCTAAATATTTTATGATTGCAAAGAATGATTTGTTTTTTAAAATTACTTAATATGAACTATGAATTGAAGCATAAAGCCTTTGTCATATGGACCTTGCTATAAAATATACTTTTTATTGGCTTGACTCATTTTTCTAATCAATTATATTAGAGTAGTTCTATCACTGAGTTTTATTAAAAATTTCTTAATATTCTAACAAATTTTACGCCTATGGTTTTTATCCCATTTATTTGATTTTGTTTCCTTCTACCAAGTAACAATTTATGTTTCTTGGTTTTTCAAATATGCAGGAGTTAACTCTTGTTTTTTAGAGTTTTTTGAGCTGGGAGGAAGTGGGGAGTTTTATCAGTATGAGATCCAAGTTTTGATTCATACATTCCTGAAGGTGGGAGTACTATTGGGGTCACCTGTTCTGGTGTTCCACTGTGGTTACTCAGCATCTTATAAAATAATTAAATTCTGATTTGGCCTCTGGGTGTTCCCACATTCTCACAGAGGCCTGATTCACTCCCTGTCTGACTTGCCAAATCTCTTCTCTTTGCTTGTAACTCCTTCTAAAGCCTGGAAACTCTCACACAGAAGATCGATGTGGCCATATGAAAGGGGTGTTAATGGAGTAAGCATAAATAATAGGTCTGAGTCAACATATGAAAACTCTTTAGTAACAGATGGTAGTTTGTAAAGATAGCCTTCGAGCGTGTTAGAAATGTAATTATTTCACTAAAAGGTATTATATTTAGAGGTTATAGATCTCCAGTTTCAATTCTGTGATAGGTAGGTGTGAGAATACCAGTGATTATCATAGCCTTCCTTACCGATGATGTACAGTGTTTTATTTTTCTCTACAATGAGATGAATTTCTAGAAAGCAGGAACATCCCTGAGGAAACACATATTTCCAGCGATCATGATTATTCCCACATTGCCTGCAACAAATACACCACAATATATACCACACATAGATACTTTTTTAAAGTAATATGTGTAGTTCTTTAACGCATAAAAATAAAAATTATGCTTTTACACCACAAGAGTGTACCATAGAAGACTTTAAGCTGCTGGCAATGGAAGAAAAAAATGTCAGATTTAAAAATTTAGGAAAGCCACATTCTATAATTATCCTGCAACCTAGTGGGCATTTTTCATTAGAAAAGTTATTCAATCTCATTTTTAAAAAGTTATTTAATTGAATAGACAGTCTCACTCTCTTTTTTGCTCTTTCTCTCACACATATACACTCACATACACAAATAGATACACAAACGGGGGCAGTAATGAAATGAGAAACTCTGCGAATGAGAAAAAGAAGAGATTGCAAATCTGCTTGTGCCAAGTGGCAAAAAGAGAATACAGATAATGTTCTTTTATTAGGGAAGGGAGGATTTTCTGTGGAGGACAGAAATATGCTGCTCATATCCTTGCAGAAAGCATGATAATTTATAGATTTTTGTCCGAGAAGTATTTCCTAGAGTAAACTTAGATATGTGCACCTCCTTCTATCATGGTATTTTCCTTGCCCCTTTTACTTAATCTGATTTTCTGCCATTCAGATTTGCAAAGAATTGTTGACCCTAGATGAGTTTTTAGACATGTCACAGGAAATCTCAAGACTTGTCACTTTTGGAATATAGCTCTCACTTGGCCCTACCTTTCTACCACTGCAACTAAAATTAAAAATCTAATAACTGAGTCTCTCCCTGTGGTTGAAATAGAGTTTGTTATCCAGATCCCCCAGGGCCTTGCTGCCCAGCTACAGAAAGTATGGTCAGCAGACAGCCTCTAGCTCTCCACTCTTTCAGTGGCGGATTTGCCTAACTCAAGGTCTCATCCTTCCTGCATCTGAGTATATGTGAGTTATTTCCAGTTTGGGACTATTATGCATAATGCTGCTATGAAAATTCTTCTATATGCTAAAACACATAGAAGAATTTTCATAGCAGCATTATGTACACATTTCTACTGGAATGTACACATTTCTACTGGAATTTCTGCTAGGAGTGGAATTGCTAGGTCATGGTGTAAGTATGTGATCAGCTGTAGTAGACTCTGCCAAATAAATTTTGAAAGTGGATAAAAATTATATTCCTGCCAGCACTGTGTGAAGTTCCAATTGCTTCATATCTTTGTCAACATTCAGTAGTGTTTTAATCTTTTTTATTTTAATCATTGTGGTAGGTATGTTATGATATCTCATTGTCATTTTAATTTGCATTTCCCGGTTGACTTATGAGGTTGAGCCACTTTTTCATAAGCTTATTTAGCTTTTGGATATCTTCTTTTGTGTTTAGCCATCGGGCCATCTGCTTTTCCTTTTGATTTATAGAAGTTCTTTATATATTCAGGATATGAATCCCTTGTCAGATATGTGTACTGCAAATATCTACTCTAGCTGTCCTTTTCCTTTTTGTATTATGATAAACAGTGACTTAACTTTAATATACTCAAAATGATTTTTTTTGGGGGGAGCAAGTGTGGCTAATACTTATGTTTTAAGAAATCTTTGCTTACCCCAATATTATGAAGATATTCTCAGACTGTTTTCTTTTTTAAGCTTTATTGTTTTGCCCTTCAGAAGATTTGCAATCCATCTAAGTTTGATTCTTGTGTATGGTTGTGAGGTAGAACTCAAGACTTACTTGGTTTTCATATGTATACACAACCAACCCAGACAGTTTACTGAAAAGGTTATTCTTTCACCAGTACACTGCTTTGTCATAAATCAAGTGAGCATGTATGTGTGAGTCTGTATCTGTACTCTGTATTTTATCACTTTAGTCTATTTGTTGTTATTTGATACTATTGAAAATGGTTTCTTTTAAATATATTTTATGTTTATTTGTTGCTGGTATATAGAAATACAATTTTTTATGTATATCTGTATCTAGCTGTGTGTGTGTGTGTGACTTGTTAAATTCACTTTAAACAGTAGGCCTGTAAGTTATTTTGACTTTTCTGATTTATAATTATGTCATTCGCAGATAACATCAATCGTCATTCTTTGTGAGCCTTTTGTGTTTTTACTTTCTCTTGCCTGCTATACTGGTTAAGAACTGTAGTCTTATTTTGGGTGTAAGTGGTGTTATCAGGGAGAATGCTTCCAGTATTTCAGTTTCACCATTAAGTATGATATTATCTTTATGTCTTTTAGAAATATCCTGTAGTAAATTAGGGAAGTTCCCTTGTGTTCCTTGTTTGCCAAGAGGTTTTGTCATGAAAGGACATTAAATTTTTTTCAAATTTTTTTTTCTTCATCTCTTGAAATGGTTATACAATTTGTCTCCTGTCCCCCCACCTTGTGTTGAATTATATTGATTGATTTTTTTGGTGTTAAACTAACCTTGCATTTTGGAATAAATGCAACTTGATTATGATATATTATCCTCCTTACATATCACTGGGTTTGATTTGCTAATATTTTAAGACTTTTATGTCTGTAATTACAAAAGGTATTGATCTGTAATTTTTGTTTGTTTTTAGGGATCTTTGTCAGGTTTGGGTATAATGTTATGCAGGTCTCATAAAACAAGTTGGCAGTTGCTCTCCGTTTTTTTCTATTGTATGGTAGAGTTTGTGTAAGGTTGTTAATTATTTCTTAAATGTTTGGGAAGATAATGAAGCCATCTGGGGTCTGGATATTTTTTCTGATAACACTGATAATTACATATGTTTATCCTAAGAATGTTTTCAATTCATTTTTATTGCATTATTAATATATGAATAACCTTCTTGTAAGAACTCAAATATTACAAGTGAACTGAAGTCTCCCCTAACCATTATCCACTTAAAATTTTTAGGTATACTTTACTACATTTTATCAAGGAAAATGATGTTATAATATAGTGGTCATTGCAACTTTGGGCTCTACCATGGATTGACCTGTGTGAGTTTACAGTCTGCTTAAAAATAGCTAAGTGTCCATTTCCTCATCTTAGTAGACATTTTAAGGGAATTATATGTGTTGATTTACCAGTAGTGCTTAGCATAGTGCCTAACACATACTAAGCATTCCATGAATGTTAACATTATAGTTATCATTATTAGATTTAAAAAGATCCCTGGAGGGATGTGATTGTTGAGGTACTACTCCATACCCAAGGAAGGAGAGAGAAAAAATTTCTAAGTAACTAAAGTGGATAACACAGAAGAAACTGTACTGAAGCTTTATGCATTTTGTTTGAAGGAGAGTCCTATAAATCCTTCTTTGGGACTTATTTATCCTTGTTTTAGTAATGGTTCTAGTAAGGTTATTTTATCTGGATTGTCTGTCTGCAGAAGATTAGAAGCAGCAACCTTCCCTCGTGTTCATGCTTTAGCAAAACGACCAGGATAATAAACATTCATTTAATGTACAAACTTTGAATTGAGAGTTATGAGAACTTCTTGTGCTTCTTACTGAAATTGGGTGACAAAGAAAGGAAATGAAGGAGGCTGCTTGATGTAATAGAAAACCTATAAGAGAGAGAAAAGATACTTGGTTTCCTATTCATTTTGTGATTGATGATGTTAAAAAATCACATGACCTCAATTTGTTACCCGATCTGTGAAATGGAGGTATAGGATTTCTTTCTCATACGTTAGAGTGATCTTGAAAATCTCTAGAGAAAATGAATTCTGTGTTGAAACAATGGCCTGAGAAAAATGCAGATGTCTTAAATGGAGCCGTAAGCGCCCTTGTAAATAGTTTTAAATTCACTAAAATAAAACTGCAAAACAGAACATTGAATTAAGGTTTCACCGGTAATTATAATGGAATTGTAATTACCATTATAATTGTGGGCAGTGAGAATAGAGAAGGGTAGAGTCAATGTCAGATAGAAGTAACGTTTTTTGATGGAAAGTGATTCAACACACATCAGAGCCTTGGAGCTCTGCTCTTGCTTTTTTGCAGGGAGAAGCAAAAAGTGCGAATAGACCTCCATGAACTGCTACAGTCAGTTGTGGTCTGGTGAGGGTTTTTTCTGAGCATAGAAAAAAGCATCCCAGCACACGGGAAGGTGACTTCCATGGCTTTTTTCTATCAATAATTCTTTAGCACTATGCCTCTCCACTCGCAAAGTCAAACTTTTTTTTTTTTTAAAGAAGGTTTGGTATTTTACAAGTTGTAAACTAATGAAACCGATACATAGATGTAAATTCCATTTACCATCTCTAGCTCTAGCTCATGATTTAGTTTCTCTTTTTCCTGCAGTTTCAGAGAGAAGCTTTAAGCATTGAGTTGGAGATCTAGACAAAGAAAATGCCTCTTCATACACAAAGGAAATCTTTCAAGTGTTATTGTGTTGAAGTAAAACCCAGAGATCCTTATAGTCTTGCGAGTCACCTTAACAGCTGCAACTACATCTCATACTTTTTGATTTTATGGTGTACTGTGAATCACCATCTCCAGATACTTCATCACAGTTTTTCAGTTTCTGAAGAAGGGAGATAGATAATATTATAATTTAGTGCTAAAGAATTTGGAGTGGGGAGGGGATCTATGGTTACAATGATACCTTTGCTATTTACCTAATAAGTGATAGCATTATACATGTGATTTCATATGAGAGGATTTTGAAACATAGAAATTCTAAAGAAATGATATACTGTAGTATTAGTGTTCTCAATTCCATTGAGAGAGAAAATATGCAAAATTGAGTGAAATATTCATCTTCAGTAGAAAGAAGAAATGATGCCTAATGAACACGTTAGAGCACTTTAGAATAGGTGACCAGTAGACCCCAGCAAGAACTTGATAAATAGCAAAAAGAATTCTCGGTTTATCTTATAAATTCTTTGGTAGTTTATTTTATCCCCCAAAAAAGCATTATGTAATATGCGGAAAATACACTGTTTTGAGATTGCTTTGCATTTTTCAGACATAAAACTTTGCCAAAGTCAATTAGCCTATCTGATTCTTAGTTTTTCTCACTATAAAATACATATATGTAGTTAATTTTTCTGCATAACAAACAACCCCCAAATCACAGTGGCTTGCAATAACATATTTATTTTCACATACAATACATATCTGCTGATATCTGCTTCAGCTGCACCTCTGCTCCAGCTAGATTCTATGTTTCTTACTCTCAGACCCAGGCTGAAAGGATAGTCCCTATGTGGGGCATGCTTATTATTATCATGGCTGAAAGAAAGAGCAGGAGAGCAGATGAATGGATGTTTCTGACAGCTTCTGCACAATCCTGGCATAGACCATGTCCACCATCATTCCACTGGCTAAAGAGAACCACATAGTGAAGGTCAGCATCAATGAAGCAGGAAAGTGTTCTCGTCCCACAACCAGCCAGCAAATCTCATAAACCTCTTAAAGAGAAGGTAGAAGTATAAGAAGAGATGACAATATCTATTTATCTCTCCAAACCTTTGGGAGTCTCAAATAAAGGAAGTCATATAAAAGTGCATTGTAATCTAATGGATTCTCTACTAATGTAAGAATTACTCTTATTGTTGAACAGTTCCTTTTAATGTTATTTATTTCAGGGATCCAGATAGATTTCAAGTCCTTACATATCATTAAAACCCACTTCTTCTTCTTCATTTTGACACAAACTTCTGTAAAGCTTTTAACTATCGCAGTTATGTTAATAGTTTTTCAAAAGATATATATTTTGCCTTTTTATATTCATGTTTTTAAAATGCCACAGTTATAATCATTTATATTTTTTTCCATTATAACTATATTAAACCCCTTTCAAGAACTTCTTGGGCATCTAGAAGGTTTTTGTCTTTTTTTCCTGATAATTAAAGTAATACAATTTCCTTATAGGAAATTTAGAATATTCTGGAATGGTAAAGAAGAAATTTAAAAGTACCCATATTCAAATCCCTGTCTTAAACACACACACACACACACACACACACACACACACACACACACACACACTCAAATATATGCAAATACTGATTTTTACTAAATAGGACACCTAATGAAAATACTCTTTTTGAGACTGTATTTTCCACTTTAATATATGTTGTTAGCATGCATGTTTGCTGTTCATTAAATATTTTTTGAGAACATGAATTTAACATTTTAATGTTTAATATTACTGTATATAATATACTATATTATATACACACACACACACACACACACACACACACACACACACACACAGAGTCCCTGACTTACCATGGTTCAACTTAACAATTTTTCGACTTTACAGTGGTGTAAAAGTGATATTCATTCAGTAGAAACTGTGCTTTGAGCACCCAGACCTCCATTCTGGTTTTCAATTTCTGTACAACATTCAATAAATTACATGAGATATTCACTATTTTATTATAAAGTAGAGTTTGTGTTAGATGGTTTTGCCCAACTGAGGCTAATGTAAGCCTTTCAAGCACATTGAAGGTAAGCTAGGCTAAGCTATATGTTCGGAAAGTTAGGTGTATTACATGCAATTTTGACTGGATATTTTTAGCTTATGATGGGTGTATCAGGTTGTACCCCATCTTAAGTTGAGAAGCAATTTTAATTATGAAGCCCAATAATAAACACACCCCCAACTTGAGAACTAGACCATTACCACCTGAAGTTAGCTGTGTGCTCCTCTGCTGCTGCCCCTTCCCACCCACAGTAATCACTATCCTCAAGTTTGTATACAGTGTCTTTGTGTGTGTGTGTGTTTGCATATGTTTGTATCCCCAAACAGTGTATCACTGAGTTTTACTTGGTTTCCAGATTTATAAAAACAGTATCATACCACATTATTTTTAGTAGTAGAATGAATATTACAAAATTAATTTAATCTGTCCTTTGCTGTTAGATATTTAGTTTTCTGCTGTTTTACTTTTATCAGTAACTTGTACATTAATCTTTGTGTATTCCCAATTATTTCTGTGAGAATAATTTCTAGAAGTTAGGGTAAGAATACTTTTTGACTTTAACTTTATATCAGGCATGTGTCCATCTAGAAGATTTTAATAAAACAAATATTCAGATTTGCCTCACAGGTAATTACAAATCATCACTGGCTCAACACTTTAATGGGCTTTATAAATACATGAATGTCCCAGTAGCTTATCAAACTTAAGTGCAAACACAAATTCCTAGTATTTTTAACTTCCCTAAAATCTCTGCTGTTCTTGTCACACTGTAGTATTAATATCCCCTCAGTTCCTCAAGCTGGAAACCTTAAAGACACATTGTCTCTACTACCCCACCTTCACTTCAGTCACCCCATATGCGTACTTCACTTTAGTCAGTCTTCAAGTTTTGCTAGTTCTGCCTCTACAATGTCCCTTGATGCATCCCTTCCTTTCTATTCTCACAAGCATTGCTCTAATTCAGACCTGGCTAATCTATATCATGTGGACTATTAGCCTTCTAACTGGGTCCCTACCTGCCTTCAGTCTCTTGCCTTTTTAATCAGTCCTTTACTCTGTTACTTTCTCAAAACATACACTTATCTTTAAAACTGAAACCAAAAATATCTGATAGCTCCCCATTATGTACATAATAAAATCTATACTCTTTAGTTGTTATAAGCAAAGCCCTTGATCTAATTGAACCTCTCTCTCCAGCTTTATTTTCTTGTGATCCATCCTCCCCAGCCCATCCCCAAGAACTTTGTGTTTTCCATGCTAGACAGCTGTTGGCTGCTTGGTCTCCATGTATTTTCCTTGTTCATGTTACTCCCTCAGCCAAGAATATGCTTCCTCCGCACATCTTTGCAGCCTGTTGAAATGCTACTCATGCTTCGAGGTTCCACAGAAATACCAGCCCCTCCATGGAGTTTTACATCAGTGTACACTATCGTAGTTATACCTAAATGAGTCAGGCATGGTTGCTTCTCTCGAAATGTTTTAAATGTCAATGCATGGCAAAAATATATTTATAAATAATGCTGGGTAGAAATAGCAGAACACAAACTATTTTAACATATCCATTATAATAAAAACTATATATTTGTATATGTATGTATGTATGCATTTTTCTAAATACATATATATGGAGAGAAACAGGCAAAGAGAAACAGAGACTGTTAGGAAGAGGGAAGCAATGTAAATACTTGAGCTTGGTGTTTATTAAGGCCTCTGAAATTCTTTTTGGAACCAGGCAGGATGAGTACTTTTTCAAAAAAAATTAATGATAATATAATGATGCGTGTTAGGTTCATTTTCTTTCATAAAGATGCTAACTTGGGCTCCAATAGGTTTCCATTTTGAGGCTCAACCATATTTGGTCCAGGTGCAGAAGGCCAGCCAGTTGTCCCTCCTCTCTATTCCAGTGTTGATTAGCTGACTTGGAGGGGCCTTGTTCCGTTGTCAACTCTGTGTAGTCATAGTCACGGGTGGTGAATAGTCCCCTCAACTATAAAATGAAAACGTTACACTAGATGATTGTTAAGTAGATGGATAGATGATCTCTAAGGTTCTTTTCAGCTCTCCAATTCTGCGATACTTTTTGCTCATGAAACAGAAAAATGCTTAAGGATAAAGGAAAGTGCTGATTTGTTTTCTACTCTAGCACCCTCACTATCAGGTAGCCAGTTGCCCCCTTTCTTTACGTCAAACTGCCAGTATGTGTTGTGTGGAAATTACTACATTTGGCTTCTATCCAGGTGCACCAATAGCTATGTGGCCTTGGGTGTGCCCCTTGCTGTCACCAGGCCTCTGTTTGCTTATCTGTGAAATGACAAGGGTGAGACTGGATGCTTTTTGAGGCTCTTTGCAGCTTTAATATATTATAATTTTATAATTGGTACATTTGAAGTACCCAAGCAGTTTCTTACCCTGCAGTCACTAGGCCATTTCAAAGTTAAATAATAGGTAGAATGGGACTATTCACAAAATATCCTTTTACTCACAAAATAGTGTAGTTAGCAAAGTGGAGCATCAGGGTATGCAAACAGATATGTGCAATGAAGAAATAGCCTAGTTGCATCACTTACTTTAACTTACTGTATTTTTCTTTTACAATGGGTATTTCTCAATTACTCTTTTAAAATTATTACTTTGTATTAAATAGGGAATCCTTTCCCCATTGTTTGTTTTTGTCAGGTTTGTCGAAGATCAGATGGTTGTAGATGTGTGGTGTTATTTCTGAGGTCTCTATTCTGTTCCATTGGTCTGTATATCTGTTTTGGTACCAGTATCATGCTGTTTTGGTTACTGTAGCCTTGTAGCATAGTTTGAAGTCAAGTAGCATGATGCCTCCAGCTTTGTTGTTTTTGCTTAGGATTTTTTTGGCTGTATGGGGTTTTTTTTTTTGGTTCCACATGAAATTTAAAGTAGTTTTTTCTAATCTGGGTAGAAAGTCAATGGTAGCTTGATGGGAAAAGCATTGAATCTATAAATTACTTTGGGCAGTATGGCCATTTTCATGATATTGATTCTTCCTATCCATGAGCATGGAATGTTTTTCCACTTGTTTGTGGCCTTTCTTACTTCCTTGAGCAGTGGTTTTTAGTTCTCCTTGAAGAGGTCCTTCACATCCCTTGTAAGTTGTATTCCTAGATATTTTATTTTATTTGTAGCAATTGTGAATAGAAGTTCACTCATGATTTAGCTCTCTACTTGTCTATTATTGGCATATAGGAATGCTTGTGATTTTTGCACATTGATTTTGTATCCTGAGACTTTGCTGAAGTTGCTTATTAGCTTAAGGAGTTTTGGGGCCGAGACATAGGGGTTTTCTAAATATGCAATTATGTTATCTGCAAACAGAGACAATTTGACTTCCTCAGTTCCTATTTGAATACCCTTTATTTCTTTCTATTGCCTGATTGCCCAGGCTAGAACTTCCAATACTATGTTGAATAGGAGTGGGGTGAGAGGGCATGCTTGTCTTTTTCCGGTTTTCAAAGGGAATGCTTCCAGCTTTTGCCCATTCAGTATGATATTGGCTATGGGTTTGTCATAAATAGCTCTTATTATTTTGAGATATGTTCCATCAATACCAAGTTTATTGAGAGTTTTTAGCATGAAGGAGTGTTGAACTTTATCAAAGGCCTTTTCTGCATCTATTGGGATAATCATGTGGTTTTTGTCACTGGTTCTGTTTATGTGATGGATTACATTTATTGATTTGTGTATGTTGAACCAGCCTGCATCCTGGGGCTGAAACTGACTTGATCATGGTGGATAAGCTTTTTGATGTGCTGCTGGATTTGGTTTGCCAGTATTTTATTGAGGGTTTTCACATTGATGTTCATCAGGGATAAAACTGGCTAGCCATATACAGAAAACAGAAACTGTACCCCTTCCTTACACCTTATACAAAAATTAGCTCAAGATGGACTAAAGACTTAAATGTAAAACCTAAAACCATAAAAACCTGAGAGGAAAACCTAGGCAATACCATTCAGGATATAGGCATGGGCAAAGACTTCATGACTAAAACACCAAAAGCAATGGCAACAAAAGTCAAAATTGACAAATGGCCTCTAATTAAACTAAAGAGCTTCTGCACAGCAAAAGAAACTATCATCCAAGTGAACAGGCAGCCTAGAGAATGGGAGAAAATTTTTGCAATCTATCCATCTGACAAAAGTCTAGTATCCAGAATCTAAAGGAACTTAGACAAATTACAAGAAAAAAAAAACCCATCAAAAAGTGGGCAAAGGATATGAACAGACGCTTCTCAGAAGAAGACATTTATGTGGCCAAAAAACATATGATAAAAAGCTCATCACCACTGTTAATTAGAACAATGCAAATCAAAACCACAATGAGATACCATCTCATGCCAGTTAGAGTGGTGATCAAAAAAGTCTGGAAACAACAGCTGCTAGTGAGGATGTGGAGAATAGGAACACTTTTACACTGTTGGTGGGAGTGTAAATTAGTTCAACCATTGTGGAAGACAATGTGGCAATTCTTCAAGGATCTAGAATCAGAAATACCATTTGACCCAGCAATCCCATTACTGGGTGTATACCCAAAGGTTTTTAAGTCATTTTACTGTAAAGACACATGCACACATATGTTTATTGCAGCACTATTTACAATAGCAAAGACTTGGAAC
The DNA here is from genome assembly GCF_000001405.40 of Homo sapiens. Lineage (NCBI taxonomy): Eukaryota > Metazoa > Chordata > Mammalia > Primates > Hominidae > Homo > Homo sapiens. Next base: position 108,168,912 of record NC_000003.12, on the reverse strand, counting down.
CAATCCAAATCCCCATCAATGATAGACTGAATAAAGAAAGTATGGCACATATACACTGTGGAATACCATGCAGCCATAAAAAAGAATGAATTCATGTCCTTTGCAGGGACATGGATGAAGCTGGGAGCCATCATTCTCAGCAGACTAACACAGGAACAGAAAACCAAACACCGCATGTTCTCACTCATAAGTGGGAGTTGAACAATGAGAACACATGAACACAGGGAAGGGAACATCACACACCCAGGCCTGTTGGGGGATGGGGGATGGGGAGGGAGAGCAGTAGGACAAATACCTAATGCATGCAGGGCTTAAAACCTAGATGACAGGTTGATGGGTGCAGTAAACCACCAGGGCACATAGTATACCTATGTAACAAACTTGCACATTCTGCACATGTATCCCAGAACTTAAAGTAAAATAAAATAAAAAATTATTACTTTGTAGTAAACTGAAATATTTTTAATATATTTTGTAGGAAATTAAAATGTTGATGTAGATTTCAAATTTGCACACTAATTCAGATCAGTCTAGTAGTAATAGATGATATTTTAAAATACATGAACTCCAGTAATCATTATAAACTTCCTTTATTAAGAAAGGGACTCAAAAGGCTTCATGAAGATGAGGGCCCCATTTTCATTTCCAAGGGACAAACTAATCTTTGATATATGATATTTGAGTTCAGAATTGCTTTTGGCAAACATAATTGTTACTGCTTAAACAAGTAGTTCTTTTCTAGTAATTAGAATTTTTTTTTCATTTTAATGGGTAGTCATAAATATTAACCACCAGCAGTGCAGGAATAATTTAAATTGTCAGACATCACTCTGTGAACACGTGAAATAATTTACATTTATTTAGAACCTTTTATCCTAAAGTGCTCTACACATATTTCTTTATAATCTGATTGCAAGCTATAAATAGGGCTATCCCACCTGAAATAGGGCAGGAACCAAAGTAATTAAAGGTTACAACTTCACAAGAAGTAGGGAAAGATGGAAATGTAGTATTTTTTACATTATTTCTATGTGCTCTATGCCTGTAGGATTGGAGAATCCATGTTGACCAAATGCACCAGCACAGAAGTGGAATTGAATCTGCTCTAAAGGAGACCAAGGTATATGAATTACTTTACGTGAATCAATGTACATTTACTCATCTGTGGAACACCTGTTATAAGAGAACATGAAAGAATAAAAAGACACAATTTTTGCCTTTAAGGAACTTACTAATTGAATGTACCGTGTTACATTTCAACTGACCTTACATTTAAACCAACTAAAGAAAGCTAACTTACATATTAATAAAAGCTATATATATGTATATATATAAGATATATATGTATAATATATAGATAATACATATATTAGAGAGAAACATTTCATCATCCTTTCCTCTCTGAATCTTAAAGGAGGAAAGAACACCAGACCAGCAAGGTCTAGAACTTACAGCCTCCGCAGGCTTGCTGTCCTGCCAGAAACAAGGACTTTGGAGAATGTCACAAAGAAGCAAAGCTAGACTGAAAAGTTATGTGTCCCAGGCTAGAGCTATAGGCTTAGGGATCTATTTCCAACTGGAATATTTCAGTCACCTTTGAATCGTGCTATAGGAAACTCACGTTATTCCCTTACTTTGATTGTGAATGTTATATAATGCTAATTATAGTCACATAAATTTTATGGTATGTATAATGACAAATGAATTGACTAACACTGCCAGGTGCATTTTTATTCTAAAACTCTTCTAAGTGTGGTTAAAATATTTCTCATCACAGATATTTTGTGCTATTGAAAATTTCAAGCTGTCTTCTTTTGCACATGTAGTTGATTATTTGTAGAATGGATTGAGATGTAACCCATTTTTAATATTTTTGAAAAAATATGTTTGTGAGTTCTTCTATCTGCAAATTCCATGGAATTTCTAGGGATTTTTGGACAAACTCCATAATGAAATTACTAGGACTTTGGAAAAGATCAGCAGCCGAGAAAAGTACATCAACAATCAGCTTGAGAATTTGGTTCAAGAATATCGTGCAGCTCAAGCCCAGCTGAGTGAGGTAATTTAAGAATGATTTCCAAGGATTTATTCAAGTTAACAACCCTAAACCCTAAACTTGACACAATACTGTTCATTTGAGAATCATGAAATGCTTTTCATGAACAGCAAAACATCAATTTTCTGCCCACTTTAGGAAGCCAAGAGAGCCGAGTGAACTTATTTCCATTTCACATGTAATAGAAGTTGTTTTCTCCTGGAAGTCTTTAAATGCACGTCTTCATTTGATTTAAGTAAATGAAGGCATATGCTGTTGGGGGAACATAGCTTAGAACAGGAACAGAGTATCAGGACACCTGGTTTTGCTTCTATAAGTCTGTTGTTAATTTACCATTGGCGTAGGAGGAAGAAGAATAGTATGCATTTACATGTGTCAAAGGAAAAAGACAGTCCTTGCCATTCTGGCTTACAACCACATAATAAGGAATGTGAAAGCAAGATACATTCAGAGACAAGCAGTTTAATTAATAAAATGAGACAAATTTTTCATTCTTTCAAAGTTTTAGAATTTTAACCAAAAAATAAAATCACTAGACTTTGAAAGCACCAGTTCTTTGTCCCAGCAGTAGGGATCTAAAAGCTTTCCTTTGGGATTTGTGCCCCCTATTTTCTGATGTTAAAGAAGGCTAGTAAGGACAGTTGCAAACATCAGTTGAAGGCATATTTTTTGTCTTCAGCAGACAAAGTTGAGAAAGAGAAAAAAGTAGAAGTAAATTTGAGATACTTCTATACTTTCAGAAGTCCTCAAAGACTAAATAGAAATCTACACTTTTTGATGTTATTTGTTAAATGTATTATTCCTTCATATACACAATTACTTATGAATATTTTAACTATCAAAATGATGTAAAACTCTCTGATCAAAGCCACCATGTATTTGTCTAATATTAATATTATATAATTGATTGTTAGTTTCTGACATACTCCAGTTGAGTGTACTGTCTTACGGGATGTTAATCCTTATTCATCATTGAGCTTCATGCTCTACTTTGATTGATTTTTGGTTTTAGAACGGACTTTCTCTGCGGAGCATGCAAATTAGATTGACCAAGAGCCCCTCTCCTAAACTGTTTAGGAATGACCAAGGACAGTTTTTATTGTGAACCATGCCCATGCGAGGTACACAGTCAGTTTGTGAAGGTTAAGGTAGTTCATCATTTTGTAGTACTTAGTTAAATACATGCTGCCTATTAGGGACATAAAACAGCTACAGTTAAATGTCACTTTCACAAATGTATTCACAAACAAGGAGCAGGGTTGTCATAAAATGACCTGCAGAAATTGCAAACACAAAGAGGTCAGTCGTATTTAATCTGCTGCTGCTTTGAATTTGCCATTAAACAAAATGTTTTTCCTCTCAGGCAAAGGAGCGATACCAGCAGGGAAATGGAGGAGTGACGGAAAGAACCAGACTCCTCTCTGAGGTACACACTGATGCTCTTGCCCTGCTTCTCACCTGTCAGCTGGGCCCCAGCCATTGAGAACCTACAAATGGTTTAACACTGCTAATTTCAGTTGCTTCCTGTGCCTTTAAATCATTTTCTTTAGGAGATAATCCCTAATTTTCCTATGACTGAATCAATAATTGATACATTTCTTGTTTCCACAGGATGCCTGAAGTTTCTGTATTAAATTCAACATAAAACCTGCTCATAATATTAGCACACTTATAATTTTCCTCAACATTTTTTACATAATAATTATTATTAACATGGGGATGAATAGTAAAGCACTGACTTAAGGAATCTATAACAAATTTTAACGTTAGTCTGCAAGATATAAGGTTTATTTTTAGTGACTGTTATTGATAATTTGTGTGTGATCCTGGGTGTATTTCTCTGTCCACAATTGGGAGTGGCTTATAACCTCCTCCTTTAGAATATTTGCATAAAAATAAATAGTTGCATTTATTTTTATGATCTTGCAAGAGAGGTAGGACCTGATATATATTCCCATTTTTCACTGAAGAGCCAAAGGAGGAAAAAACCTTGAAAAAAGGTCAGTAGTTTATTTGGGACTAAAATCCAAGATGATCTTTGGTTACAATCCAGTATAATTGGAACAAACTTTACTGTTTTGACAGGAAAGAATTAAACCTCTTTTATAGAGATTATTTGAGGAATAAAGTTATTTTAAAACACTAAAAATATAACATCAGAAATATTTAGACTGTAATCCTGTGGTGCTTCTAAGCAAATAAAACAGTATGTAGAAGTAAAGTGTTCACTTATGTTAGGTAAATTAACACTTGAAGGGAGTCCAGGGAACCATTTACTTCTTTTGGAGTAGATAGTTATCCCCAGTTGTAACATTTCAGATGCCTGAAAAAATTAATTTGCTTTACTTGGATGAGCACTTTATTCCCAGGGAAAGTTTTACTCACCAGTATGATAAAAATAAAGCCTACTAAGTCACAATAATTATAGCTTAGTTGTAGATCATGTAAAAAATTTTCAATTTCTTAAAGATAGTATTTTCTACTTATATTAATGCTGGTTTGGAATTTTGCTAATAATAGAGGTTATAGTAGTATAATCGCCAGATAGAGTGCAGATAGGAACAAGTGTGACAGCAAAGTATGCCTCCTTGGAGTTCGGAGTTCATGATTTGGATAAAGCAATAAGAATATTCTTATATATAGCCATATGATATAAACATTTTTTAGTGTCCTATAGAGGAAAAAGTGACATAATGTCTTATAGAACTATAATATTAAGAAAGATACCCAGAAAAGCTTTAGAAATCTAAAATCTCTTCAGGATGTTTATACTATTTTAATTAATAACCAGTTATTAGAGAATTTCAAAGTATATGCGATGAGATAATTGCGAGGTTTGAGTGTCTAGTGACTAAAACAACTTTGATTGTGTTTAGTATATTGCAACATGAGAAAACAGATGTGACAGCCATTTGGTGAAGTTTAACATTAGGAGCATTCTGAAAAACTGAAAAGCTTTGTATATCTGCATACTTTATATTATTTGAATTATGTCCAAAATATTCCTAATATCTTTATTTTTCTATATGTGTGGCTAATATCTAAATTACATTTTCTTAACACATAATTCAAAAATTGTGAAAGTTTATTAAAATGTAATGCTCATGAAAACTTGTTTTCATGAAAGGTTATGGAAGAATTAGAAAAGGTAAAACAAGAAATGGAAGAAAAGGGCAGCAGCATGACTGATGGTGGTAAGTACATGCTCATTTTAGGGGAAAAACTGAGCAAGAGAAAAATAGCTCTTCAAGAAACCTACTTAACAAAATAGTATTAATATATAAAACAAATTATTTGTTGCTTGTTTGAAGAGAGATTCATTGTACAAAAATGTCTGATAATCAGCGTACTGTTTTTCTTATAAATCAGCTGAGAAGGGTAGGCTTTTTAACTATAATTTAGAGGTTTTTAACATTCAAACTATTGATTCAAAGAGTGGGAAATATTTAAATATGTACTTTGTTATGCCAGTTTAAAAAATAATATTGTGTTCTGTTTTCATCAAATGAGCTTCACTTTTTCTATTTTATATACAAAAGGGCACTAAGTATATGCCCAAATGACACTAAGGCAGTGATGTGATAACCCGTAGTTTATTTTCCCTCCTCCCCAGTAGAACTGACTGGGCAGGGGTCAAATAGAGAAGAATTAATCATCCTCTGGTAATCATCCTCCATTGTGAGCAGGTTACTTTGATATGGGCCAGTAGTGATTGCCGAAGGCTTTTCTATGCCCTAGAAAAATTTTCTAGAGTTCTATTGATATATACTGAATGATCTTGCAAAAGGGAATGTTTAGGATTTTTTTTTTGCAATATGTTTTAAGTGGGCCCATTATCTACATCTCAAAGATAATTCTCTCTTCCCCTTTTCCCCTTTTGTATTTCCTTTTCCTACAGACAAATATACTAGCTCATAAAATCATCTTGAACACATCCTTAAACACCTGTTTAGCAGCTCTTTCCCCTAGAAAAGGAAGAAAGTTTAGTCTCAATACATCAAACACTACATCATTTTTCCATCCTAAAAAATCTCAGGTGCTTAAAATGCCACAGCAAAACTGTGTGAATGTCAGTAAGTTTTTGGCTATATTTTTAACCCTATTTTGGGCTTAAGACAAAGTGAGGAAAATGTCATACAATTCTGTAATACACTGATACTCCAAATGAACATTTTTATTTCATGTTATTTTCATTCTGCAGCTCCTTTGGTGAAGATTAAACAGAGCTTAACAAAACTGAAGCAAGAAACTGTAGAGATGGACATTAGAATTGGCATTGTGGAACACACACTACTCCAATCAAAGCTGAAGGAGAAGTCCAACATGACTAGGAACATGCATGCCACAGTTATTCCAGAACCAGCAACAGGCTTTTATTAAAACATACTGGTTTTCATGTTTCTGATTAGTTGGGTTTTTTATATCAAACTATATTTCATGTTGCATAGATTTCAAAACATAATTTTATGTTCAATGGGTATTTTTTTACATATACATACTCACATATTATATCATGGTGATTATGATGGTTAAAGCCTTTACACTGAATGTAATGTTTAATAAAGAAATTACAAATTCTCACTTTCTAAGAAGCTTTCACTAATCATTACCTATGTTAAAGCTCCCACCTGGTGGCTCATTTTTCATAGCATTCCTTGTGTAAGCCAAGGTATATGACCTGCGTTTTCTGCAGATGCTGCTGCTGTCACAACATGAACTGCTGACACAGTCCTTTACCTTGCTCCACCTCTGCAGTGATCATAAGTGCTTTGTGCCCAGAGGCCACTGAAGATGGTAGGCAGGATTCTTTCCAAGAACCCAAACTGCCTTTGCCTCAGCTTTATGGTTACCTAAAATTGCCACTTTTTTTAGGTTAAAAAAAACTTCAGTATCCTCATTAACATTTGAAGTTGGTTTCTTATGAATATTTCGTGGCTAAAATGATTTTATAGGGAATCTATCTTCTAGGATCTAAGCCACTAAATAAAAGGATAAATGAATGATGATAAGTCAGTCACTCATGTTTGACTCTGTTCTTAGAATGAAGAGAAGGTGCATATGCATGTCTCAATTTCTACCTTTTTCTGTGGTATCGGCTATACTAGGGAACCATTTTGTAGAAGAAGGAACGATGACAGGTCGCATGAAGATCAGCCTCTAGTACTGATGATCTTTACTTATGCATCTTCCTGAGCAACTTTCTAGGCTAGGATTTCTAAATTGGTGAAAAAAGCAGCATTAGAGTGCCAGAATTAGCACTGGGGAAAACTGGCCAGGGGAACACAAAGCAGGAGACAGCCTGCGTTAATTTTTTTTTTTTAATAATTTTCAAAAGCAGTGGTAGAAAATTTGATAAGAATGCTTTATGTTTAGGACAACAAAAATAATTTTAAAAAGTTATTTTTTACCCTAATACTTTTCTCCACTGAATATTATTATTTTTTTCTTAGCTTTTTCTTTCTAGATGTATTCCCCAACATGCTCACATACACAGATCTTTCCCTTTCCTTACTAGACCTCTCTTTAGTTTAAGATAAGTTTAGACAGGAGAAAGTGTATGTAAACTACCTGAAAGGATGACAATCAATACAATGACAAATATGCCAGTTTATTTAATTTGTTTAAAAAAAAAAAGGCAGAAAACCCACCATGGGAAAATAAGCATTTTTTAAAATCTGAAGTTGCTCTTTTCCTGTGTGGTCTTTGGGAGGAGTCTAATACAAAAACTGAAAACCTTTGGTCCTGGGAATTTATTTTCATGGCTGTTGTCATGGCTGAGTAGTTTTTTGATGAATTCAATCAATGCAGAGAACGCTTTTAGATAAATCAGAACTCTCCTTAAAATGCATTTCAATCAGAAGCAAAGTACACCCATTATTTATGCAGACATGTAAAAAATCTAAAAATTCTTGCAATGAGTAGTATAAGCCACCTATTTTTACTTCCTTCTCTGAAATATTCCAGTTAACTCAGCTTGGGTTCTGTGCTCCTCCTCTCTTCCTATAGAACACTGTGCATACCTTGAATAAAGAGCTTATTATACTATATTGTTATTTTCTTCCATCCTACCTAATGAATTGAGCTACTTTAGGATAGGACAAAGTCTTTTATTTCCGTATTCCTTGCCAGGTGCCCAGCACATAGAAAGTGTCTAGTAAATGTATTGAGTTAGTAAATGGATGAGTAGATGACTGGCACTGTGTGGATCCAGGATACCTTCTAGCTCCCATTCTATAGCATGAAGAGTTTAATGACATTAAGCCTGTGTGCTTGGTATAGTTTCAAGATAGCGATTAAAAACAATGGGTTCTTTTCCTATGGTATTGGATTAGAATTAGAAACATCAGTATGAACTCATGGGTTTTTAAAAGTAAGTATAGATTAATAGAAATATAGAAATATTTAACATGTAGTAATACACACACACATATTTCCTAGTTGTGTCCTCTGATAGAGCCTAGTAGCAGTGACAGCCCAATTACAACTGTGGGCACTCAGATCTTGATGTCTAAATTCTCTTCTTTAAAAAAAAAAGGAAGTCTTAGATTTCTGATTCCTGGGCTGCAACAGGAAAAGCACAAGGTGAGTCTAAAATACTTGCTTTGCCAGAAAGGAAGTACTTAAATAATGATGGGAAGTATCTAAAGGACACAGCAGATTGAGGGTTTACCATCTGCCAATCTGGAACAATTTGAGCATCAAAGTCAATCGTCATAGTAATAAATAATAACACATGGAATAAGAAACCACAAGTCCACACAGATATAAATGAATGAAAGAATAAATGGAGAGGTGAGAAAGGTCTTCCTGCTCATGTAAAAGGAATGCTGGATTTAGAAAATCACCACATGGCATCTACCATGGTAGTAATTGTTTGGGCAAGACTCATCAGTGGATGCTAAAATTGGTAGGTGAAAGTTTGATAGAAACAGGATATTTACATAGTCTTGAATTATGTAAGACATTTTACAAGGAAAAAGTTGTTTACAGTATAGAAACCTGGTAGATACCACTTTAGGTGATAATAGTTAACACCACTAGTAATGGGACAAATAGAGACCATAGGCCTGCTGAGAAGAGCACACACTTACATGGTTCCTGCTGAAAATGCATAACCTGAATCTACTCATGAAATATCAGATGAATCCAAACTGAGGGATTTGTATAAAATAGCCTATATTCCTCAAAAATAATGTCATGAAAAGTTCTAAGGAACAGTTCCAGAGCAAAGGAGACTAAAGAGATAAGACAGCTAGATGCAACAGGAGATTCCAGATTGGACCCTGGGCCAGGAAAGGAAAAAATATGAATATTTTTAGTGTGTCTGCATATGTGTATATATATAATATATAGCATATATATGTGCGTGCACACACACACACACACACATATATATATATATAATATAAGCAGTCATCCCCAACTTTTTTGGCACCAGGGACCCCTGTTGTGCAAGACCATTTTTCCACTGACCAGGGGCAAGGGGGCGGGGATGATTCTGGGATGAAACTGTTCCACCTTAGATCATCAGGCATTAGTCAGATTCTCATAAGGAGCACGCAAGCTGGATTCCTCGCATGTGCAGTTCACAATAAGGTTCCCGGTCCTATGAGAATCTAATCATCTAATGCTGCTGATCTGACAGGAGGAAGAGCTCAGGCGGTATTGCTCACTGGCCCGCTGCTCACCTCCTGCTGTGTGGTCCAATTCCTAACAGGCCAGGGACTGGGAATGGGACTGGGACTGGTCCATGGCCTCAGGAGTTAGGGACCCCTGTTATAAAGGATATTATTGGTGCAACAGGAAAATTTTGAAGACCTGTGGATTGGATAATAGTATTAATGTTAATTTCTTGATATTTATGCTGTACATAAGATAATATACTTTTAACAATACACACATGTATTTGATTCTAAAGAGGCACCCTGTCACCAACTTACTCTCAAATGGTTCAGGAAAAAAAAAGGTATGTGTGTTTGTATATTCATACATATACAGAGAGGATAGTGAAAAAAATGTAGGAAATTGCTAACATTTTGGGAATGTGGGAGCAGGAAATACTGAACTCAATTGTACTTTTTAAAACTTTTCTATAATCTGAAATTATTTCAAAATAATAGTTTAAAAATGATAGTTCTTAAAGATTATGCGCTCTATATGGAAGTCAGTCTCTCTCTGAATCAAATAGCTAATCAATTTGTTGAAATAGTATTTCACTCTCAAAATTCTGTGGTCCATTGGATGCAACTTTAATAATTTTATAGTCATTGGTTTGCTGGACAAGTAAAACAATTTTTTGACAATTCTAAGGAAGTATTTTTCTACTGCCCTCTAATTTATCTAGGTCAGCACTTCCCATGAGTTTTATGCAAAAACAAAATTTGTGTAATCAGGGAAATTTGAGAATTGTTTCATTTTCTTCACAATTTCCTGTCTACACTGTGAATCTGCAATCAGCAAATGTCCCATTATTTTTTACAAATATATACAGTCACCTCTCAGTGTCCTTGGGAGATTGGTTCCAGGACCCCCGGAGGATACTGAAATGCATGTATGCTCAAGTCCCTCATATACAATTTCTCAGCTCCCTTCCCCTCAATTTTTATTTAGTCGGCTTGGGTAGGAATGAGGGGGGTGGGGTCAGAAATTTTAAAAAGCTGCTCATGTGCCTTTGATGCAGCTTATTTAGGAAGCACTTTAGGGAGCCACCAATCTAGAATTTTTCCCTGGCTGTGTGTAAACAAAGCATCTTAGCTCAGAAGGGGTCTTTAAATAGGATCTAAACTAGTGATTCTCAGTGTGGCCTGTGGATTGCCTTAATATTAGCCCTGCCTTGGAGATTTTTAATAAATAACCTAGATGACTTAATACACACTGGACTTTAAGACATATTGATATTAAAAACTATCACTTAAAAAAAATCAGAAAACCAAAGAGCAAGGTAACCAATTTCATGGTTTCCTAAATGGTTTTCAGTGTAGTTTGGAGCAGCCCTGTGAGAGCTTCATGACTATAGCTCCTGTCACCTACCTTGTCCCATATTTCAAGTCAAGATTATACAGTCATGTTTTCATTCATGCCCAGTGACTTTTATCCTCCCTATGTGAAGATTTGTGTATAGAATACACTGGGAATCCAGACACCTTGATTCCAATCCCAAATTTGCTAGTAAAAGGAAAAAAAAAGAAACACATTTTTTGTACTCACAGCACTTCTGACACCAAATGTGTGCGTTTTTTCACACCAACAACTAATTCTCCAGCTCTTTGAACGCCAGCTGAGTGTCCAACAATTCAATTCATTTCTGATACTAAACATCCAGTGTTAGCACAGACCTGACTGATTAAGAGCTCAATCCTGCAAGACTGCTCCCACTTTAGATGCCAATCACAAGTCAAGGCCTCCTACACTTCTGAACAACTGGCTGTAAGCTGGGGATTCCCATGACCTCCTCAGATTTGAGCATTTGCTATAACAGCTCATAGAACTCAGGAAAACACTTCACCTGTATTTGACAGTTTATATGATACAAATGAAGAGCCAGATGAGAGGGACATGGGGGAAGGTATTAGAAGGGATATGGAGTTTCCATGCCACTGTCCCAGCACTTCCATGTGTTCACCATCCTGAAAGCTCTCTGAACCCCTTTAGCTTTTGCGGAGGATCCATGACATAGGGATGATTGATTAAATTATTGGCCTTTGATGATTGAACTCAATCTCCAGGCCCTCAGCTCTCCCCAGAGGTCAGAGGGTAGGGTAGAAGTTCCTACTGTCTAATCACATGGTTCTTCAACCCGCTATCCTCCAAGAGATACCTCATCAGCCTGAACTCAAGTATGCTTGAAAGGGGCTTATTATGAATAACAGCTGATGCTCCTTTAATCCCTATCACTCAGGAAATTACAAGGGTTTTAGGAGTTTTGTACCAGCAACCTGGAACAAAGACCAAATATTTCTTACATCACAATATCATAGCTAGTAACTTTCTGCATGACTTTTAGGACGTCACTATTTTTCAGTTTAATCTTTTTTTCCTACAAAGTTAGGGGTAGGACTACAATATTCTGAGTGCTTTTAGTCCTAAACTTTCAGGATTTTAAATTGTTAGCAGACTATCTTTATTATTTACAATAGCTTTCAGTGGTGTGCTGGAGGCCACTCTTAACCATCTCCAAAAAGCAAACTGTCACATATTCAGAAACCTCAAAAGCTGGGTGTTAAACTTTTGGTATTTTAAAACCAGCCCCTTACGAGAGTACTGTATTTATATCATGGAAATAGGAAAACACTAGAAATCAAGGCTTTAAAAAGCAAAACAAAACATAGAGCCAGTTTACCAGCATACCACTGATAACAAGTGTTATAATGTTCCACAGACCAGAACCAGACGCAGTAAATACGTAACAGAATGCCCCACCATATTTTAAGGTAGATTATTATAGTACTAATTGAATTAGGGCAGATTTGTAAATTGTTCTAAAAAATCATTAAGTCTACATAAAGCTATTCAGTGTGTCAAATGTGAATCCCCTGCACAATTTTATTGATATTACTTTACTGCCTTCCTATCACCAGTTCCTTTTACTGTTCCTCAAATCAATAGGCTAAAGCAGCCCAAGCATCTTCCTATAAGATAGATTCAAATATCATGTTTGTACAACTGAAACAATGTAGAATGCACACTAGTCCCATTATATGACCATAAAAAGACTAGTTCAGCTCACTGCATCATTGATCCATTTAATTGTATAGCAGCTTCCTATTGATAAGAGGAAATGTCCCTGACCCAACCATGCTGAAAATGAAACTGGCCAGTTTTCCACAACCATAAATTTCAATAAGGATTCTACCTAATACCCAGGGACTAGATATCATAGCCAGAGTTTATTAGTTTTTTCTTTGTTTTACTGACCTATTTACCTTGTATGTGACCCAATTTCTCTTATGCTTCCTGGATTTCATTAGTCATTAAGTGTTAGCCTATACTTATGTTCATGACTATTTATTTATTTATTTATTTATTTATTTATTTATTTATTTTGAGATGGAGTTTTGCTCTTGTCGCCCAGGCTGGAGTGCAGTGGCACAATCTCGGCTCACTGCAACCTCCATCTCCTGGGTTCAGGCAATTCTCCTGCCTCAGCCTCCTGAATAGCTGGGATTACAGGCGTGTGCCACCACACCCGGCTAATTTTTTGTATTTTTTGTAGAGACAGGGTTTCACCACGTTGGCCACGCTGGTCTCGATCTCCTGACCTCAGGTGATGAGCCTGCCTCAGCCTCCCAAAGTACTGGGATTATAGGCATGGGCCAACACGCCCGGCTGTGACTAGATATTTTATTTCAAATAGAGATTGTGATAAATTTTAGACCATCTTTTCATTTGGAACTTGGAAAACATTCAGTGGCCTACAAGCATTACAGAGGGGGCTGTGGACCCAGAAGTGTCACTTTTAATCACATTTCTGGCCTCTTGGTTTAGGCAGATGTGACATGGTATATCCATGTCATGCAAATACAACAAACATTTGATGGCTACCCACTATATTTCGAACACAGTAATGGGTACTGAGGGAAACAAAAATGAACAAGGCACAATCCCTCCCTCCACACACTCATAGTCTAATGGGAAATATTTGTGTACATAATTAAAATGTTATAATGGTGAGTTTAATAATAGAGATATAAACACAGTATTATTGAAATGGGGGTGAAGAAGGAATTCTAACATGGAGTAAAGAAAGAATTAATAGAGTTGGTCCTTAAAGGATGAGTAAGATCCTGGTAGCAGAGAAAAATGGGAAGGACCATTCTGGGCAGAGAAAAAGACACAACGTTCTGAGGTCTGGAAGGGCATCAAGGGATCAGGTGGTGGAGGGAAAGAATTAGAAGACCACTGGGGGAAAAAGAAGAACAAAGTGGAGGGTTTTGAATGCTAGGCTAAGGAGTCAAGCAGGAAAAGTGGGCAAAGCAAATAGGCATAAAATAATAAAATATGATAACAAAACTATGCACAGTGGAGCACAGTTGAGAAAATATGTTGAGCCAGGTCTTTTAGAATTTTTCAAAATGGAAAAGAGAAGCAGCAGAAAGAGGAACTAACATGAGCAAAGGCACTGGGATAGTACTGATGATCATTTATTATCACTATGTGTGTCAGGCACTGTGCTGAGCATCCTACCTATATGATCACCTTTTATTTTGCAGTTGAGGGAGGCATAATTTCCATTCTACTGATATAAAACTGAGATCCAGAGAAGATAAGTAACATGCCCAAGGCCACATAATAGTGGACTTTATATGAACCCATTATGCCATAAAACCTTCAATCTGAGAAATGTAATGATACATGATACATGAGGACAATAGTAAGTCAAGATGGTTAACATGTAAAATTTTTTAAATTGTAAATACCCTTTATTGAGCAGCTACTATTTTGCAGGGAACTTTATATGTGTATTAAATCAATAGCTTGAAGAAAAAATTGACCAAAGTCACCTAGTCAGTAGCAAAGCTAGAAATTTCTCCCACATGAAAAGGGCAGAGGGATCTGGTGAGGGGAGGGAGAGAGGACTCCAGTCATGACTTTTCAGAGCGGTATCAGAGGAAAAACAGCAAAGAAGTTTCGGAAGCTATGGATGACTACTACACTATTCTGTGCCTACTGCCACTGACCCTTCTTACATAATGCAAACAGGAAAAGATCCTGATTCGGGGTCAAGAAGGAGACCCTACTAGATTTGAATTTTGTTGAATTTGAAGCATATTGGAAACGTCCAGATGGATATGCTCAATGAGTCAGCTGCAAATAGCATCAGACAATATTTGGTAAGGGAATATCTTATAATAGGCAATGGTGGGGCAACTGGACCAGAAACTATAACGAAATGTGAAGCAATGGCCAAGCTTCCATTCCTTCGGAGGAGGCAGCAGGGCAAAAACCAAGTCTGTCCAGGGATGCCATGATTTCATCTAGTTAGGAATGAGGAAGTGGCAGTCCTAGAGTTTCAATCTGGGGTAAGCAAACCAGGGATCAGGGCAGAAGAGCTGGTAGGATATCAAATACTAAACTTTGAGTAATGCCAGGTCGTAGAGAATGAGAGGAAGATATGGTCTTCCTAGCGCCTGAGGCTGGTAGGGAAATAGCAAGTGGGTAAGGATACTGAGTGAGATTCCCCCTACTTTTGGAAGGGATCCAAGAAGTCTGAGACATCAGAAAACTCTATGTGGCTCTCAGAAACCATTCAGCAGCCTACAAGCTTTACAAAAGGCGTGCTGATCCAGAGGCGCCCCCTTCAGTCATGTTCATGACATTTTAATTTCAGCAGATGCTATTTAGTCTTAAACTTACTGGGATTCTGAAGAGGCCAGAGGGACTTGCCTGACAACACCGGTTGCTCATGAACAATTAAGCCCGCTCATTTATGTGTTCAGGTAGCCTTCCGGGAGGGGGCCAGGCTGGCACGGTTCTGGCACTTGGGGTAGAATCAGAGCTAGAAATGGAAATCATCTACCTGGAAGCTGTGCTTCAATCCCAGAGTGCATAAGATCGGTCAGCAATAGAGGCTGAGAAAAGGACCAAGGCTTGGAAATGCTTCCCCTTAAGGACTGATCAGAGGAAGGAAACTAAGGAAGATTCATCAGAGAAGTTAAAGGCAACAGAGAAGAATGTAGCTTCCAACGTTTCCTCTCTCTTCTTCCCTCATTTCCTGTGTATCCCATTTATTTTTAGTTTTGATCTGTAACTGGAACAAACCTTCAAAAAGAAAACTGCCCTCTCTGGAAAATGAAGGTAATGATGCCTCCCTCGGGGGGAAGTTGTGAGAATTCAGTGGGATAATGTAGGTGTCTGCATCTATTTGGTTCTCAATCAAATGTGTATTAATTCTCACCACCCCAGCATCACTGCCCACTCTCCCCTTCCCAGGGGTTAACGTGCCTTCGTTTATTAGTCCTTTGCTCTTATCATCAAAACAGAAACAAGTCTGATTAAACTGGGTGTGACTGATTTCTACATACAGGCTTAACAGTGAGAGAGAAAAAAAGAAGCAAGTCTTTGGTTTTCAAATCAGCTTTCACAGTGTATTGAGAAGGTGCTCTTTGGCTATACCCTTTTATGGGTGAGAAAATTGAAATAATCGGCTGAGCAGAAGTGCCTTCTCCAAATTCATAGTTGTAGTCTGTGCCCTGGCCAACACTTTCCCGCCCATTGCTTACCATTTGGGACATTCCAAGAAGTGGAAATAAGCAAGATAATGAATCATTTAATACTGCTTATCCTTCCAATCCTGGAGCAAGCCAGTTCCCCAGAATCATGTGGTAAGATGTCTGTTGCTTAGCTATTACACCCCAGCACTGCATTTTACAAGTGCAAAGGTGATAATCATTGGCCTGTTACCCTCCCCCTTATCAGAAGTAGCTGGTGTTTATGTTTACTGGAGTCACCATTAGTTCCGCTTCATGGACCCACCTTTCCTGTAATACAGCTCATATAGTCTATCTTAGAAACTCACATGGCTTCCAAAGCATAATTCCATTATCCACATGTTAACTCCCTATGGCCAAGAGGACCCGTGATACTGGACACACCAAATGGGAAATCTAAAACAGTTCTAAAGCAGTGTTCCTCAGCTGCCAGTCCCTAGGAAGGTGACACATTTTTACATCTGGGCCCAGAAGCCTCTCTGCTTCCACCCTGGAGGTTGGGCTGAGCTCCAGGAGAGCAGGGGAAGTAGGAACTCAGGATCATGTTGCTGCAGTGCTAAGCTAAAATCACATCTCCCACTCCTGGCCTGGTACCACCCTCTCCCCACCAACCACCAGAGGACCCAAGGGTCCCCAAGGAGACCACTCCAGTTTGCCTCATGTCATGATCTGTGGTTGTAAAGGTATGAGTATGTGTATACACACACCAACATTCAAAAAAGACTTTCACATAAAAATCCAGATTGAAGATATCCTAAAAAACAAAAGATGCTACAATGCAAAGCCTGCATTCCCACCTGTGACAATCAGTTCAAGCAGAACACTGCTCTCCATTGTACCTCAGTCCTCACCACTCCCTACTCTCTTCCTGAAATGAGACCATCAGTAGCAGTTCTGAACACTAAATATAATGACCCTGGATTATAAGAATTCTTATCTCACCTGCTTTACTCTTCTGCATTATCTACTTAGCCCAGGTGGCATTCAAATGGAATCTAGAGATTCCATTTCTCCCCGCTGCCTGCTGGACTCTAATCATCACCTTAGCTACCAGCACCACCAGCTTCCATGTAGCCATCCACTTTCAGGGGGAAAAATAAAAGATCAACAGGTGGTTTTCCTCTCATTGAGTCCCTAGAGCTCTCATAATAAAACTCTGTACTAGGCTCCCAAGACCAACCAAAGGCCACAGGACTACCCTGAAGGATGCAATGCATGCTGGCAAGGCTCTGGGTTTGACATCTCCTAACTCTGCCAGGGCACAGAAAGCCAGTCCCCGCAGAGGCCAGTTCAATGTGCACTGACTGAAAAGATTTTTGTTGTTGTTATTACTGAACTATTATCCCTATATTTTATATCCATATGTGCATATTTTATATATATCTTTTATACACATTTTATGCATGTATAATAGGCCTACATGATTTTGCTATATTACAGTAGAAAATTTAGATATGTTACTGGTCTGTGGTTCAGTTGATAGGAAGCCCTTGCCTAGAGTATACTGGGCTTGTTTCCCAACATCTCAGTTTTCTTTTCAACTTGAAAAGTAACCTGTGTAGATGCTCATAGTAATATTAATCTTTAATGGACCTTATTCTGCTGAGCAACCTTGTACATCCATTCTCATTGGAATTTCCCATTCATCCACAAAGATGCTTGGGGCAGAAGTTATGACTACCTTGATATACTGAAAAGGAAACCGAGGCTCAGGTAAAGTGCTCAAGGCCATTCAGATGTTTGAGGTGGAGCCAGAGAAAAGCAGACTTCCTTGCCGGCAGCCCAAGGCACTCTCTGAGACCAATGACTCCATCAGAATTAGGTGAACATTTAAAACATATCTGCTAAATGGATAAACTACCCACTGTCTTTGGCAGTTAGTACATAAGAAGATAAAGCAGATTATTACAAATACATTTGCACTGTAGTGAAAGTTCCTAGGTATTGTATTGGAGTTAGAGGCTTAAAGAAGTTGTCAAGGTAGTCTTTAATGAAAAATGGTCATGGTTTGAATGTGCTCCTTTATCTCACTAATTCTATAACCCAATTTTTATCAAGGACCTCGGGCCTGAAGGCTCAAACTGCATTTTGAAGCTTATCTAATTAATATTCACCACCACAACCGCAAAGGGTGTGGAGCATGTATCATTAGCTTCACGTTTCAGATGGAAATAGGCAGTGAGAAGAAGCAGAGCCCTGTGTGTCTGGGTTCAGGAATTGGAGACTGTTTCCTTTTAGCACCATCGCCCATGTCTGATTCGGCTTTGCCCTCCCCCGTAAGGAACAACGCTGAGATAAACCACGTGGGGTGCTGTCATTTCAGCCTGATGTCCCCAGTATCAGAGTCTGACCAAAAGTAATAAGATCAAAGCCCTAAGGCTATGATGAAAATGAAAGTCCGTGATAAAGGGAGATTGGCAAAGAAGCCATTATGCGTAGGCCTGGGTACTCAAATGTTCTTAGAAAAATATCTAAAACACAGATATGTATTATTATACTATGGCAATTAAAACCTAAACTTCACAGTTAAAACAGCCATCTTAGAGATCTAAGCCATGGCCACACAAGAGCTGGGATTTTAGATTTGATTCTGCTCTGATCATTCAGCATCACTGTGAGCATCTATGTGTCAATTTCACTGCTTCCATCGCTTCTCACTATTTCTCATTCTGCAAAATCTCTCTGCATTTTTAAAAAAGCAGGCCAAAGACTCCTGGCATTACCAATCCCAATAAACACTGAAAGAACATACGCAGTGTCATACTGGGTAGATCAGTGGTCCATTTGATCAAGAATTCTGTCACCATTATCTGAGACATTCGTGGGATAGCATGACTTCCTAAAAACTAGTGTTGCACTTCTGAAAACTTTATCCTACAAATACAAAAATCACACAAGAAAATTCATTGCAGTGATGTTTGTAATGGCAAAAAAACCTGGGAATGAACTAAGCAACCCTGAATAAAGGATTGGTTGAATAAGTTGTGGTACGTATACAATGGAATATAACTCAGCTCTAAAAAAAAAGAATAAATAAAATTATGTATCAATAAAGAACAATCTCAAGGATATAATGTAAAGTAAATAAAGCAAGATGCGCACACTCAAGTGTGTATAGGATGCTGTATTAGTCTGTTCTAACATTGCTACAAAGAAATACCTGAAACTGGGTAATTTATAAAGTAAAGAGGCTCATGGTTCTGCAGGTTGTAGAGGAAGCATAGTGGCATCCGCTTCTGAGGAGGCCTAAGAAAGCTTCCAGTTATGGCAGAAGGCAAAAGGAGAGCAGGTGCATTCCACAGCAAAAGCAGGAGCAAGGAGGCAGAGGGACAGAGGGGTGTTACACAGTTTTAAATTACTAGATCTCACTCACTCTCAAGAGGACAATACCAAGGAAGATGGTGCTAAACCATTCATTACAAATCCACCCCCATGATCCAATCACCTCCCACCTTGTCCACCTCCAACACTGGGGGTTACATTTGAATATGAGATTCAGGCAGGGACACACATCCAAACTATGTCAGATGATATTAATTGTTTAAAATTGTGGGGTTAAATATTTTTAACCATTTGACATATATTTACTGAATACCTTCTGTGTCTCAGGGACCATTCTAACTACCAGGGATATGACAGTGGAGAAAACAGTTCTAACATCCTGTCTTCAGAAAGGTTATTCTATTTGCTTATTTATATGCATGTTTAAAAATCTTTGAAACAATACACAAGAAACCCATATCAGTAATTTCTATTTGGGGAGGCAGGGACTGTGCAGATGTGGGACAAATGTGAGACAGCAGGTTGCCACTGTGTAGACTTTTATGTTTCTTAAATATTTAAACTAAATAAAATACAAATGAAAAAATTAACAGGTAATTTTTAAAAAAATTTTTAAGTATACTTTAAGTTCAGGGATAAATGTGCAGAATGTGCAGGTTTGTTACATAGGTATACAAGTGTTATGGTGGTTTGCTACACCCATCAACCTATCATTTACATTAGGTATTTCTCCTAATGCTATCCTTCCCCTGGCACCCAACCCTCCGACAGGCCCCAGTGTATGATGTTCCCCTCCCTGTGTCCATCTGTTCTCATTAACAGGTAAAGATTAAGCACCTTTCTTTGTTAATCTGGTACTGATCTGCACTCATTAATTTATCCAAACCTGTCTTGAACCCCTTTATCGTTTACCTTAAGTGTTATGCCTTGTTAGCATAGCCTTTTCCATATATTTACTTGTGGAATTTAAATAAAATGGTATTCTTTTTGTTTCTCTTATAGAAATTTCTTTCTTAATTTCAAAACACCCCTTTCATCTAATATTCTGAGGTTAAATTAACAAATTCGTGTTTGTTGTCCTTGAACCATCCATTAACCTATTGTGATGGTTAATACTGAGTGTCAGTTTGATTGGATTTAGGGATACAAAGTATTAATCCTGGGTGTGTCTGTGAGGGTATTGACCAAAACAGATTAACATTTGAGTCAGTGGGCTGGGGAAGGCAGATACACCCTTAATTGGGTGGGCACCATCTAATCAGTCACCAGCAAATATAAAGCAGGCAGAAAAACGTGAAGAGGTGAGACTGGGCTAGCCTCCCAGCCTACATCTTTCTCCTGTGCTGGATGCTTCCTGCCCTCGAGCATTGGACTCCAAGTTCTTCAGTTTGGGGACTCAGACTGGTTCTCCTTGCTCCTCAGCTTGCAGACAGCCTATTGTAGGGCCTTGTGATCGTGTAAGCTAATACTTAATAAACTCCGCTTTACATAAAGATATACAAAGGGCTGTGCCAGGGATATGAAATAAATATATATATCCTATTAGTTCTGTCCCTTTAAGAGAACCCTGACTAATACACCTATAAACCTTAATGAAAACTCCCTGTTACCTTTGTCTTCTCTCACAGAAGAGTTCTGATTCCTGCTAACAAATTCATAATTTCCATACTGTTAGTTACATAAACTTTAATGTAAATGAAACCATCTTTGTTTGTAATTGAGGTGACTAGGACTCCATTTCTTCCTTCTACAAAAGCCGCCAGCCTCACTACCCCAGGACTACCTTTTACCTACATTTTTATCCATGAACTCCTTTCTCTCAGAAAACATCCAAAAATGATACTTTTGAAGCACAGAAAATTATTTCAAAATCCTAACAATAAATTCACCTCTTCCTGTCCCCCATCCTTCCTCTAGCCCCAGTTTTCAGCTCAGCTCTGACTCCCTTTATATCCTTGTCTGAGAATGATGCTGTGTCCATGTGTCCACTGTTGAGATTCCTATTCCAGCTCAGCTCCTAGTAGCACCAACATGCCTCTTTTCTCACCCATGCCTCTAATTGCCAAACTAAAAGGACATTTCCCCACTCAGATCATCCTTAGCTCTGCTGCAGTGTTTGACACAGTGTGAAACTGCTTATCCCTGTCACAGATCATAGGCTCTTATCATTAAAAGAGTTATTGCCTGCTTGTTAACCTCCCACATCCTTGGCCTCTCACAGACCCGCCTCTGGAGGATCCTGTGGTCCCCACTTACTCTAGTTTGGAGATATTCATGCATTCGCTGTAGAAGATACTATCAGGATGTGCCTGTGACCCCTGGGATCCATTTCTAGAGTGGCCAACTGTTCAGTTTGCTCAGGACTGAGGGAAGTTCCAGGATGCAGAACTTTCTGTTTTAAACATGGACAGTCCTAGGGAAACCAGAACAAATTGGTCACCCAAGCTTACCGTTGTCACACAGACTGCCTCTGGGTGTGCCTTCACTCCCAAAGACTGGCACCTGTGTCTCCTTGTTGGAGGACTTCCCTTAGGCTGCCAAATGCCCCTGTGTTTTCTCCCCCAGTGAGTGGGTCATGGGGACTGTTCCCCAGGGATACACTTCTCTGAAGTGACTGCGAGTTTTTGTATCCCTGACATAGCCCTTAACCAATGACTGACAGTTAAAGGAGTTTAGGTACTCTAGTGCCTTTGACCTGATTGGGTAATGCTGAGTTATGACTTACACTGTCTCCAAAACTCCCTGTAGGATTAAATCAAAGTTACCCTCCCCAGAACTTTGCTTGATAACACACCTGTTTGGTTTGCTTCACTTTATTGTCCCAATACTCCATGATGCTTCTGGTTTTCCCTGGGGACAGGTCGTAACAAATCACTTCCTTATCTCAGAAGCTGCTTCTGGAGACCCCAAATGGCTTGGTAATCTATTGCTGTGTGATAAACAACTGCGAAATATAGTGATCAAAACAACTTTTTAATTATTTCTCACAATAATTGACATCACAATTGGTGGGTCGGCTGGGCTCCGCAGGGTGGTTCTTCTATTTCACATGATGATAGGTGTGACTGCAGTCATCTGGGGGCTCTCCGGGCTAGAATGTCTAAGATGTCTCATGCCAGCACACTCATGTATCTGAGGCCCCCTTGAAAGTTCTGCATACTGGAATTCCCTCAGTCCTTGAGAGTTTAGTTTGCCTCTGTGAGGTCTCACATATCAAGACTTACCAAGCACATATGGTTGTAGTCAGACAGCAGCTAGTGCTAGAGTCAACTGAAAGGTTAACCAGAATGCTGGGATAGCTAGTCTTCCTCCCTTCTTCTCTTGGATAAGTTTCCTAGGGTTGCCATAGCAAAATGCCACAAACTGGGTGACTTAAAACAACAGATATTTGTTCTCTCACAGTTCTGGGGGCTAGGAGTCTAAAGTCAAGGTATCAGAAGGGCCATGCTACTTCTGAAGGTTCTAGAGAAGAATCCCCACTTGCCTCTTTTTAGGTGGTTGTTGACAATCCTTGATGTTCCTGGCTCACAGCTATATTACTCCAATCTCTGTTGCTGTCATCACATGGCCTTCTCTCTGTGTGTCTGTGTCTTCAGATAGCCAGGTCATAAGGACACCAGCCACTGGATTTAGGTTTTATCTAAACCAGTATGCTTTCATTTTAACTTGATTATATCAGTAAAGACCGTGTTTTCAAATAAGGGCACATTCACAGGTTCTGGGTGAGCATGAATTTTGGAGGGACACTATTCAGCTCAGTGCACCTCTCCATGTGGTCTCTACATGGACTCTCCATCAGAGAGAGAACTTACAAGCAGTTCAAGTTTCTCAGAAGCACAAAAGTGGAAGCTGCACAGGCCTTCTTAAGACTTATTAAGCACTAAAAGTGTGCATAGCCCTATTTTAAATGCTAAGGTGACAGTGGAGAACCAGATAGGCAAGGTGTCTGTTGTTATACAACTTCCATCGTAGTAGAGAGAATATCATTGACCATTTCCCTTACCTAGAGCTCTTTGAGTTAATGTGTTGTGGTACTGTGGAAAGAATAATGAAGTATATCTGACACCTGGACTCCAGTCTTGCTTTGGGTTCCAAACAGAATAAAAGATAATGTTGCCTATCTCCTGGCTTAGTCACATAATATCCCTGGGCCTTCATTTCCTCATTATATAATGGAGAGTTTGAACGAGATTATCTGAGGTCCTTCCAACTCTGATGTGTCTCCATCATTTATGCAACTGCTTTCCTTGTTCAAACAACTTTCTTAATTTCATCTCCTTCAGAAAGTCTTTGGGAGGAGGTAAAGCTTTGTGGATAAGTAGTGCAGGGGATGAAAACTTATAGAGGGAAAGGAAGAAAATGAATTTCCTGGACTGTTGAAAATTGCCTTTCCCATTACTTCCATATTCTTATACTCTTAAATTGTTATGCTTCCCTTAATCATTAATACACATCTGCTAAAATTGTGGTCTCCATCGCAACTGACCCACTTGGCAGAAGAGACAGTCTGCAAATTATAATGTAGGCTAACATCATATAATTCTTTTACCATTGCTATCTCTAGCATACACCTGTTACAGAGAACACCAGGTGTTAGTCTGCAGGTGTTCTTGAGACTCACAAAGAAAAACAGGTAATTGCTCCTGTATACTTCTTAGCACAAAAATACAATGATACCCATTACTGTACTGTAATGATACTGTAATGGAAGGGAACTGTGGATCAGCCCCTGTGATGGTATCTGTGTATGTTGTTCCAAGCAAGTCATTAGAAATGAGAATATAGTAGGGCTTTTTTGTTTTAAGAATAAGGGTTAATGTTGTTTTGAATAAAAGGTATCTCTCTTTTTTTTTTTTTTCTTTTTTTGAGACAAGGTCTTGCTCTGTCATCCAGGCTGGAGTGCTGTGGCGAGTAGCTGAGACTACAGGTGCACACCACCACACCGGGCTAAATTTTTTGTATTTCTCATAGAGACAGGGTTTCACCGTGTTGCCCAGGCTGGTCTCAAATTCCTGGGCTCAAGCGATCCACCTGCCTCAGCCTCCCAGAATGCTGGGATTACCAGTGTGAGCCACCATGCCCAGACAAAGGTATCTGAATGCCAGTATTTTTTCAAACTGCAAAACAGGGACCAAATGCCTCAGAATTACTTGGGCTGCATATTAAAATGCAGATTTCTGGGCTAGTCTCAGAGTATGAGAGTTGGTAGGCCTAGCACTTAATCATTTCCCCTGAAACACACTGAAAATAGTGATTCCTACCAGCATCTCATTCTTCCATGCAAATCCAATCATTTCCTGTCCTTTCTTCTAGACAGTTTGGATTTCAGGTCAGTGCTTCACAAATTCTCCTACTGCCAGGACCCAAGAATTAGTCCAGCCATCGGTATTAGCACCACCATCCCTTTGCCCCCACCAACCCCCAGCTCCCGACTTCTGCTGAACCTATAGGAACACAAAATTGAAAAAAAAAAAAAAGAGTTTGAGGAGTTGCCCCAGTCAAGTAGGTTCTGACATCAAGGCAGGAAGCTGGGAACCCCAGAAGGTGGAGATGCAGGGAAGTGTCCTGAGTGTGATGGAAAGCGGGCAGCCAGCCAGTGTCCTGGGGCAGCCTGCTCTCCCTCCAAACATCAGAGTGGGGACAAGTCTCAGGACCCAGGGAAGGGAAAGACCAGATCATGTTCTTCTGTCACATGCCACTGAGAAAATTAAAAGGATTATACAATGAGATATTCAGAGTATGTTAAGAAGTTCACGGCCGGGCGCGGTGGCTCACGCCTGTAATCCCAGCACTTTGGGAGGCCGAGGCGGGTGGATCATGAGGTCAGGAGATCGAGACCATCCTGGCTAACAAGGTGAAACCCCGTCTCTACTAAAAATACAAAAAATTAGCCGGGCGCGGTGGCGGGCGCCTGTAGTCCCAGCTACTCGGGAGGCTGAGGCAGGAGAATGGCGTGAACCCGGGAAGCGGAGCTTGCAGTGAGCCGAGATTGCGCCACTGCAGTCCGCAGTCCGGCCTGGGCGACAGAGCGAGACTCCGTCTCAAAAAAAAAAAAAAAGAAGTTCACAACAGAAGAATGGAGAAACATTTTAATTGACTTAAAATTTAGTATATGATCTATCATTCACCATAGATTTAGTTTTTACTCTTTAATCTGTTATATTTAAAATTAACTGCCAGGCACAGTGACTCACTTCTGTAATCCCAGCACTTTGGGAGGCTGAGGCAGGAAGATCACTTGAGGCCAGGAGTTTGAGTCCAGCCTGCGCAACATAGTGAGATGCCGTATCTACAAAAAAATAAATTTAAAAAAAATTAGCCAGGCATGGTAGGGCATGCCTGTAGTCCCAGCTATTCGGGAGGTGGAGGTGGAAGGATTGCTTGAGCCCAGGAGTTCAAGGTTGCAGTGAGCTATGATCATGTCACTGCACTTGAGTGCTGGTGACAGAGTGAGACCCTGTCTCAAAAAAATTAAATTAAATTAACTTTGTTGTGTTTTTAAAGTAATACATTCAATGAATATTTATCCAATGCCTACAGGGTATATACTGCTCAGCTGACATTGACCTGGTCCCTGCCCATATGGGGTTTATATTCCATTGGAGAAGACAGCCATTGCATAATCACATAAATAAAAGCATAATTATAAACTGTACTAGGTTTTATGACAGTGAGGTTCATGGTGTTGTAAGGGTATATGACAGGAAAACCTAACCCGGTCTGGGAGGGGGCCAGGAAAGATGTCCATAAAGAATTGATATATGATCTAAAAACTGAAGAATTAGTGAAAGTTAACCCAACTCAGGGGTAGAGAGCCTTCCAAACAGTGGGGGCAATAGCATGTGCAAAGGTTCTGCAGTGGTTTGAAGAGGTCCAAATGACAGAAGGCAACTGTGCCTGAGCGCAGAGCAAGCGAGAACAGATTTGGATGGGTTTGGAGTTCCAGGCAGAGGCCAGACTTTGCAAGGTCTCATGCTAAGCAGGTTGTTCTCTAAGAACAATGAGAATCATTAAAGAGTTGAAGCAGGAGTTGATATAGTCAGATTTGCATCTTGAAAAGATCACTTAGACTACGTGTAAAGAGCAGATGAAGAGGAACAAGGCTGTGTAGGAGGAGACCAGCCAGGTATTGTGATGGTTAATTTTATGTGTCACTTTGTCTCAGCTAAAAGCTGTCCAGATAGCTGGGAAAACATTATTTCTTGGTGTATCTTTGAGGGCATTTCCAAAAGAAAAGATCATTTAAGTGGGTAGACTGAATAAAGAAGATCACCTCACCAACATAGATGGGCATCATCTAATTTTTTGAGATCCCCATTAGAACAAAAAGGCAGAGAAAAAACAAATTCACTCTCTCTGCTTGAGTTGTAACATCCATCTTTTCCTGTCCTCATAAATTGGTGCTCCCTGTTATTGGGCCTTCAGATTCAGACTGGGACTTAAACCATTGGCCTGGTTCTCAGGCCTTTTGGCCACTGGCTGACTTGGGCCTCCAGCTTGCAGATTTCAGACTGTGGGACTTAGCCTCCGCAATCACATGAGCCAATCCCTCATAAATCTCTTTTTATACATCTATATATAGAGAGGATCCTCAGGTTATGATGAGGTCATGTTCCCATAAACCTTTGTAAATTGAAAATATTGTAAGTTGAAAATGCATTTAATACACATAGCCTCTCAAACATCATAGCTTAGCCCAGGCTACCTTAAACATGCTCAGAACATTTACATTAGCCTACAGTTGAGGCTGTAGGCTACATCAAACAGAAAGCCTGTTTTTTTTTTTTTTTTTTTGTGACGGAGTCTCGCACTGTTGCCCTGGCTGGAGTGCAATGGCGTGGTCTCGGCTCACTGCAACCTCCGCCTCCCATGTTCACGCCATTCTCCTGCCTCAGCCTTCTGAGTAGCTGGGACTACAGGCGCCCACCACCATGCCTGGCTAATTTTTGGTGTTTTTAGTAGAGATGGGGTTTCACCATGTTAGCCAGGATGGTCTTGATCTCCTGACCTTGTGATCCACCCGCCTCGGCCTCCCAAAGTGCTGGGATTACAGGTGTAAGCTACCACGCCCAGCCACAAAAAGCCTGTTTTATAATAAGGTGTTGTACATCTCATGTCATTTATTGAATACTGTACTATATTATGTCAAAACTGAGACAGGTTCACACCATTGTAAGGTCAAAAAGTCTTAAGTTGAACCACCCAAAGTCAAGGACTGTCTATATAGCCTATTGTTCCTGTTTCTCTGAAGAACCCTAACTAGCACAGCGTTATCCACTAGATTGGATGAAAGATAATGTGTCTTGGACAAAGGTGGTTGCTGCGAAGACAGAGAGAAGAGGACTGCTTTGAAACACATTTCAGAGGTGTTAATCACTGGACTTAATAATGGGTTGGGTACAGAACTGAAGCAGAGTGATGAGCCAGTGATGACACCGAGGTATCTGGCTCATCCCACTAATGGAAGATGATTTCCTTTCACTGATGAAGAAAACACGTAAGAAGATTGGGTTTGAAGGGGTTGGGGTACCTGAGTTCACTTTTCAATGCGGTTAGTTTGAAGTGTTCTTGAGACATTCAAATGGAGATGTTGAGTAGGCAACTGAAGTTTGGGAGTCATCAATGCTTTGATGGCAATTGAACTCAAAAGTGTGGATGAGATAACTTAAAGATTTCCATAGAAACCAATGCCAATATAGGGTAGTGGTTCAGAGCAGGAGTCCTAGAATGAAGCCATCTCAGTTTGCAGCCCAGCTCTGCTACTTCCTAGCTGTGCAACCATGAAGAAATTACTCAAATACTCTGAATTTCCCATATATTTAAAAACAGAGAATATACTATTCCCTACCTTATAATGCTGTTGGGAGTATTAAAATGGCTTCTTGCATTTGAAACTTTTAGCATAGTTCTCAGTATTTAGTAACCACTCAATTAACTACTCAATAAGTGTAGATTTTTCTTCTTTCAGAGAGCGTACAGGGTTAGTAAGTAGGCTTCCCTAGGACTAAGCCTTGAAGAAATCCAATGATTAATAGTTAGGTAAAGAAGGATGAGGAACAACCACATTATGGTCTGAATCCCTGCTGTCCCAAATCCACCCACAAGAGAAACTAGGACAGCAGCTGCATCTAGAGCCTGCTAGGGTGCTTATCCCTCCTAACAATGTGTATGTGTAGCCAGGAGGGAAGGAGCCAAGTGTTCTTGAAGGGATCCCAAAGTCAAAGGCCTGGTTCAAGGAATAAAGGAGGATATGAAGTAGGAGACTACAAAGCCAAGCTGGAAGCAGGTCAGTAGCAGGTCAGAAACCAGAGAAACAGGAGCTGGGAAATTACAGTTGACCCTTGAACAATGTGGAGGTTAGGGGCACCAACCCCTCATGCAGTTGAAAATCCAAGTATAACTTTTGATCCTCAAGAACTTAACTACTAATACCCCACTGATGGCCCAAAGCCTTGCCAATAACATTAACAGTCAGTTAACACATATTCTGTATATTATATGTATTATATACTGTGTTCTTACAATGAAGTAAGCTAGAAAAAGAATGTTATTAAGAAAATTACAACAAATATAGTTATTATTCATTAAGTGGAAGTGGATCAGTCATCAAGGTCTTCATTCTCATCATCTTCATGTTGAGTAGGCGGAAGAGGAGGGGGTTTGTTTAGCAGGAATAGCAGAGGCAAAAGAAAACCCATGTATAAGTGGACCAGTGCAGTTGAAACCTGTGTTGTTCAAGGGTCAACGGCACTGCTAACACATGAGACGCCCAGGACATCCTAATGAAGATAGGTGGACAGGATTGGAGAAACCAGAAGATTCCATAATATTCTTAAATACATAGATGCCTACTGCTCAGAACCACCTATCCTAGAAGTATTTAGAGTTTTCTGCTTATAAAGAATGAAATAGACCAGGTGCAGTCACTCATGCCTGAAATCCCAGCACTTACGAGGCCAAGGCAGGCAGATTACTTGAGGT
This sequence comes from Homo sapiens, assembly GCF_000001405.40. NCBI lineage: Eukaryota > Metazoa > Chordata > Mammalia > Primates > Hominidae > Homo > Homo sapiens. The sequence goes on along the minus strand of NC_000003.12, from coordinate 108,139,386 downwards.
CTGGAGTTCGAGACCAGCCTGGCCAACATGGCAAAACCTCCGTCTCTACTAAAAGAACAAAAATTAGCTGAGCTTGGTGGCATACACCTGTAATCCCAGCTACTCAGGAGGCTGAGGCACAAGTATTGCTTGAACCTGGAATACAGAGGTTGCAGTGAGCTGAGATTGCCACCCTGCACTCCAGCCTGGATGACAGAGCAAGACTCTGTCTCAAAAAAAAAAAGAATGAAATAGAAGAGTTTTATAGCCCCTTTATCAGTTCAGTGGTTTAAAAGTGTTCTGTGGCTGGGCGTGGTGCCTCACACTTGTAATCCTAGCACTTTGGGAGGCCAAAATGGGCGGATTGCCTGAGGTCAGGAGTTCGAGCCCAGTCTGGCCAACATGGTGAAACCCCATCTCTACTAAAAATACAGAAAAGTTAGGCAGGCGTGGTGGCATGCGCCTGTAATCCCAGCTACTCTGGAGGCTGAGGCAGGGGAATTGCTTGAACCAGAGAGGTGGAGGTTGCAGTGAGCCAGATTGTGCCACTGCACTCCAGCCTTGGTGACAGAGCGAGACTCCATCTCAAAACAAACAAACAAACAAAACAACAACAACAACAACAAAGTGTTCTTTATGTCAGTCATGCTGCAGTATGAAATTTTGATACTTATACGTTATGACAATATGTTACTTTAAAAAGTATATCTTCTCTGGTATTTTCAGCTACTGTTATTGTTTTGGGATATAATATATCAGACAAGAAGTATTTAACCAAAACCCAGCTGACAATTTCAAAATGTTCTAAAAATATTTATTGATATGTTGATAATGATTCCAGTAATAGTGATTGATATCATCAATGTTAGCATCAACATTGTTCAGTAACAATAGGATCTGGTCAAATGTGATATCTGTGTTATGAAAAGCTATACATGCATACTTCAGAGATAGTGTGAGGCAGTTCCAGACCAAAGTAATAAAGCAAATATTACAATAAAGTAAGTCACTTTTTTTAGTTTCCCATGGCATATAAAAATTATACTTAGGCTACATTTTAGTCAAGTGTGCAATAGCATTATGTCTAAAAAACAATGTACATACCTTCATTAAAAATATGTTATTGCTAAAAAATGCTGTCACAGAGGCAGGAAGTGAGCATATGCTCTTGCAAAAATGATGCCAATAGACTCACTCGATGAAAAGTTGCCACAAATCTTCAATTTGTAAAAAACACATTCTTCGAGAAGTGCAATAAAATGAAGCGCAATGAAACAAGTGTGTATGGTGTGTGTGTGGGGTGGTGTGTGTTCAGAAAGATAGGAGTGTGCAATGGCAAGGAAACTCAATTTAAAGCAAATTTGGATTGAGACCAAATATATAGTAATAGAATTTGCATTATTAAATAAAGTATTGACATTGACTCATACTCGTAGAAGTCTATTCTCATTATGATGATAGCTACTCTTTCTTCCATTAGATTGATGAATTGCTGAAGGAAGCAAAAAGTAAATTCATCTCAGTAAGTGAAAATCATTTCATTGAGCATGAATTTTTGGGGTCCAGCCCCATACTAAAATAGTCACAAGTTGAATACCAAATGGTCTCTAGCCTAGGCCATTCTCAGTCAAAGGCAAACATACAACGCTTGTTCAAAGGAAGAAATATTATTACCTGAAATTTAACAAAGATCTTGGAAAATATTTAAATAGGCTAAAGCGACTTGTAATTTTTTTTCCCCCGAGTAGGCATGTTGTTCTGAAAGCTCTCCGGGCTGACATTGCCTGTTTACTTATTGATTGCGTCTTTTTCACTGTGCCAACAGCATTCTAGCCTCAGGGATCATTTTCCAATGTAGCTTTTTAAATGTTTTTAATTAGGACATTGTAATGGATTAAAGGCAGGCAGAGACTGAAAAGTAGCTACCTTTCTACACACACCTTAGGCAAACACACACTTCAAAAACATTCCGTCCGCCCCCCTCCCCCCGCCCCCCCCCCACCCCAAGTTTCAGTCTCCCTGTTGCTGCCCTGCCCCTCTCTCTTCAAGAACCCTTGGTTTCGGTTGTTGGAGTTTGGGGGCAGGGTGAAAAATCAATCATCCAGCCCTCACCTTCCAGTTCCACGCAGTTAAGAACTTGGCAAAATGAGCAAGCAGAGGATCAAAGCGTGGTATCAGCTTTAGCAGTGGTAAAGCTGGATTGGATAACACTACACGTTCCAAGCACAATATCAGCTTTAGGTAATGGGCCAGAGAGCACAGGGTTCTTTATTAAACTGCAGGAAATGCAACTGGACCCACTTCCCTTCTGCTCTATGTCTGCACTGGGGACTCACTGGACCAGGACTTATTAGCCATCTTGAAGCAGAGAAGCAAGAACGAAAGACCCAGCAGGACCCACCTGTAACGAGCTGACTACATGGGGACAAAGACAGGCATGTACAGCTCCTAGGAGCACTTGTGAGGCAGGAGAATAGGGTCTGGAGGCAGGGAATGTAAGGCCAATTCACGCTGACTTCCTAGAACTAAATCAAAAGGAAAACCCCCACTTTCCACGCCCAAGTGCCCAAGTAACAAAAGGACCAGAGGCTACTCCCTTTGCAACACCCCTCACCTGCCACCCTTTTTCTGCATTGCAGGTGAAAAACTGAAAGTCCCTCTGATTGGTCCCCTCTCACAACCAATCAGGTTGGTTGTGGGCCAAGTCTTCATTTGCGTGGGAGTATTACTTTGTAACTTCACTTCAGCCTCTAATTGGTCACTTTCCACAACTAATCAGACGTTTGCATTCTGATTGGTCCCTTCCAACCAATCAGACTGATCACAGGCCACTACTTCATATACATAGGGTGTACACCAAGTAACCAATGGAAACTTCTAAAGGGTATTTAAACCCCAGAAAGTTCTGTAACTGGGCCCTTGAGCTGCTTGCTCGGCCTGCTCCCACCCTGTGGAGTGTGTTTTCATTTTCAATACATCTCTGCTTTTGTTGCTTCTTTCTTTTCTTGCTTTGTTTGTGAGTTTTGTCCAATTCTTTGTTCAAAGCGCCAAGAACCTGGACACCCTTCACTGGTAACACTTGGGTCTGAGAGACCTAGAGAAAAAGAGAAATGACTCATGAACACTTAACTTTGTCAGGTAAAGAAACCTGGCAGAGTGGGTATCAAGTTTTCCCCAGTCTCACCAATCAGAAAAACCATCTTTCTCCCAAGAAAAGAGATGAGTGAGCAGGGAAGGGAGGGGCTGTAGTACTTTCCCCAAGAAGGCCATAATTCTAGATACACATGGAGAAACAATTATATTCCATTTATCCACTAAAAATAATACACAAGTTTTATTTTTCCCCCTTTCATATCAAGCACTGGTTAGAGATGACCCAGAAATCCAAAGATGGAAAGAACTTTACTGAGGTAAAGTTTATTTATGTTCATCATTTGGATGATATTAACCCTCTTTTTCAATCGGAAGCAAAGGATTTTTAGATGGGTTAATTCAGTCTCTCTGAGGAGCTGATACAGTTTGCTGTAAATGTGTTTTGCTTCACAGACAATAGTGCTGTGATGGAATGGTTGGTCCATGAGTCTGTGAATAAATGAATAAATCACACACCTGTTAAATTGTGTGCTGCACATAATCAAGGGGTTGTGATGTTGTTTTTTTTTAAAGCAAAAATGTTGCTTCTCTCCATTTGCTGCTCCTAAACAATTTCTAAATGTAGTGTCTTGTATTTTCCCCATTTAGTGAAGTTCAAAGTACTTCATGGTGCTCACACATGTGAATTCTAAATCTATGTATTGTCCCCATCAATTCTCAGAGTTGCAAATATAAGCACTGTGATTTGGCATAGGAGCAAATTAAAATATACCAACATTCTAATCCTTCCCCAGGTCATATTGTAAGTCAGGGTTGGAGAAGTAGGAGTGATAGAGTCTGAAAGGATACCATGAAGCATGCCACTCACCTGGGCAGGCACCCCGTGGGAGTGTATAAGGATGTAGGATTCTGGAGGAACCCACAAAAGTCCTGGAGCCTTAGGCTCCAATTCAAGAACACCTACCATGAATGACATCTCCATGCCAGGAACGTGACCACTGTGTCCACTGGCCAGGCCAACAGAAGGAGGAAACCATGAAGCTGCTGGGTTTTAAAACTTATGCATGGATAGCTTCCAAGCTCTCAGTTGTATCATGTAGTTTTAAAAAAAATGTCCTCTTCCTGAGTGGGGAACTGCAATCCATTATGAATGAAGACACTGCATTGTTATCTAAGTAGACAATAATGACAATATTGATTTTTATTTACTTTGTACCAATTATCTCCCAAAATATTCAGAGAAAAGGGTACAGACTCTGATGCTTCAAATTCATGCTCCATATTCTAGTTGTTTGTCATTGGTCAAATGACTGAGCCTACCTGAATTTGTTTACTAAACCAAAAAAAGGGGAGGCATAAAATTTTTATAGAGTAGAGGTGTTGAGGGAATTAAATGAGTGTGGTGTGTGTGTGTGTATGTGTAAAACGTGTAGAAGTTATAGGCTTTTACTGGGTTTGGCCACTTTGTGTACTACTTAGTTTCTTGGTCTACCTGGTTCATATATATTTGTCTATGGCAGCATATAAAGACATTCTTTAACTTGATGTATGATAGAAAGAGAGAAAATGAGAAGGAAAAAAGGAAAACGAAAGGAAAGCAGAACTGAAAATGACTGAGTGTGGTATCACTAAGAACTACATCCAGTTGGTTATATAGCTGTCTTAGCCACAGTGCATTGCTAAACTCTGTTATATTACAATGCAGGTCTAATATAAATCTACAATTCCCCCTCACTAACAACTGAAGAAGACTCTCATGAGAAAGGTTAAACGAGTGATCTATAGTCTGGGGTAAAATTTCCTTTCCTTGTATTAATTCAGCTGAGCCTTCACTGCATGCTCTGAGAGGGTGCATTTTTCTCAGCCCACCCGTTTTCAGTGTTTCCTCATTCACTTGCTCCAAGTTCACTTTACTTTGAGAAGAGCCCTTATCACTGTGTTGCTAGTACATTGAGCCAAAACTCTAGCCACTATTTACTTGGAATGCCATTGAAATACTTTCTTATTTTTGTTTTCCCAAAGCCTTCTTTCTCTTTCTTATCTGAACTTTCTATGTCATCACTGTGGAGCTGAGGAGATTTTGTTTTTGTTTTTGTTTTTGTTTTCGTCCTCTGCTCCTTTTGATGGAAGGAGTAATTTCCATATTGGTTTCGATTTGAACAGTGGATTTTCTCACTGGGTAAAACAAGAATGCCATGACACTTTCTGTGTAATTTCTGTATATTAAAGGTATCTATGGCAGTAGCAGACCGAGGCTACCCTCCTTAACCATTTACATCCAATGCTGAGTGTGATTCTAAAGCACTTAAAGTGATACTGAAAACTATTACTTTTAAGTGGCATTTTCAGAGGTTTGTCAGTTATAAAATAACCAAGTAGGAAGCATCAGTGAAAGCCATCTGGCCTTCAAATACTGCTTGTCTCTCCCTCACTCTATTATCTTTCTAGAGTCCCTGAAACCCTTAGCTTTGTTCATTCTTCAACAGACAGTATTTATTAATGTCCTTCAAGTGTTCCATCAGGGAGCCGGGTGGTGGGAATTAATACAACAGTATATGTGTATGAATATACATGGGGCTGTACCCACAGAGCTTATTAAACAAGTGTTGTCAATGACGGGTGCCAAATACCATGACAGGAGAAGCATGCTTTACATAGGAGCCTTCCTGGGAACTTCTAATCCATGAGGGTAGAGGGAGGCAGAAGCTTCCTGGAGGAAGTAATATTTTTAACAACCCTACCCTGTCATTCTTTTGAACCAAGGCATTTATTTATCCTTGTTGAAATGCAAACTACTTACCACTTACCCAGGAGAATAACACTTTTAGATCATAAGAACTCTGGGTATGTTGGCATACATTAGCTTGTCCACAAGCTAAGGCCCTGAGGAAATGAATATTAGAATTATTAAATTTTAGATGGCAGCAAAAGGAAGATTAAGCCCATGGCTCTGTTTAAAGATCAGGAGGCCACTTCTATGGGGAACTTTTTGTCTGCAGAACTTTGGGGTTCTGGGGATTAAGATAGGGCTTAGGCTCAAGACACTAAAATAGGATTCAGGTTACATGGATGATTTCCCCTACATTATAGTTTTGCCTAAGCCTATTCTACTCTTGAGCTAGTCCTTACAACTCCCACTCATCAGGGAAAATGCCTCCACTTGGCTTCTGGATAGTGAAAGTGAAGTGTGAAATGTAAGAGGAAAAGTATCTTTATAAAATCTGATATGCCCAAGATAGTTCTGCACCAAGACAAGTTTAGCTGGAAAAAATTCATCTTTCTGTTTTTCTACAGGTTATCTCTATGATCTCTCCTTGTATGTAAATTATTTATAAGAGTGTGATTCTAAAACTCAAGGTAAAAATTCGTCACTCACTTTTTGTTTACATGAATACGTGCCAGAACCTACACTTCCCCATTCTTATAGCATTACAAAAATGCCGATACATGAGTCTCCTGTTTATTAACTGGAAAAGCTTTCAACTGAAAATCCCCACTGTGTAATTTATACAGGCACTTTGAGATGTAATAAAAATCCCTAACCCTAATCTCAACCTCTGTCCTTTTAAAATCCAATTCAGAACACTTGTCAAGTGATTGACTAGAAAGGTGCCTTCCATTAAGCAAATGCCAGGAGGTGTTTTCTTCTGAAAATGAAGAGAGTTAGCAAGTGATCAGCAACTAGGAATTTTGTCTCTATCCTTCCTGTTGTGAGAGCTCTAACTCTGAGCCAGGATCCCTGCCTCCAGCTCTTAGGAGTTTGAGTGCATGTGTGTGTGTGCGCGCACGTGTGTGTGTGTGTGTGTGTGTGTGTGTGTGTGTGTGTGCATGCATAGTCATGCTTTGGAGTGAAGAGGAAATTCAACTCTGAGTTTCCACTTTTCCTGTGGACAAAGATCTGTTCCTTGTGTCCCCACATGGCATGGTGGAAATGGGGCATGCGTCACAGAAAGGATAACATTTTATAGGCTACAGTGCACTAGAGCACGTTAACTTTTATCCCAACAACAAACCTGCAGAAAAAGAGTAGGTTAGTTACAGATGTTCTTTTGCTTACCAACTTTCAACCTATGGATATTCACAGATAAAATCCCAAGCTCTCCTGTGAGAACATACTACATGGTAACAGCAGATGATATGGAATGTACACTGCTGCCTTTTGAACTCAAAAACTGTGCTGTTCACCATCAATGCATTTGCTGTGTTTGTGAGAGTTTTTTTTGAGAAGTTTTCCCAAGCATTATTAACCACATCAGATTCAATAAATCCAAGAAAATGGAGAGTGTTCAAAGTCCTTGTTGATATATACAATTACCATGGAAACAGAAGAGATTTTTAAAAACTGGAAGTGATGAGAAAAAGAGGAACTCTTCACACGAATATAGGATGAATTATTCAATAGTAGAAATGATTATAAAGGGCAAAGAGCAAATCGTGCAACGTACAAAAGTGCTGTGCCTGTGTCCGTGGACAATATCAGCAAGAGAATGGAAGAGGAAGACAAAGGATGACTTCTTGAGTCGGCACCTTGACACTAGATGGGCAGAGGAGCCTCCTGTTCATTCCGGGGAGGGCTAACTTGGGAGAAGTTTAAGAGCTGGCCAAAGAGACTCTGCTCTTGAAACTGTTGCCTCAAGGCAAAGGGATGCCTCTTCCAGTCTGGTTCACATCCACATGAGGGGCGAGGCGACGAGAATGCAGGCTGTGGCTCCTAAGGACCTCCTCAGGACACTTGGGAGATCCCCAAGAACAGTTATCTGCCCCCACAGACTTCCAGCAGAGACAAATGACAAATGACAATAATTTTGGGGAAAATGTCCTTCACTCATTCAAAAGCTATATTTTTAGTGCCTTCTATGCACCAAACATTATTTTATCACCTAGGCAGACATGGCATTGAACATGCATAAACAAGAACACCAGCTTTTATTAAAAGCTTTGAGAAACTGATTCATGCTCCTATTCCTGGAAGTGCATTTGTGACAGCAAGCTTAGTCACTTTGGAATTTCCAACAAACAGATTCAATTACAACCATATTGTAAGTAGAATAGTTTCTGTGTTAGTAGTTGCCAGTCTAATAATGAGGAAACTGGGCTATGCAGGGCTTAAGACACTTGTCCTAAGTTGTCAGAGGTGGAATGGAGTCAAATCCAGCTGTTGATTTCAAACTAGTGCTCTCATCTATGCATCTCAATTCTTTACAATATGATCCAACATACTGTCCTATAGATGAACCAAAAACTGACTCTAAAATTTCCTTTCTCCAATTCTTGGAAGCCAATGACATGCAATGTCTTCAGTTTTATTTTTTGCATATGATGAAGAGCTACTTTCTAGTAACTTACTAAGTATTTACTAAGGATTACTACATTATGGCATAATGATCTAAAATTAGCACATTATTACAGTTTACCAATGACTTAATTCTGTGCTATACTAAGAAGATTGCATAGCACCAAAGAACTGTTAATTCTGGCATGTGACTCACTTAGAGACAAGGAGATAGTTTGGAACTTCTGTAATTTTTAGTAAATAGGCTATACATTTTGAGTGTTGTTATCATGAGTGGGCTGGAGATTTCCATTTCTGCCATTCTTACCTTTCATTATAACTCACTGTTAATTTGATTTTTAAATTCTCATTTAAATTGTGGTGGATTGTTGGGTTAATCCTACAATGAATAGTAATGTATCAACAGCATTTCACCTTAAATCTATCCAATGACTGGATTTTAAGACATAAGTCTATTAAAATTCAAAGTAGTAATTTATTTTGCTAAAGCACAAACGTGTAGAATCCACACTCACCTGGCAAATATACTGAGATGCTCATTATATTTATCAAATTCTTTTTATTAGAAAGCGGAAGTGAGTAGTAAAGGAGTGAACGCAGGATATTTCTGCTCATGCTTGAGAACATCGAGTATTATTTTAACCTCTAGAAAACTAGTACTGCTATCTTTTAGGTCTAAGTACCATTCCCTATTGGCAAGCTACCTAAAAGCTATGTCTAACCCCTTCTCCCTTGCTGCCTCCCAGCACAGAGGCTGGAAAATAAAATATGTGGTTTGCCCATCTTTCTTGAAGCTAGGGACAGTCATGTCATCCTGTCTGGCCCATGAAATGTACATGGAATTCTTCTGGGGGAGACTACTTAGAGAGTTTTATATTTCCTGATGAATTACCTCCAAATAATATTGAAGACAATGCCTGGAACAACAGCCATTCTGTAACTACAAGGAAAGTAGCAAGAGAATCACAAAGATCTGTTGCTAAAACCCTGAACCTATGCTGATAGTTGCCTACCTACAGATTTCTTTTTATGGGAGAAAGAATAAAACCCTATTTGTTAAGGTCAATGAGCACTGAGTTTATTGTTAGGATCCAAAAGCAAATGCAGTAATACTTATATATAGATAGGTAAGGATTTAGATGCTGACTTTTGTATATAATCCTTATTTGTAATATTGCCTCTGGGAAAAAGGTATTCTGGGTTTAAACAGATTTATTAATTAAAAAATTAAAACATAACCTTCTAATTGATAAATAATTTCAAGTGTGTATTTTCATCACCTCTCCCTCAATCTCACACTCTCATTAGCACCCTCACAAGCATTTGAGCACACACACCTGCTCCAAGACCTGTGTTTTTCCCCTATTACCTAGTGATGGGATGATAAATTGGTTTCATCTTAGGCGCCAATGGTGATAGATTGGGAATGGCTGTCTGGATCACAATGTTGAAAATAATTTTGAGGCAGACAACACAACTCATAAGGAAGAGTGCTGTGATCAATCGGCCAGGTCTGCCAGGGATATGAAAAATGGACTGGCAGCACCTGTGTTTTTGTAACAGTTGACCTGATCCAGTGTATCAAATTTTAATTGCTCAATCTAGCATAATCCCTTCTCTTCTCTCAACCCTGTAGGTAGGAATTTAGGATTTTCAAACTGGGACATTTGGTCTCTATGTTGGCTATAGTTCACTAACTAGAAAGTCAGGGTATAGTAAAGAAAACAATAGCCAGCTAAAGTATTTAAGTGGGAATTATATTAAAATGTCATGTCTTTAAAAATGTAAACATATATAGTCATGAGGTGCACCACTTGCTTTTCCCTTCAAGGAATAACTTGCTGTCGGGTTGCAAGATGTGCAGTTAGCCAACAGCATCCAGCTACACCGTCTGTAGAATCCACCTTAACTTTCAAGCCAAGGCCATGCACATCCTAGGCAGACCCAGACATTGCCTGAGCATGGAGGTTCATGGCCAGGCCAGGCCATTTCTATCCAGTGTGGGACTCTCTTGCAGGCAGTCTTTGCTATGGGACTTCCATTATATTGGCTAAGACTTCGTCAGATCTACATCATGGACTGAGACACTCCCAGCTCCATCCTGCTTCCTTCTGCCTCTCCTTTCATAAGTGGCACATCAGCACCCCTGTCTGATATGGTTGAGCTTTGTGCCCCTACTCAAATCTCATCTTGAGTTGTAATCCCCAGGTGTTAAGGTAGGAACCTAGTGGGAAGTGATTGGATAATGGGGAAGGTTTCCCTCAAGCTGTTCTCATGGTAGTAAGGAAGTTCTCATGAGATCTGATAATTTTAAAAGAGTGGCACTTCCTCACTCACTGGCTCTTCTCTCTCCTGCCACTATGTGAAGAAGGTCCTTGGTTTCTCTTTGTCTGCCGCCATGATTCTAAGTATGAGGCTCCCCCAGCAATGTGGAAATGTGAATCAGTTAAACCTCTTTCCTTTATAAATTGCCCAGGCTCAGGTATTTTTTTACAGCAGTGTGAAAATGGACTAATACATTGCCCCACCTTGATCAGTCTCCCTTTATCTTTCCCAGGTGTGACCCCCTCCTCCTCATACACTCGTAATTCTGCTTCCTGGAGAATCCAAACTGATACCTATACCTACTATGGATATGACTACTTAAATATACCAAGCACTTATCATGAGTGGGCACATACAACATGACCAAAGAGGCAAAGTGCTAGGTTGGCTTTTGCATCAGAGAATATTGATTAAAATCCCAGGCACAAATCATAGAGTGGCTTCGAACTAGTGTCTTATTCTTAAGGTGAGGATGATCATGGTGATACCTGATGGGACTGTGTGAGGATTAAATGAGATAATCATGAAGTTGATTTCTAAACTATTATGCACTGTATTACTTTTAGTTGTCACTATTATTTTATAATTTCAAGCAATTTTACATATCAATTACCAGCTGATTAATTAACATTCCTTTATAAATATTTATTAAGCCTTCACCATGTAACTGGTACTGGTCTAGGAACTGAGGAAGGCAAAGTTCCTGCTCTAGTGAATCTCAGATTTTCTAAATTAATCAAGTAAATATGAGTTTCATTTAAAATAAACTAAGCAACAGGTCGCTAACATAGGTGGTCATATCTTTGCTTGGTTCGATTCTAATAGCAGCTTGGATTCGTCCCAGGATTTGTCTTTGTTGATCTTTCCTGCTGAACTACCTTTTCTTTCTTTCGGTTTCACCATCCTTGATGCTGTGAATCCTGCAGGGAGCTAACAGGCTGGTGTGATAGCTTCTTACTACACCTACAGCTCAGCGAGTCCCGCCACTTGCTTTATACACTTTGATTTTTCTCTTTGCTTCTCTCTCCTATCTGACCCCCCTTTTCCTGAACACTTGCTGCCCCCTATTTCTCTTTTCTTCACTTTTGCTTTACTTCTTTTGCTGCCCCATTCCGTGGGAGACCCTATCTCTGTTTCTTCAGGTGGCCCTGTGGGTGTGAAAGAACAAACTTCTGGGCAGGCATACACCAGTGGTACACCAGCGGTACACAGGAAGACACCCCTCCCAGGAAACAATACCTCTGCCTCTGACACTTCCGGGAGCCTTGTAGCCACAGGAATCAACACATGTCTCTGCAACACTTCAAATTAACTCAGGCCTCAACAAGGCAGAGAGGGGTGTAGCCATACAGGCATGATCAGGGCCAGCTTATCACCATTCACTGGGAGACTGGCTGGAATGTGGATGTGCCGAGTGAAAAGTCAAATGTCTGCCTAATAGCAGAGCCCTCCACTCTGAAACACAAATGGCCCACTACATTCCTCACTCATAATTTTTAAAAATTTTTTAAAAAAATCTTTTACCCTAATGTCCAGTAGGCTATTGAACACTAGCTATCAATTTTTTGCCCTATGCCCTACAGTTAAAAATAAATGGCCAGGCAGGGTGGCTCACACCTGTAATCCCAGCACTTTGGGAGGCTGAGGCGGGCAGATCACAAGGTCAGGAGATCGAGACCATCCTGGCCAACATGGTGAAACCCCGTCTCTACTAAAAATACAAAAATTAGCTGGGTATGGTGGCATGCCTGTAGTTCCAGCTACTTAGGAGGCTGAGGCAGGAGAATTGCTTGAACCCGGGAGACAGGTTGCAGTGAGCTGAGATCATGCCACTGCACTCCAGCCTGGGTGACAGAACGAGACTCCATCACAAAATAAACAAATAAATAAATGTGTGTGCATAAATATGTACACACATATACATATGTATATTTTATATACACAAGTATTTGTATATCTAAAACCAGTTTCACAAAACAGTACCCTCATTACATGCATAGCTCAAATTTTTTAATTTCTTTATAATCTAGTTATCTTAATAACTTTTTAAAATGCTGGTTTTGACCTAGAGATTTTTAACCTTGTGTGTGTGTGTATATGTGTTTGTGTGTGTGTGTGTATCTGTTTGTGTGTATGTGTGTGTGTGTATGCATGTGTGCACGTGCCATTTCTACCCCATGTGATGAAGCCTATGGATCCTTTCTTGTAGTGTTTTTAAATGCATAAAGCAAAACTCTTAGGCTTACAAAGGAAATCAATGATATTGAAATACAATTCTATCCTTGGGCCTCTTGTGGGGAAAGGGCAGTGTCCACAGACCCAGGTTAAGAATCTCTGCATGGGTAAATTGATTTCCCAGCTGACTGCTGAGCCACAACCTGCAGTTTGGAAAATAAGGCTGTACAAAGCCTCAGAACATTTTGTTGTAGTTAAGTATTTCAGATGCTTATTATCCTGTCACGGTTTTAACCCTCTTTTCCCTCCCTTTCCCCATGCTCCCTCTATCCAGTCACCCACACCCCACCACATGCACATGCATGTGTACTCACTTACATGCATGCACATATATGTTGCCACATATCCACATACACATAGGCACACACATGCACAGGCACACACATGCAGATCTTAGGTCACATATCTGGAATGAGATGAGGCACTAGACCACTGGGTCCAGCCCCTCCTGTGACCCCAGTCCCACTCCCTGACTGCCTCTGTGTCACAGCTCCTCTGGCTCCTGCCTCAGAACTACTCTAGTGGCTCATTATCTCTGCAGGGCAGCGCTCACCATCACGACTTTCTTGTTTTCTTTCACAGCATTGTGAGCCAATAGGTGCATTCTGCCTCAGAATAGTGGTGGAGACTGGTGGTGGCACAGCCCAGAGCTCTTGACGTTTATTTTCTCAGGCTTCAGTGAACCTTCTGTGGCAGGTGTTTCCTTTTGATAGGCGGCAGTTCCTCCCTGGGTCACTCCAGCCTGCAGCTGAAGCCCTCACTTAGCTCACTGTGGCTGTACTGAACACACCACCTCCCAACATGGAGCAGCCTAGCCAGGGGGTGCGGGAAGGAAAGATGGTTGCTGCCACAAATGAATGACTCAGCTACCTTCTCCAATGGTTTGATATTGACGTTTCCTCCTGTCATAGCAAAAATGCCCAGGTGAACTGTTTTCTCCATCGCATGTAGAAAGATGATGGTTGTCTGAACTGGTTCCAGGTAATGGACAGTGGTAAGCGCTCCCTTCTCTTATAGTATGTTATGGATTGAAGTGTGTCTCCCCACAAAAAGATATTACTGGAGTCCTAACCCTGAATATTTCAGAATGTGACCTTATTTGGAGATAGTGTGTTTACTGAGGTAATCAAATTTAAATGAGGTCATTACAGTCTCTAATCCAATAAGACTAGTGTCTTATAACAGAAACGAACGCTTACAGAGGGAAGACAATGTAAAGAGACACATGGAGAAGATGGCTGTATTTCCATTCTCATGCTGCTATAAGGACATACCCAAGACTGGGTAATTTATAAAGGCAAGAGGTTTAATTAACTCACAGTTCAGCATGGCTGGGGAGGCCTCAGGAAACTTAGAATCACGGCAGAAGGGGAAGCAAACACGTCCTTCTTCAAGTGGTGGCAGGAAGAGAACTGAGTGAGTAAAATGAGGAAAGTCCCCTTATCAGATCTCCTGAGAACTCACTCACTTTCACGAGAACAGCGTGAAGGTAACTGCCCCCATGATTCAATTACCTCCCCCGGGTCCCTTCCATGACACGTGGAGATTATGGGAACTACAATTCAAGATGGGGTTTGGGTGAGGACACAGCCAAACCATATCAACAGCCATCTGTAAGCCAAGGAGAGAGGCCTGGAACAGATACTTCCCTCGCAGCTCCCAGAAGGAGCCAATCCTGCCGACACCTTGATTTCAGACTTCTGGCCTCCAGATTGTGAGACAAGAACAGCAACTCGGCCTGTGTTCTCTGCCCTTGAGGTTGAAACAGGGAGCAGAAGGTTTTTTTTCCCCTCTGTGTTGCAGCATGGAGTTCTGAATGACAGATGAGGGGTTGATCACCCTCCACACCCATGCTAAGCCTTATGGCTTCACGGGGTTCAGGCTTCCTGTGTTCAGTCTTCTGTGTTGCCAGAAAAATTTGCATACTCCCATGGACAAAGAAAGCAGCAGAGGAGAAAGAAGAGCTTTCATTCACTTCCTCTTTGGGGTGAGAGCAAGTCTGAATGCTCTAGAATTGATTCTATTAGAAAAACTCTCTGACCCCAAATATGAATATTTTCACCACACCCAATACTCATAATTTTAAAAATAGATCTTTTGAGTTTCATCCTGACTAGTAACCTAAAGATCACTGACTTCTGATTTATTTTTTTATCATGCTCTACAGTTAGAAATGCAAACATATAGACTAGAGAGGGCCACAGAGGTGTTTGATCCCATCACTTCATGTAGGTAGGAAGATGTTGAACCCCTGAGAGGGGTCGGAACTTGTCCAAGATCACACAGCAGGCAGAGTACATCAGGACCTCAAACCCATATCTTCTGCCCTCTCCTCCTAAGGTCTCCATCACTAACACCCTGTCACGGTCCATCCTGCTAAGGAAGTCTCTACTATAAAATCCCATACCTTGAAAATTAATTGTTTTTCCACTCACACGTTACCACCCTTCCCTCCTGCAAACATTTGGAAGTTGAAAGGTCGCACAGCCTTCATGAAATTAACCAGAAGAATTGAAAGGAAGCTGATGACAAAAGTACTTCAAAATCTGTTTTTCATGAAAACAGCTTTTTCTTTTCCCCCTCAGATCAAACTGAATTTTTCTTTTTATTTTTGCGGTATTCTTCTAATTGTGCCTTTTTAAATGTGTTTGAAATAGTTCTTTGTTTCTGTAGATTAATCACCTTTCAATGCTCTCCTTTTTTAAAAAAAACAAAATTTTAAAACTTTTAAATAAAATTTTCATTTGTTAACTCTCAGTCCTTCTCCTTTATCATAATTCACTTTTCCTATCATGTTCAGTGAATTATACAATTAATTACTTTTTCAGCTTGCAAATGGTTTGCTATTGTATATGTCATGTTTTCTTTTGGATGAGAAAACACTTATTTCACACAATAGTGCCATTGCTTTTATTATTCTTCCTGTCACTGAGAGGGGGGAAAGACCAAGAACCAAACAATAAGACTTTTATTTACAGCTACTGGAAAGCTGTCCTGAAGGTCGCTACAAGCCTCTGCCATTGTGTGCTTCCATCTTGGACATGCCATCCGAGATGCCTAGAATGGCAGGGGTCTTCCAGAGCATGGAGTCTTATCTCGTTTCACAGTTGAAGAAACTGAGGCACATAGGTCCTCCCAGGGCCATGCAGCTACCTAATGCCAGATCCGGAACTAAACTTCAGGTTCTTGACTCCCAACCCACTGTCTTTTCCACTGCCCAGAAAATCCCAGGAATTCTTTCCAAGCTCCCTGAATTCATCCCAAGCTAGTGTTGCAATCCATTTGCTTTTATCTCAGCAGCGTTGGAAAAAAGGGGCTGTCATGAATCCTGGCTCAATAATAGGAGTTTACATAATAATTTGCATAATCTGGTTGATTAGTTTCATGTTGCGCCAGCTCCAGCCTTCAAGTCATCTTCATAAGTTCTTTCGTGTATCAGAATCCAGAAGCTGTCAGGAGGAATCTGCACATGGGCTTGTGGGGGTAAGAGGATGGGATCTGGTGTCAGACCTGGGCAAGTTATTAACCTCCCTCTGCCTCCACTTTCCCTGATATAAAATAAGGATACTGAGAGCATCTCTGTCATGTTGCCTTTTTTCAGGATTACATGAAAAAAAAGTAGGCTTAATATTCATAACAACTCAATAAATATTTATTATTCTTGCTACCAATGAGGACATACTATTTGATAGGGGTTTAATAAAAGTTTATAAGGAAATATAAAACCGTAATTAGTGCAACTGCAACAGTTGTGGTGTGGTGCAGTAGAAATCATTCTGGGCTATGAATTGGGATATCTGAGCCCCAGATTCAACTTCACCATGAATGAGCTATGTGGCCAGCAAGGAGCTGTCTCTCCTCTCTCGGTCAGTTTCTTAACCAACAAATCTAATCCTAATCTCCAAATGGGAGAGAGGAACTCCCTGAAAAGTACAATTTAACTGACTCACAACCTGTCAAAGCTACCCAATCTTACAGCAGAAGAAGGGGAACCCCTGCCAAGAATTATTGTCCCCTGCTCAATGAGGAAGGTGATTCCTTGGTCCGCCTCCATGAGGAAGATAATTGTTGGGCCATCACTCTGAAGCATCCTGGCCCTAAAGCAGGAATAATTCCACCCTTGCCTTCATGGGAGCCACCTGCCTGAGCTCAAGCCGGAGAAAGGAGCAGATGAACAATGAATGTCACAGCAATTCGTTTTGGCAATTAGGCAGGCAATTAGTTCTGCAGCATGTAGAATGGGAGGAGAAAGTAAATCAGCACTGAGAGGTGACAGGGAAATATGATTAGGACATCAGGTGCCAGTGACACCCAGGTGGAAAGTCATGCATTAGGGTCCCAGCCTCCCCTTCCCCACCACCGCCACGACAAAGGAAGGAGCTTTCCAGAGACCCTGGAAAACAACTGCTTTAATAGAAGGGGCGTTCCACCCTCTGTTCTAGCCTCTTTCTCAAGGACATCTCATGCCTCCAGTGTTCACTCCAGGCTATGATCTTGCTGATTTCTCACCAAAAATTCTGCCCAGTGTCAAATAACTGAAGCAGTAGTTTCCTGGAGATTGTCTTCTCTTAGCTGCAAATACATTTGTTTTGTTTTTATAGCTTTGGTAGCTCCTTTCTAAAGACAAATTAATTTCACATTTTTCTTGGGGGTAGGTAGGAGGCAGATACTAAATCAGTGTATGATATTGTGGGGCATGGGGTTGTGCTTTGAAATCAAGGACCTGGGCTTAGATTCCAGCTCCACTACTTACCTAGGCTCCTACCTTTAGTTTCCTCAGCTCCAAAAATGGGCATAATAACAGGATTTCCAGGTAAAATACATGACATTTCCATATCTCTTGTCCAAGGACAAATTAATTTCACACTTTTGGGAGTGTATGTTTTATTTAAAAATCATTTGTTTTGATCTGAAATTCAGATATAACTGGATATCCTCTATTTTTATTTGCTACATCTGGGAACCCTAGAATAAAATAATAATACTTACATCAGAAAGTTAATGAGAAGATTAAATCAAGAACCATATTAAAAACCCCTAATGGTGTGCCTAATTGGGAAGTTGAGGAACAATTAAAGTTTCTTTCTTCTTGCTTTCCTCTGCCATTCTCATCTGAAAGGTTAGACATCTTCTGTACAGCCTGGAAGTATAGAGCAATGCCAGTAGCAGTGGACTGGTTTTGACTCAAGACAAGGAAAGACACTTCTAATGGGTTGACTGAGGCAAGGGGTCCAAGCCCAGGCCCAGATGCCTCCTGAAGAGAAGACTCAAGCATCAGAAGAGTGGCTGGACATGACATTTAAGGTCTCTTTCTACCTGAGTTTCTGAACTAGTATTTGGAGCTTCTTTTCTTACGATTAAGCACTGGGAACAGCTTCAGAGGACCCAGAAGTACAATTAGGAAGTGTGATGACACAGGGAGCACCCAGCGCAGCAGCAATTTGTCCAGAGCATTCACAGTGATTCTTAGGAAAAGTCAGGGATGGAATCCAGTGCTAGATTTCACACGTCGAGGTACTCTGCTGGTGTTCTGATGATCCTCCTCACCAAAGGCACCTTCAGGTTTTGTGAGGCATGAGGCTTATACAATTATGGGAGCCCTCTTTAAGAAGAAGAATGCAAAATTGCAAATACAAAATTAGGCATGAAAGCGAATATTTACTTAGAATGAGAAATTATATCATGACAAATTACAGGAGTGCTGGAGAATTAGTTCCTTTTCTTCTGAGATCCCTTTAAGCAATTTACCCAAAATGCTGACATAGAAATGTTTCCTGATTGTAACCCAGCTTCCTCTCTCCACCTGGAACTCTATCACTCTTAGCAACCCAGGCTCTCACAGGGGCCGTGCATGGGAAAGGACCTGTAACTCAGGTCCTTTATTTATTAAACTTTATTCATTTTATGATAGATCTTCTCTTGTAACCAAGTATTTTTGAAATATAATTTTATTCTTTTATTTTTAATTGATACATAATAATTATATATACATATGGGGTACAAGTGATATTTCCATACCTGTATACGATGTTTAATGATCAAATAAGTGTATTTAGCATATCCATCATCTCAAACATTTATCATTTGTGTTGAGAACATTCAAATTCCTCTCTTCTAGCTGCTTTGAAAAACACAATAAATTTTTATTAACGATAGTCATCCTACTGTGCAATGGAACACTAGAGCTTATCTAACTGTAACTATTCTTATTTTTTATTTTTTTGAGATGGGGTTTCAAAAATGTTTAAGCCTGTCACCCAGCCTGGAGTACAGTGTGTGATCATGGCTCACTGCAGCCTGGACCTTCCCAGGCTCGGGTGATCCTCCCACCTCAGCCACCTGAGTAGTTGGGACTACAGGCACTTGCCACCATGCTTGGCTAATTTTTTAAATTTTTGTACAGATGGGGTTTTGCTAGGTTGCCCAGGCTGGTCTCAAACTCCTGGGCTCATGCCATCTGCCCACCTCAGCCACCTGAAGTTCTAGGATTATAGGTGTGAGCCACTATGCCCAGACCACAACTGCTATCTTGCTCTTATCTAACTTCCTCCTGCCTAACTGTAACTTTGTACCCTTTCACCAACTTCTCCCCATTCCCCACCCCACCCTTCCCAGCCTCTGGTAACCACTAGTCTACTCTACTTCCAGCAACTTCCAGTTGCTGTGGGTGGACTCGTGTCACTCACGTCCCCCTGACAAGCCCATGGCTACATCCCCTTACCTTTTACTTTTTGGATTCCACATATGAGTGAGATAATGCGGTTATTTGTCTTTCTGTGCCTGGTTTATTTCATTTAACATAATGCCCCCCCCAGGCTCATTCATGTTACTGCAAATGACAGGTTTCATTCTTTTTTATGGCTGAATAATATTCCATTGTGTATATATACCACATGTTCTTTATCCATTCATCTGTTGGTGGACACTTAAGCAGATTGCATATCTTGGCTATTGTTAATCACCCAGCTGAATAATTTTACAATCATGTTTATTACACAAGCAATGTTGTAAGAGTGTTAATGGAAAACAAAAGAATAAAAAGGTGGAGAGGGAACTCTCATAATCCCATAATTTCAACCAACCATTTGTTTCTTTTTTCCATATTTCTTTTTCAGCCCATGCTTCTACATGCACAATTTAAGTACTTGAAAACATGGCAAAGATATAATTTCCTACTCTTTTTCGCTTAACATGCCATCATTTCCCTATGGCTCTCTGCTGTCTTAATCAGTGTGATATTTCAAGGCTGTATGATAATTCACTCTCCTGCCATTGTGATAAATTCATATTACACAAACAAGAATTATAAAGATGGGATCTGAATTTTAGCCTGACTATAGACGTTCTAACCACACACACACACACACACACACACACACAAATGCAAAGGAAAGAAAGACCATAGCAACATTGTAATTCACAGAGGTGTAAATAATCTGTCAATTTAAATAGAAGAATCAGTCAAACTCATTATTAGGTGTGGACAGATAAAGAAACTATCAGCAGGTTGGATTTCCACTTTTCAACTAATTTCTTCGGTTAAGAAATTGAAACTCCAGTGAGGATGACCCTTCTCATGGGGTTATGAAGAGGAATAAATAGAGATTGTCATGTGACTGGATACTACAGTGGATGGACATTTTTTCCTCTCTAAGGAGTATTTATTTCTTAATGGAAAGTATTTCTACTGGAGCCATACCATGCAAATTCTATGGCAATAATTCAATTATGCCGATTAGAATGCAAATTATTCCATAAAACACTATGAAGACCCTCCCTCTGAGAAACTTCTGAACAAAACATTTCAATAGTGCTCAGTAGCTTTCCCTTCCTGGGTGGAAATTACAAGTCGAGTACAATATGATTCATAACTTCATGGAACAGTTGCTGTGGGTGGACTAGTGTCACTCACGTCCCCCTGACAAGCCCATGGCTACACCCCCTTACCTTTTACTTTCTCAACTTCTCAGTGGGATGCAGCAACCAAACCACCCTGTAGGGTTTTGACTTTTTAAAACTCCAGTATAAAAGACAGGCTGTAAAGACGTGGCAACAGCATCCAAAACTCCTATTCTAAATTCTCTGTGTGTCATATCAGGCAGCAAGCTCAGAGTTTGAAATGTCTCTTCTGTGGTTTGGAACTGTTTCCACAGTCTACCAAATTTATAAGCAAAGGTGATTACAGCTCATCACAACTCACTTACAGCATTATACCAAGATGGACATAAGCTATTAAAACTACAGCTAAGTCATTTTTAGGATGAAGGTGCACACTAACGGGCATGACTCACCTTATTTTGGGATTCCTAATATAACAAAGGTTGTTGCAAAGGTTCCCTCTTGGGTTTTTAAATCTGCAGCTCTCATGTTCTCCTATTAAGGACAGGACCTGAGAGCACTGGAGTAGAGGCTGCGTGCAGGGCCAGTTCTGAAAGCACAGTCTCTGTTTTAGCTGGAGGTATCTCGGATCCTATGTTGTGACGATGTCAAGGTTTAGACACTCCCTAATCCTCAACCTGTAACACCCCCTCAGACTTTATGGCTTCGATTCCTTGCAATGAAAAACAGAAATTGGGGAGCAACTACAAATAACTGATTCCACACGGTCTCCTCATGTATCGATCTTCCTTCTGCATCAGGGACTCACCTGGCGTCGCAGGGATGGTGATGATCAAAGGGCTTCTTCCCGGCAAAGACAAAAATGTGTACAATTATTTTTTTCCTTTAATTTTATAAAAGACAACGTGTATGTGAACCAAAACTAGGGAATGACATTCTGACCAGCCAATTTTCTCACTGAAGCTTTTGTAAAATGAAATTTTCTTTGCTTCCTATTTTTATGCTGTCTTCTAGTGTGGCTGGCACGGGTAACAATCATACTTGGCACTTCTGTCGTGCTTTTCATCCAAAGATTTCAAAGTGCTCCACACAGGATTTCATCCTCACGACAGGGCTGGGAGGAAGGTCAGTTCTGTTATGCCTAGTGAGCAGATAGGATGCAGAGCAGAGACATGACTCATACGTGGGCCCTGCAAACCTTCAGTGACAGAAACAGGTTAGAGCCCAAGCTTCCTAATTCCTAACTCTGTCTGCTGTTCACTTGTCTCAGCTGATATGGCCTTTTCTTCTAAGGGCTGAACATTAGGCCCAGCATGACATATTATGAACAGCTTGTTAAGTGTCTGACCCCAAGGAGAAATGAGAAGCCCAAATAAAAATGGGTTTGATTTGTTTCTGAGAACTCCTTTTCAGTCTTTAAGAACTTGTACCAATAAGCCTTAAAAGTGAGTGCAACTCTACTGGGTGAAAAATGGCTACCAGATTTCAATACTTGAAAATATCAAAGTATTGGCAAGAAAGTCAAGCAACAGGAATCTTATATTCTACAGTTGGGAATGTAATTAGTACAGCCATTCAGGAAAACAATTTAGCAATGGCTTGTAAAGTTGAACATGTACATCCACTTCAACCCAGCAATGCCACTCACACATAATATACATAATAAGAATATAATATAATATATAATTTCTCTAGAAGAAATTCTTGTATATATGCACCATGAATACAAACCGACATATAGATGAGAAATGAAATAAAATATTATCCAGTGCTGAAGATGAATGAACTACATCTTCTCATAAAATATGGATAAACATACATAGTACTTACTGAAAAAAAGCAAGACTGAGATGAAGAGATAAAAGAAGAATCTAGTTTTGTAAAGCTCAAAAATATTAAAACTAAACGTATGCTTAGAGGCACAAACATATATATAATAAAACTAGTTTTTTAAAAGCAATCAAATAACAAAGGCAAAAGCAGGATGATAATTCCATATTGGGAAAGTTAGGGATCTGAGACTGGGGAGGAACACAAGGTGTATGTTCTAGTGTATGAACTAGGTATGTTCTAGTCCTTAAGTTGGGTGGTGGATTCATGTAATTTTGTTTTACCTTTTCTCTTTATGATTACATATGCATTACACATATTCTTTTCAAATATTACCAAATAATTTTAAGTCAGCACAGATGGGCTAAAAATGAAAAAAAAAAATAAAAAAGAGACTTTTAAAGGAAAGCATAAACCTTCACCAAGTGCGTGTGTATATGAGTGCAGGGCTTAAAATACTGCTTAAAGATCATAAACATCTAAACGTTTTTAGGGCATTTTAAGACATCTGTCAGACAGTGAGTCAAAAATGTATTTGAAACAATTATGACCTAAAAAGATTTACTGTAGTTAGTTTGTAAAGAGTTCATATAAATTGAGAAGGAAAACATTAAAACTCAATAAATGATCTGGAAAAATATATGCACAAACAATTTCCCAGGAAAATTCAAATGAGAAAGATATGAAAGAGGTTTGGACTCCATTAGTAAACAAAGAAATGAAGATTGTCTAGTATAACTTTTTTGAAAAAATCTGTAAGATTAGTGAAGATTGAAAAAATTCTCAGTGTTGGCAGGAGTTCAGTGGAGGGGGCATTAACACTGCTGACTTACCACCTTTTCCAGAAGCATTTTAGAAATAGGATTCAGCAGCTTTAACTAAGCCCATAACTTTTCATTCAGTAAGGTCCTAGAAACCTCTCCAAAAGAAACCATTAGAAACCTAAAGATGTTCACAGTAAAATTATCGTTAACAGCAAAAATTAGTTTAAATGCTGAACAATAAGAGAATGGTTAAAGTGTAGTACATCCTCGACGGAAATTATGCAAGCAATAGCAATGGTGTTTTCAAAAAATACTTAGTGATATGGGAAAATGTTTATACTAAGTGAAAATCAGCATACAGAATTGTTCTTACTGCACAATTTTAGATGTATAAAATATGTGTGTACACACACACGCAAAGAAAAACACAGAAGATGTTGAAAGATTTAAACAGTGACCTCTGCATAATGAGCTACTGAATGGTTTTTAGTTTTTTCTTTGTTTATCTCCATAGTTTCCATAGGGAATTTCCTAGGTTAATAATAAAAAAAATCAGTGTTTTTTGAAATAATGCAAAGTAGTTACAGTAGAGGGGCAGATATTCCTGTAACATAGCAATGCTAGGCCATAAAGTGTCCATTGTAGGGTGACCAATTGTCGCAGTTTACCTGTGACTCTCCCAGTTTCAGACAGGAAGAGTCCCATGTCCTGGGAAACCTGTCAGCCCCAAGGAAACCTGGGACAATTGATCCTCCTTCCAACGCCTGAGAAGCTTATCGGAGTGGAAAGATTTCCCCACCCTAAATCAACCATAGTCTTGATCATTCCTCAGTCTCCCTATAGAAATGGCTATTGCGACCTTGCCGTTATGAAGATTTTTTAAAGTCATATCTTAAAGAGCTTGTGGAAAACAGAGCAGATTGCATAAATGCTAAATAGGCTAGTTTAGCTGCATTATACAAGCTCTGAATGTGCAGTCAAATGGGTCAGGAAACAAGAACCAGCTCTTGTCTTAGGGAAAAGAAGAGTATTTATCTCCCATTTCGGTATTTGTGCTGTACATAGTCTTTCCTTTTGCAGAATGGGAGTGGCAGGTGTATCACGCTGCCAGAGGAAAACTGAGTGCTGGGGAATGCAGCTTACCGGGTGAAGCTAGTTCTCCAGGTTGGAGCTAAAGCCCTGGGGATGAATAGATTCAGGTTGGAACTGCCTTCACACAATCCGGGCAAATCTCCACCTACGCTAAATCCCCAGGAAGTTTTTCTACATTTCTGCTTAGGAAAGCATCTGGGAAATATCATAAGACTACGATACTGGGTATGCTAACAGCAATCTCTATATCACAGAGAAGAGCAGTGAGTGGCAGATAAGGGGGCGGCAGGGAGTCAGCGTGTCTATGTTTGAGGCGAGTCTTCGCTACCTCCCAGGCGCATGAATTCCTTTGGGCAGCCACTTAGCCAGTCTCTGTTCCTTAGTTTCCTCATGCATAAACTGAAGATGCTAACGGCACCCACCTCAGCGTTGTGAGGATTGCATATGTGTTAACAGGGTAATAAGAGCTGGGAGCAGTGCTTGCCGATGGGCACGCAGGCGGCTTATTAGGGGGTGCACTTACAATCAGCCCCAGGGACAGCAAAGGGAAGGAAGCAGGATTGAGCAGAGCAGAGCAAAAGGTCGAGCTGCGATGAAATCTTGACAGAGCCTCAGTGGGGACCACCACATCTTTCCTGACTTGGGGCTAGAGATGGGTCCTTGATACCCCTGCAGTCAATCACCCAGCCACCCCGCGAAAGGGGCTGGGCCTTGACTTGGCAACCCTGAGAGTCACCTCAGGTTTCCTCCCACAGCCCCCGGGGCTGAGATCTGAAATCCATGGCTGCGTTGCACCGCGTAGGCCGCGCCTTGTCCTGGATGCTCCCTGCCGATAACAGAGCCAGCGGGGATACTGAGGCAGGCCCCTTGCTGGGAGCAGGGGACTGATCTGATGGCTGATTTTTATCTAGAGACATCCCCGATGACCTTGCTGAATGTTCCCGAACCTTCACAGCGGTCTAGTATTCTTCTGCCCAGCCTTCCTTCCCTCTCTTCTGTACTTTGGATCAGCCTTCTCTGGCTTCCCTAAAATTGATGATGAACACTGTGATGTGTCACTCCAGTTCCCATTTAGGAACAATTTTAAAATTTGCTATTTTTAATCCTCTTTAATTTTATTTTTTGAAAATATAAAACTTTACATGGCTCAAAAGCCAAAACTCAACTAAACAAACAGAGAAAACCAAAAAGTATAATCAGAGAATTCAGGCATGCATTCTGAAAGGCAGAAAGCAGTGCAGAGAAATTGTTTTAGACTGAAGGAGACTAAACTACATGGCAGTCAATTGGTTCAGGAGGCGGGGAAGGGAAAATCTAGCTAGCTATATATCTTGCTAGATACGAAAAAACAAATAGAGCAAAATGCTAACAATTGTTGCTCTAGATTAAGAACATTGTAATATTATTTGAGTCTTCCTGTAGATTTTGAAAGTTTTTGTAAATATGAATTCTAGGAAAAAGTAAGACATTTCTTTTTGTCGAAGTGTCCAGTACTTGAGTTCTTCTTTATCTGCAAACATATTAAGACATAAAAGACAACTAACATGGCCTAAAGCATAGCAAATAAGTAAAACACTACACCTATGCCCTAATTTCTTAAAAGTAAAGCAAGAACTCGTAACGGGAGATTTCCAGGTTTAAATATAACACGCCTTTTAATTTTCAATGAAATTCTAGACAGAAGAGTTAAATATGTGATTTGTGAGCACTTAGAAAGGAAAGCAATGATCACTAAGAGACAACATATGTTCATTAAGAAAAGGTCATGCAAAATAAATTTTTTTTTCCCTCGGTGTGGAACATCAAAGACATAATATAATTCAATTACAACAAAGCATTTGAAAAAACTGATCGTACTGGCTTTGTGACTAAAATGAAGAAATATAGCTGAATTATTAGCTGAGCACTGCTTCCACCCTTCATTCTTTCTTTTGTTCAGTCATTCATTCAGTATTAATCATGTGTCCAACACTGTACTAAAAAAAAGCACCCTATTAAAAATTAATGAACATGTTAATGTCAATTTAGACCAAAAGGAAAATTTCGAAGATCTGTCTAAAGGCGTGGCCTAGGACAAAAAGCATCAGAATCAAATGTGGTGCTAGTTAAAAATGCACATTCCTGGAATCACATCCCAGACTTATTAAATCAAAATTTCTGGAAATGGGACTTGGGGATCTGCACATTTAGCAAATGTCCTGGGTTATTATTTTGCACACTAAAATTTTAGAACCACTACTAAAAGTGATTCTTTGTCTTCTATTCTGAAATTGTAAACGTTTTAATCAGTGAATTGGGTGAATTTCAATAAAAACTTTGCCTATCAAGCTTGTAGATCGCTGAAAGTTGGAGGTAAAGCTGATAGACAATATTAAAGAATCAAATTTGAAAAAGACCTTGGAAAAGGAGAAGGATGGAATGAAATTAACAATATACAATTTAATAGGGTTAAATGTTAAATTCTGCATCTAAGTTCAAAGAATCAACTACTTAAATACAAGGTAGAAAGCTTTGAATTGACAGCAGTTCACTTGAAAAAGATTTAAAGTTCAATGAGAGTCAAAAATGTGATATTATTTCCAAAAAAGACTGATACAAATTTTAGGATGCATTAATAAAAACCAAAACTAGAGAAGGGAGGGGCAAGGTTGTACCCATCATGTTCTGCAATGGCAGAGCATATCTATTTTTAAATATTTAAATATATACATATTTTTTAAAAAGACATTATCAAACTAGAGTGTGTCCAAGGGAAAGTGACTAGGTAGTAAAGTGCCTTAAACCCACATCATATGAAGAATTAATGAAAGAACAGACTATGTTTCACATAGAAAAGTGAAAACTTTCTTTAATAGCCAACCTTATAGGGTTGAAAGGCTATTGTGTTGGGGGAAGAAATAGACATTTTCTATATGGTTCTGCAAGAAAGAACTGAGGACATTAGGGCAAAGTTAAGGGAAAGTTATTTTTGGTTTAATGTATGAAAGAATTACCTAAGAATTAGCAAGTTCAATATATGAAATAGGCTGTTGCCCTTATGAGATAGTAAGTTCCAGAAGTATGTTAAAATCTCTATCAGAGATTGTGAAAAGGATTCCAATCAATCAACCAATCAACGGAGGTGCTAGGGCTTAAATGTTTTCGCCCCCTCAATGCAACAGTATTGACAGGTGTAGCCTTTAAGAGGTAGTTAAGTCACCAGGGCTTCATCCTAAAAAATGGTATTAGCATTAGGCCCTTTAGACCTCAAGGCTGGAGGAAGCACCCTTTTGCCCTCCCATCCCTTCCACCACGTGAGGACACTGCATTACCCCCCTCCAGAGGATAAAGCAACAGGCACCGTCTTGGAAACAGAGTCCAGGTTCTTACCAGACACCAAACCTGCTGGCATCTGTATCCTGGACTCCCAGCCTCCAGAACTGAGAGAAATAAAATTCTGTCTTTATAAATTACCTAGCCACTGATATTTTGTTACAGTAGCACTAAAGGACTAAAGAGGTGATGAACCAGTAGTAACGGTGGAATAGGAACTAAGAAGTATGTTTAACTGAAACCATTGTAGCTGAAATACAAAACTTAAAAAAAAGGAAAGGAAAATAAATAAGAAAGGATACCTGCAATATATAGGACATCTATCCAAACAGAGATTCATTCCATTCTTTAAATTTCTGTGTAACTAGTTATAATTTGGGGTCCATTGCAAAGCCTTCAAAGCCTTATCTGGTTATACCATTTGTTTATCCTTCCAAAGGAATCAGTTGCTGACATCTGTTAGTGGGGCTATTTTGAAGAAGGCAAGAGTCAGAATGCCCATGACACACTTCCATGGTCTTCTGCAGAGGAAACTTGACCACGGTGAATCCTTAAGTTGACATATCTCAATTCTTAGCCTGTGTTACCCTGCTACAGAACAACAGCCAGGCTTGCCAAAAGTGGGAAGTGAACTCAAAGTCAAATAACATGTAGACTGGCCGGTGCGATATGGACAGCATGGCACAAAATCTGTGTCAAAACAGGGATGCTGGTGATTAATTGAAGGAATGATATGCCCTCTTCGGGTGATTTTTTTTTTTTTTACATTTAATGCACAAATTAGTTTGAGCATTTGGAAGATGGAGCAGGAGCAGAAGATACCCAGAGAGAAAGTCAACTGTAGATGTTGTGAAAAGCCATTGGGTATATTGAAATTAGAAGTGGGCAAAAGTATAAGGAAGCTGTAACGAAAAGATAAATAAAGGGCAGGAATAGTTGAGTTGGTTGGTGGGAATAAGGACTGTTGAAGCAGATTATATGTATACCCTTGCCAGAGTTACCTAACAGCACTCTACTGCTGAGGTGATGTCAAGATAATTCAGTTGCTAGGGGTCATCTTGGATGTTTGGGGGAATTCTGTTCTTTGAGTAGCATTCCAGTCTCCAGTGTCAACTCTTGTGCAGTTCTTGTTCTTGTCCTTATTTCTATGTGAATCTTATACAACACTTTTCTGACTTTTCTGCTAAATGAAAGAAAAGAAAAGAAGGTGCTAGTACTACTAGCAGTCTGGGGCATAGCCCAAGAGGCTTATCACGAGCTTAGCATTTCTTTGCCATCTCATGTTGTTTTCATCTTCAAAATTCCATCTACATTTTCCTCCTTGAGAGATTGGTATTATTTTTTATTAAAAATGTTGTATTCATTTAAAATGGATAATTTAGAGAGACATGGCATATTTTTTGTTTCAGTTACTTCTCATAATTTTTGGCTAATGCCATGTAATCCCTTGAGATATGGCTACCTCGGTTTGAGACATATGATCTTACAATAAACTTATATTACTTTAGGTTATCTGGGTGACTGTTCCCTGAAGATCCTAACTAATGCAGTGGTTTTAGGGAGATATAAGTGTGTGTCTGTGTGTGTGTGTGTCCCATTCCAGAATGTTATCTGAATTACAAAAGTCAGAAAACAGGATTTTACATGTTTTTTAAAGTACTTGATAATTTATGATAAAATTAAACACATGCTACTGAACAATGCAGCATGTGAATGATGGAGTTTAATGTTCAAACCCAAATCTGCTCATTCGTAGAAATTTTATATCTTCTTGTGTATAAAAATAAATGATATTTTGTTTTTCTTAAGTCAGTGTCACTTTATTGTAGGCCTGAAGGAAGTCCATCTTCTTTCACATAAAACCCACTCAAGAATAGGAAAACAGAGAGAGAAAGCAGCAGGCATGAGCAATACAAAGAGAACCAAGGCTAAGACTTAGAATTCAAACTTGGTCAAGGTGTAGACTTCCATGTGGAGAAATTGTTTCCATTAGATTCTATTTAAAAATTAATAATGTTAAGAATTAAGCGTTCTTATATGCTGAAGTGTAATTGGTAGTTATTAAATGTTATTTATTAAAATCCTAATAAGAATTAGACTTTAAATTAAATACTGACTCCCACTCAATTAATTTAAATAATTAAGCCTAATGTTACTGGTGAGGGATGACAGGGAGGAGGGAGAGTCCATTGTGAAACCCATTTTTAATAAAAAGTTGTATATGTAAATAATGTGTTAAAAGATTATCATTTTCCAAGCCACTTTTTTTGTCCATTGCTAACATCTACTTTCTTTAGAAACTGGCTTATACTTTCCAGGCATTATTACAATCCATGAAATTTACAGAGAACCCGCTAATGACTATGCACACCAGTTCACTTCAAAAGTCTTTATTGGACCAGACACAGCGATGGAGCCCACAGCCTTGAGAGAGAAAGGGACTTGTAAACACACAGTTACAGTGCAGCACGATACGTGCAAGATGGGAAATATGTACTGGGCATCAAGTCGGGAGGCTTAGAAGAGTCTTCACAGATGTGGTGATCACTGGGTAGGATTTTGACAGATTACTAGGTAGGACTTTGACAGTTAAATATCAGAGAGGAGGATTGCAAGCAGAAGTACTCTGAGGTGCAGAGATGTGAACCGGCATGCTGTTTGAGAGACAGCTTTACTTCGGTAGGACTGGGAGAGGTTAGAGGAAATGAATTGTAGCCTCAGTGAGAAAAGAAATGGGATCAGGCTAGATTCACCTTCTCTTCTCTCTCTGTGACCTGAGGCAAATTATCTGGTCTCTACAAGCTTCCATTTCCTTATTTATAAAGTTTCTTCCTAGAGCTATGTTGTTTATGATTATGGACAAAGACCTGGCCCCTAGCACTCACTGAAGTCTAGCAGCATGGTGTTGGTGGAGTTTGACATGGTTAAGTACACGAAATGGGGACACCAGGCCTATTGTCTCATAGGACCACCTCAAATTCACCACCCTGCAAACATCTGTGAACCAGTGGTATAGTAAAGATAGCAGTGTAGGCAGGGTGTGTGTTGTGTGAGTAAGACAGACGAAAAGACAGAGATAGAAAGACCAACCCTGGGAAGCAGGAAATTTATTCCAACTGTGTCTCCTACTTTCTGACACCAGCTGGTTATGTGATTATGTACTTAATGTATTTTTTTCTTTCTTTCTTTCTTTTTTTTTTTTTTTTTGAGACGGAGTCTCGCTCTGTCACCCAGGCTGGAGTGCAGTGGCGCAATCTCGGTTCACTGCAAGCTCCGCCTTCCAGGTTCAAGCAATTCTCCTGCCTCAGCCATCCAAGTAGCTGGGATTACAGGCATGAGCCACCACACTCAGCTAATTTTTGTATTTTTAGTAGACACAGGGTTTCACCATGTTGGCCAGGCTAGTTTGGAATTCCTGACCTCAGGTGATCCGCCCGCCTCTGCTTCCCCAAGTGAATACTTAACGTACGTAAAAGTTAGTACTGCCCCTTTTCTTCTCACCCTAATGCCTGTGCTGGTCAGCCATGGAGCTTGTGGTGATTGTACATGCTCCTCCTCCGCTCTCTCAGAAATCCACAGAAGCCTGGCAAATGAACACACCTATATGAGTGATGCCTGTTATAATGAAATCAATACACTTTTAATAAAAGTCTTAACATCAAAGTTCAAACAGATATCTTTCTGGTTTTTGATAAGACAGGATCTCAAATTCATGTGTCTGAAAGCCAGTCTCCCCGAACTTTGTCTCCCCAGCTTGCATCTCCTTCTGTGCTCCCTGTGCTGGCCAATGGCATCATTATACACCCAGAGCACAAGTCAGGATCTTACAAGTCATCCTTGACCTCCCTCCTCTTCACAGTTCACACTCAATCACCAAGGCTCAGGAAATCTAACTCTA
Source organism: Homo sapiens (assembly GCF_000001405.40). Lineage (NCBI taxonomy): Eukaryota > Metazoa > Chordata > Mammalia > Primates > Hominidae > Homo > Homo sapiens. The sequence goes on along the minus strand of NC_000003.12, from coordinate 108,107,726 downwards.
GAAAAACAAGCTCGTCTTCTTCCTTCCTTTCTTACCATGGCTTCCTCAGTTCAGGTCCTTATTACTTCTTGGCAACATAATTGGAAAAGCATCTTCACTGGACTCCCTGTGTCCAGCAGAGCCATCCCACATGGTGGCAGAGAGATCTAAATTATAGAACTCTGTTTATAATCATTTCAGGGTCCTCCATTGTCTACAAAATGAAGCCCAAACACAGGAATCAGGTCCTGCATGCTCTGACCCTGCCTCCCTTGACTGTCTCATCAACCATCATGTAATGCTTTGCATTTTGTGCTCTGATTATACCAAGTCACTGATTTTTCCCAGAAAAACTCTTCCAAACCTTCAAACCTTTGCACCTTCGATCCCCTCTGTCTAGAACTTTGCTACTGAAAATGTGACCCATGGGCCAGCAGCATCAGTGTCACCTGGGGGCTTGTTGGAAATGCAGACTGTCAGGCCTCACCCCAGAACCACTGAAGCAGTAGCCACATTTGAACAAAATCCTCTGGTAATTCACGTACATGTTAAAGTTTTAAAGTGCTGCCTAAAATGTTCTTCCTTCCTACTTTGCCCGTCTCACTGGTTCTCATCCTTATAGACCCATTGCTCCACTTGGCATATATTAAATAACATTAACCTGCTCTTTACAATCTTGGAATAAATGTTATGGATAACTTATACTATCTATACTCATAACTTAAAAAATTCAATATAATGCTTCCACTATAATATTTAAAAAGACAAGTAATGTGAAATAAAAGATCTATTTATTTATTTTTAACTATACTTAAAGTTCTAGGATACATGTGCAGAACATGCAGGTTTGTTACATAGGTATATATGTGCCATGGTGGTTTGCTGCACCCATCAACCTGTCATCTAGGTTTTAAGCCCTGTATGTGTTAGGTATTTGTCCTACTGCTCTCCCTCCCTATTTCTTTATTTAAATGTGTTGGTACAACTATACTCAAAGACATAACAAAGTAATGAGATGTTTGCTTAGGATCACTGGGGATTGACAGATACAAGACTGATTCAGGTGTATTACATTGGGCACACAAATACATGAGCAATGAGATAGTCAGTGATGTGATTTTCCAAGATGGTGAACTGCTTTTGGCAAAGTTCCAAAGATAGCTAAACAAAATATTCCTTTGATTCATAAGGCATTCATATTTCTGGAAAATGCAGCTTTCATTAAAATTGTGTAAAGTATGCTTTGTGTGTATATGTGACATGAGTTAGGTTTTAGGTTCAGATAATTATAACCACATTTTCACCTACATGGATATCTTGCGAGACATTCAAACATCATGCTGGATGCAGGATGATTCTTTGTTGTATAAGATTAAACCATAGCACAGCAGGACATCTAGCATATCTGGCCTTCATCCACCAAATGCCAGAGCTGTCCTGCCATCAGTGATGTCATCACTAGTAATGACCGCTAAAATTTCCAAACTCCCCGAGAGGCCAATGCCTTTCCTACTGAGAATATTGGTCTGCCTATAGTTTGGATATTTGACCCTCTAAACCTCATGTTGAAATCTGATCCCCAGTGTTGGAGGTGGGGCTTACTGGTAATTATTTGGGTCATAGGGGCTCATTCCTGATGAACAGATGAATGGCCTTCCTAGGGGAGGAGGGGTAAGTGAGCTCTTGCTATAAGTTCCTGAGAGAGCTAGTTATTAAAAAGAGCCTGGTATCTCCCTCCCCTCTCTCTTGTATCCTCCCTCTTGCTTCCTCCCTTTTGCCATGTGATCTCTGTACACATCAGCTCCCCTTTGCCTTCCGCCATGAGTGCAAGTGGCTTGAAGCCTTCACCAGAAGCAGATGCTGGCACCATGCTTCTTATACAGCCTGCAGAACCATGAACCAAATAAAATTCATGTCTTTATAATTTACCCAGCCTTGGGTATTCCTTTATAGCAACACAAATGAACTAAGACAGCCTGATACACTCTAAAGCTTCCTTCAAGCCTCATTGGAAGGAAGGAAGGAAGTCAATTGAGAGTGACACAGTTTCCCTCTCCATCCCTGGGGATTTCCTGGTTCTTTCCTTCCACGGTGCTCTCTCAGCTCCCCTAAATGTAGTTCTAACCCAGTCCTTTTTAGTGTACTCAGCTGTTAGCAGAGCAAGAGTCTCCCTCTCTCTGGCTTGAAAAGAGAGAAATTTGTTGTCTCGCAGTTGTGGAGGCCAGAAGTCTGAAATCAAGGTACTGGCAGGGCCACGTTCCCTCTGAAGGCTCTAGGGAAGAAGCTGTGGTTCTATGCCTCTCTCCGCTTTTGGTGATCTCAGGTATTCCTTGGCTTGTAGATGCATCACTCTATTCCTCTGTCTTCACATGACATTTTTTCCTCATCTCTGTCTGTCCTCTTCTTATAAGGACACCTGTCATACTGGACACCCATCAGCTGTTAAAACTGACCTTTCCAAATGGATGCTACCATCATGGTACTCTTCTCAAACTGGTGATTTGAAATTAATATTGTTGTCCTTTTCCCACTAATGCGTTGAGTTTGTTACTTGTACCCTGAGGAAATTTACCACTAAAACATATACTTCTTTTAGATCAAATAGTGGAAGAGGCTGTGAATATATTTTTTATTTTTAGGGGTGGGTTAGGAGACAGTGATAAAAAATTAAAATTAAAATACTTTCAACATGTTTAATCTTTAATAATTACAACATATCTCTCTGCCTCATTGTTCTCTGCCCCAGAGTATTCCATAGATTCTGCCATGTCTGAGCCATGTAACAAACATTTGTCGAATGAATTAATGCATGCATACATAAATGAAATGGGCTATATTTCCATTTGTTCTGAGCTTCAGAATTTTTTTTCTATTTACTAGGCTTTAAGGAAGTAAAAAATATTAAAGAGAGCAACCGGGAAGGTTTTTGTTTTTTCCAGTCGTAGAGTGAATGCTGTCTTTGAGGCACTGAGGACTTAAGGTCAGGGAACGCTGTGACCTTCCGAACCTAGCACAAAGGTGGCCTTTTTTTTCCCTCCTTCTCTTCACTGGTTTCATGAGCTGGTGCCAGCTGAGTCTAGATGGTGCGCCTTTACACTTGAATGAAACACTCCCTGCCCTCAGTTCTGGAAGCTCCACTCTGCTGCCTCCATCTGCTGCTTCTGATAAACGCTCATATTTTAAATATATTGCTATCAGCTCACTCCCAAAGTGGTTTGCCGGCTCTCCGTAGAGCAAACAATCCCACTGGCACACAGCCACATTTTGGGTGGAAAGAATTTGGGCAGACAGAAGACATATCTCCCAGTGATGAGAGATGAGAGAGAAGACAGAGGAAATTGCCTGTGGAAGCTAGTGACAAAAACCATGGCTGTGTCCTGCAGACATATAGAGGCCATCGGAATCCATGTGGGGCTCCAGGGCATCTCTACAGAGGGTGAGCACAGTGGAAGTGTGGCCATTTTGACCATGGAGTAAATGTGAAGTTTAAGAAGTTGCATTGCTCTTCTCTGAAAACACGTTAAAAATTAGCCTGCTCCACTGACAATACTCTATTACAAGTAACCTCCCAGAAACTAATATACACAGGAATTTGCCTCCAGCCCTCAAAGCCTCCTCCGGCACATATACTGTTTATGACACTCTTCCAAGTCCCCCTGCTAGTTTCAGCTGGCAGTTGCCTCCCTTTCAGCATTTCTTCCTTCCAGCAACTTATCTCTAGCCAACATAATCACCAATTGCATTTGGGAAGGATGGAGTAACGCAGTGTGGAAGGTCTCCCTGAAGAACATGATCACAGCAGAAGCCACTGGGGTAGACGTCATTCTCTCACAGTTGCAGAGTCATAGAATATTAGAGCTAGAAGGGGAGTTAGGGAACACTGAATCCAATTCCTTTACCTAAAGGAATCTCAAATTTTCATGTCCCAAATGGATTCCTTATACCTCTCCTCCTACCTACCTCGCCTTTTGGTTTTCCCCATTTCAACAGTGTGACTCTAGCTGCTCAGACCAAAAATCATGGAATATTTGGTCTGACAGCAAATCCTGCTGACTCTACCTTCAAAATATAGCCAGTATCTGACCCCTTCTTGCTTCCACTACTATTACAATTCTGATCCAAAACACCTTCATCTCTCCTCCAGATTATTGCAATAGCCTAAGGGTCAACATGGGCAAAATCTGTCCTATGAACTGCTTTGGTAAATAAAGTTGTACTGGAACACAGCCCTACTCATTAGTTTACCTTGTCTGTGACTCTTTCATGCTATAATGTCAGAGTCAGGGAGTTGCAAGAGACCTCACGGACTGAAAAAATATTTACCATCTCTTCTCTTTTACAGAAAAAGTTTGCTAACCCCTGTGATAGCCTATTTAAATTGCAAGTTGAATAATATTATTGTCCTGCTCAAAACTCACTCAGCGTTAAAGTCTTCTAAGGCCCTGTGTGAACTGAACTTCCCCATCCCCGCCTCCCTTCCCGCCCCTGCCCCTTGATCTCTCTGATCTCATCTGCTGCTGTTCTCCTCTTTCTCACTTTGGGCTGGCCACACTGACCACTCCCCGATCCCCGATCTTCCTGTAAAAACCAGGCATGCTCCTGTTGCAGGGCCTTGCATGGGCCTTCCCCTCTGCCTGAAACGATCTCTACATTGACATCTGCCTGGCTTGCCCACCCTTTACTCACTTTATACTCAAATGCTATCATCTAGTGAGCTTTCTCTGACCACCTTATTTAAAACAGCACCCCCTCACTGCTTTACTTTTCTCCACAGCATCTAACACCATTTAATACCATATTTTCCTTATTTATTGTGTCTGTTGTCTCTCCCCATCTCACCACTAAAATGTAAGCTCCATGAGGGCGAGGGTTTTGCCTGTTTTGTTTTCCTGATATGCCCACGGTGTATAGGCATGCTCCAGGTGTTTAATAAATGAATAAATCCTTTGAAGCAATAATGCTACAGCAGAGGTAAAATGTATCAGTGTCTCAGCAAGAGTCTCCACAAACAGTTGTGCTTAGGATAGTCACTAGGAGCCGTAGGCAGAAATGACCTGTGGACTTATAAAGGCATTTTATCTTCCACTCTCCCACTTCCCTTTTTTCATTTCGTGTCTTACCATATCACCGGTGTCATCATGCTATTCCTTAAGTCTGTGGCTTTAGTTTCTACAACATTTCAGAACTTACTCTTTCCTCTTCGACCTGTCGTTATTAAAACACATCTGTTTGGCTTTTTGGCTCCCATTACCAAAAGAGGACCCTGGCGCATTCTCTTCTAAGTTGATAGACTCATTAAAGCCCAAATATTAATGAATGATAATGTCTCTACCTTGTGGAAAATAATTTGCATTTAAACAACTTTCAATGCCTAAGTCCAAAGAGATAAGTGATTGTGAGAATTTCCAGCAGGCAGTTGTCCTGGACCAGCCGGGGTAGTTGTCGAGAGGTCCCTGAAGCAAAATCCAATCACAGCCCATGGACAGCTGTCCACTCTGTCTCTGCAGGGTGGGTTCAGGCATGTATGACACCCTCAGAGTGTGCATGCACACAGATATGCAGGTGCCAATTAGGGACACTGAGACCATCTTAACTTCCATGGAAAAAAGCTGTCACTTGTGATATGCATGCCACTTACATATATTCTTTCCCTTAGCACTTTGATACCTTTTTGTCTAGCTTACAGTCCCACTAGCACAAAGCATTTCTTGGAAGAAAAATGAGGCCAGATAGGCATAAGGCTCAGACCCTGATAGGGTTTGGCTGTGTCCCACCCAGATCTCATCTTGTAATCCCCATAATCCCCACATGTCTAGGGAGAGACCTGGTGGGAGGTGATTGGATCATGGGAGTGGTTTCTCCATGATTTCTCATGATAATGAGTTAGTTCTCACAAGATTTGATGGTTTTATAAGAGGCTCTTCCCTCTTCACTACTCACTTTTGCCTCTCTCGCCTGCTGCCATGTTAGATGTGCCTCTACCCTTTCTGCCATGATTGTAAGTTTCCTGAGGCCTCCCCAGCCATGCAGAACTGCGAGTTAATTAAACCTCTTTTCTTTATAAATTACCCAGTCTTGGGTATGTCTTTATAGCAGTGTGAAAATGGACTAATAGACCCCAAAAAGGCAGGCAGGATACAGATTATTAGAGCGCAAATCACAGGATTCTATTGGCCTTCTGGGGCCATACCACACTCCAAACCACACTGAGAGCTCTGAAAGTGGAGAGGAGGAAAAGATTAAAAAGTACAACTTTTTCACATAAAAACCACAAAAAATAATCCTGATTCACAGACTGTACTGTGCAAGAAACCAGTGGGTTTTCTCAGGCAATTCAGTACTATCAGACAAAATTAAGAGAATTATCCAAACTACTGAAGAAGTGGAGTTCATCGGTTAGGTCTGACTGATTTGTCTATCAGGAGCCCAATGCAGCACTTATGCAAGCCTTATGTAGAGAATGCTACTTTCGAGGACAGGGTAGGTTAGGATGAGCTCTTTACTTTAGTGTGCCAGAAACAGCTCCAGGTGGTCTAGCCCAGGTGGCTGTCACAAATGAACATATCATTTTCTTTTGAATTATGAGAGAGTATGACTCATTTCTCCCCTCTGCACACACTGCTTCATAGGACCCACTGAATTTGCCACCTGGTGAAATGGTTATTGATCTGTCGTTCCTCTAGGGGATCCCCCAGTTTCATTTCCTTCATTCTCCAGACAGAGAGACACAATTGTGTAACCATATGGACACTTTCTGCATTTTATCAAAATGGCATCTTGTAAATGGAAACTCACAAGAGATTAGCACAGATGTCAGACACAAAGTACTTTGATGGACACACAAAAAGGGCATTTTGTAAACTACAGTGAAACCAGTTTCTTAAAGTATTTCTAAACTCACCAAAACTATAGAATTAAAGAGATCCTCAAGCCACTTTGAAGTACACATTGGTTTCTATCAGAACAAAGGTAGAATATGTGCTGCTTTAACAGGAGATGTTAGAGAACCTGCTGTCCACATGAGAGGCTTCACTTGTAGCTGACTTGCTTCTGTCTCCTGGGTGCTGCACAACACCGACTGGCACTTGTGACCTGAAGCTAATATAAAACACCCAGGAGGCCAGGATACAACTTGGGTTCACAGGGATTCTCCACTCTACTACAGGTGGATTCCTCCTGACCAAGCAAAGGTGACAGAGGAACTGGTGATACTTTTACCAAGATAAATCATGTGACAGGCAGGCCACTTGTCTTCTGAGGTCAGACACTAAGTCAGTGGCTCACAAACTTTAGCATGCCCCAGAATCACCTGGAACACTCGATAAAACACAGATTGCTGGGCCCCACTCCAGTGTGTCTCCTTTAGTAGGTTTAGGGCTGGGCCCAAGAATTTGCATTTCCAAGTTTCTCAGTGCTGCAGATGCTGTAAACCCCAGTAGCATCCTTTGAGAACCACCCCTCTAAGTTCAGTGTTGATATAACATTTTTCTTTCTTGCTACCATTGCGGTTCCCAGGGCTTGTGGTTGCGGAAGAGATGAGGGAAGTTGCAGCTCCTGCAGCAGCAGTTAGCGTGTGGGAGCGGTCAAACCCAGGGGCTGTTCAAGATGGATTAGTGAGGTGGGCGGGGCCTGGAATCGGGCAATCTTTCTCATGATTCCAGACATGTCTGTCTGTCTTGTCTGACAGTTTGAACCTAGTTTATCCATTTTGCTTTTAAGGCCCCCCTAAAGATAGTTTGAGTCCATTGGCCCACACCCATAGCAATGAGATCAGTATTAGAGAAAAGAAGGTTGGCAGATGGACTCAGAGAGGCTCACGTAGTAGCATCAATAAACAAACTTCATGAGGTGCAGTTTCTCAAGTGGTTTTGCACAAGTGGTCATAGCAGGGCAGGGAAGGGTGCACCTAGAGAGCCCTGTGTAGGCAGAAAACAGTTTTCTCAGCAGACATTCCTGGCGGCTTCTGGTGGAGGATTCATTTGAAATTGTCAGTCTGAAATGCAGACAGCTACTCTGCAGCTCATTTCAGAGAACACCCATGTGCTCTAGCCTTCATTTTCTTTTTCCTACAAATCTTGTCCCTCTAAGGATACAAAAGGCAGTCTTTGGAGATCTACTTCTTTCTATACCTTGGCCCCAGAGAGGAATTACGGTGCAGTAAAATGTTGCCAATGGGGTTGGGATTAAAAGAAACAATGAGTCTGTAGAATGGTTTCGGTCAATTCAAGGGTGTTTGTGTGAAAGGAAGGAACTAGGGAGTTACTATGGCTGCTGGCACTATCTCTGAAGGGATGGGCTGTGGTCATTAACTACCGTACACAGCATACTTCAGAAGAGATGACACATTTATTTCTATTTATGTTATGTTTCCTTTGCAGGTCAGCTAGGGCTCTGCTCTGCCTCATCTCACTCCAGGACCCAGGCTGAGGGGGCAGCTGCTGTCTGAGCATTGCTGATTGCCATGGCAGAAGGAAAGAAAAAAGAAAAAATTGCATGCTAGGCCTAGAAACTTTGGTCCAGATGTACGTGGTTATCATAAGCAGAATTTTTTTTTTTTTTTTTTTTTTTTTGAGACGGAGTCTCTCGCTCTAGCGCTGGGCTGGAGTGCAGTGGCGCCATCTCGGCTCACTGCAACCTCTGCCTCCCGGGTTGAAGCGATTCTCCTGCCTCAGTAGCTGAGTACTACAGTACTTCCCGAGTAGCTGGGACTACAGGCATGCACCACCACGCCCAGCTAATTTGTGTATTTTTAGTAGAGACAGGGTTTCACCATGTTGGCCAGGATGGTCTCGATCTCTTGACCTCGTGATCTGCCTGCCTCAGCCTCCCAAAGTGCTCTGATTACAGGCGTGAGCCACCGTGCCTGGCCTCGTGAGTTGAATATTATCCACACCGCCTCCCTCCACAAATTCATGTCCACCCCAAACTTCAGAATGTGATCTTTATTTGGAAATAGGGTCTTTGCAGGTATATTTAGTTAAGGATGTCAAGATGATATCTAGGTTGGTCCCTAAATCTAATGATGGATGTCCTTATATGAAGAGGAGAGCACACAGAAACAGAGAAGACCCTGTGAAGACAGCGGCAGAGCCTGAAGTGATGCAGCTCAAGTTAAGGAATGCCAAAGGCTGCCAGGCTAGGAAGGAAGGATTCTTAGGAGCCTTCGGAGAGAGCGTGGCCCTCAGAATAGTGAGAGAATAAGCTTCTCTTGTTTTAAGCCTCCTGTTTATGGTAATCTGCTATGGTCGTCCTAGGAAACTAACACACTGGCCCAAGCGAATCCCACCGCCATACCCGATTTCAATGACACAGGGAAGGACAGTCTCACAGTGCTGGATAGTCTCTCTCAGATCCACCCTCTACCTTTCTATACTCTGCTCTGAGCCTGGAAAGTTAAAATTCAAGAACTGCATAAACAGACTCCCCTTTCCTCTGGCTCCTCATTAAGATTTGCCAATAGTGGGAGTTCAGAGGGAGGGAGGAGAGTGAAGTCATTTAGTTTGCCACCTACCTCCCTGCCAGGCTGGTTGTAGCGGTGTTCCACTATTGAAGGCCACAGCTCCAGCCAGGCATCCCCTCCTTCAGTTTCTCCTTTCTCTTGGGGTTCTAGTAACTGTTTCTTCCCTATACTCCTCCAGGCGTGGGGTGCAATAGCTGTTGTTAGCCAACATGCTCTGTCATTCCTTGTTGGTTTTACATTGCCCCACTCACAACCTTGTAAACAGTCCTTTTATTAATCTCTTCTCAATAACTTCATTTGAGCGTGCCATGTGTGTTCTGATGAGACCCAGGAGACACACATACCACATACCCAGGAGGAGAGTTAGAAATCTTTGGTGGACAGAGTGACGACCTTGCTAAGTTGAGAAGCAGCCCTAGTGAAACAATGGTGGGAAATGCAATGAGAGTGGCAGGTCACATGATGGCTTTTCTTCCACCCCTCCATCTCTGGCAGAGGACGGAGTGTGAGCTCTGAAGCAAGATTCAAACCCCAGCTCCCCCGTTTATCAGTTGTAATAGGAACCTCTCTGAACCTCAGTTACTATTCGTATATGATGAGTATAACAATGCTTTCTTTACGAGGCTGTTACATGGATTAAGGGAGAAAAATATGAAAATAACCTAGCTGTGGTAGGCAGAATAATGTCCCCCAAAGATTTCCAAGCCCTAATCTCTGGGAACTTGTGAATATGTTACTTTACGTGGCAAAAGAGACAGTGTGGATGTGATTGAGATTACAGACCTTAAAATAGGAAGATTATCTTGGATTACCAAGGGGGCCCATCTAATCACTTAAAAGCAGAAGTGGAAGGCAGAAGAGTTGGTCATAGAGATGCAGCACAAGAAGCGGAGACAGAAGAGATCCAGGGTCAGAAGAATTTAATATGCCATTCCTAGTTTTGGGTGTGCAGAGACTACCTACAATGACTCAAAAGAGGCCTCTAAATACCAAGGGAGATGCCCAGATGGCAGCCAGCAAAGGAAACAGACCTCAGTTCTATAGACATTGATTTCTGCCGACTACCTGGATTAACCTGGAAATGGACTCTCCCCTAGAGCCTCCGGAAGGGAAAGCAGCTCAGCGAATGCCTTGATTTCAGTCTTGTGAGACTTGAAACAGAGAAACCAGCTGCGCCTACTGGACTTCTGACCTACAGAACTGTGAGATAATAAATGGGTGTTGTTTTAAGCCCCTAAATTTGTAGTAATTTGTTGTAGTAGCAATCGAAAGTAAATCCACTAGCACAGCGAGGGCTTGGTGTGTGGTTTATGCCCACTGCACGTATGTTACAGGCTCTCAAAGAGGAGAGGTAGGCAAGATACAAAAGGGACTTCTCAGGACTCAAAACAGTATGTGCTCTCAAAGAAATAAGCCTGCTGCAATTTTGCAATGTAATATAGAAGCTGGCTTTCTCTAGTGCTTTCAAGCTGTCATGAATATGGGTGCCCTACATGAGTGGCCTCCAGCAGCCACAGCAGAGGGAGGAGTAGAGAATGTTGTGCATCTTGTGGCGGAAGCAAATTAATCCTTGTTATTCATTTGACATGCAGAGGAAAACGCATACCAGATCACATTGTCATCTCTGTGGCAGGATATCCCTTACCTAAAACCCTCAGTCCTATTATCCTCCTACCTTGAGGCAGTTCCTGCTTCTAATATTTGCCCCTAATTGGAACACAGGCTAGCAAGAAAATGATTTCCTGCTGCTGGAGCCTTCCTTCTGTTCTCCTAAGCCAAATCCATCTCTCCAACCCCACAATCCCATACCAATATCTTCCAGCTCCCTAACCATCCAAATCTAACCCTTGACCAGACAGCACAGACCTTCGTTGCTCTACTGCTTTATCTGATGACTGGGGTTCCTATGCTTTTATAGCTGGGTCAAGTTGAAATAGCATCCCAGGAGACTGGGCTCCAAGCCAGGTATCAGAGACATGGGTCCCTCAGCATTTAATCGCCAGTGAAATGTGAAGAAGCAGCAAATTAAGGCCTGCCCACTAGGCATAGACACGCTCATCTAGCTTCAATCAAAATTGTTGACACTTCTCCAACTCAAGGTGCTCCTTCAATGCTCCTGAGCAGCAATTGGTGATTCTTTTGATAATATTTTCACTGCCCTTCTAGGAGACCAATCTCACTATATAAGATGATTATTATAATAAGGGCTAATATTTATTGTGTGCCTACTGTGCCTCAGGCACTGCTCTACATAACTGTAAAGGTGTTAACTTATTACATTCTCAAGCCATGTTCAAAAGTTAATTTATATTATTTTTAACATCTTCGCTTTACAAATGAGAAAACAAGTGCTCAGAAAGTTTAAATAATGTGTCCAAGGTTAACAGGTAGTAAGTGGCTTGACCTATAACTCAAACCTAGGCTAAAGTGACTCTGTATACTACATACCACACTGTAAGTTTTCTTGATTGATTCGACACACGTAGGTCTCCACCAGGCACTATGTTTGACTTTGGAGATTGTGATGGTTAATTTTAGGTATTAACTTGACTGGATTAAGAGATGGGTGCTAAATCATTATTTCTGAGTGTGTCTATGAGGGTATTTCCAGAGGATATTGGCATGTGAGTTCGTGGACTGAGTTGGGGAGATCCTCCTTCAATGTGGGTGGGCACCATCTAACCGGCTGGGGGTCTGGATAGAGTGAAAAGGCAGAGGAAAGGCTCTCTTGCTCTCTCTCCTGGAGCTGAGACACCCTTCTCGTCCTGTCCTTGGCCATCAGAACTCTAGGTTCTCCAGCCTTTGAACTCTGAGACTTGCACCAGTGGCCTCCTGGCTTCTTAGGTCTTCAGCCTTAGAGTGAGAGGTGCACCAAGGGCTTCCCTGGTTCTGAGGCCCTCCAGTTTGGACAACCATGCTACTGGCATCCCTGTGTCTCCAGGCTTACAGATGGTCTATCGAGGAACGTCTCAGCCTCTTTAATCACATGAGCCAATCCACCTATCTCTCTATCCTATTAGTTCTGTCTCTCTAGAGAACCCTAATACAGACATGCAAATATACTCAGGACAAATTTCATTTTCTCCAAGCTAATGTGATAGAAGAGGAAACTATTATGTAGAAACAAATATCTACTGACACATTTTGTTAGCAGTATGAACAAAGCATCATGGGAGAGATAACTAGACCTATGAAATGATGGAGAATCATGGCAAAGAGGAAAAGTAGGGTTGAGAAAGGCTTCTTGGAGGAAGTGATATTTGATCTTGGCCTTGAAGAATGAGCTAGAATTCTCTGAGTTGAGGAGCAAAGAAGAAAACATGAGGGAGCATTATGAGAAGCAGAGCAAACAGCGTAATTGAAGCACAAAAGCCTGAAAGTAGCATAGTCCAGGCATGGAATAATCCAGTGTTGCTAGTGTTGCCTGACCATGCAACAGATGTTAGTTTGCATTCCATTGGCCAGAAGTATTAACAAGTGAAGAATCTTAATTACAAAAAAAAGCACATATTCAGAGACACTAAGAAGAAAGAGATAATACTCTGAAACTACAACCAGCTGATGACTGATAAGTCAAAATTAGGAATTTAATGATGCTAAGAACCTCTAATATGTCAGGTCAGCTCCAAGGTTAGTTCAATAGTTTCATTCACATATGTTGGCCAGGCACGGTGGCTCACGCCTGTAATCCCAGCACTTTGGGAGGCCAAGGCGGGTGGATCATGAGGTCAGGAGATCGAGACCATCCTGGCTAACACGGTGAAACCCCATCTCTACTAAAAATACAAAAAATTAGCCGTGCGTAGTGGCGGGCACCTGTAGTCCCAGCTACTCGGGAGGCTGAGGCAGGAGAATGGCGTGAACCTGGGAGGCGGAGCTTGCAGTGAGCCGAGATCATGCCACTGCACTCCAGCCTGGGCGACAGAGCGAGACTCTGCCTCAAAACAAACAAACAAACAAAAAATAAAAGATAAAACATATGTTTACACAACACCCTTTTATGCTAGGTGCTTTGTCAGACACTGATTGAAGATATGGTTCCTGACCCTGAGAGGTTTATTTACTCATTCAGTCATTCATTTATTCACTCATTCTATTTATTCTTTTAACAACGATTTGTTGAGTACATACTATGTGTCAGGCAAAGGGGCTAGCAGTAAAGAAGACTCATATGGTCCCTCCCCTCATTGAGCTTACAGTATAGGAAACAGTTATTACTGAACACGAAGACAGCTATATAAACATAATTTCAATAAAAGATGGTAACTGATATGCACCAAAGTAAGACTAAAACACAGAGAAGTGCACTTAACTTATACTGGCATTATCATGGGCCTTGATTTACTGTGGGATCCTTTGCTGTTATGTTCCCTTACGTTGAAAGATGCATCTGGCCCTACACAAAGCACAGACTATGAGTAGGTAGGCACATACAGTTCTAAGCCAACCCCTTGGGGCACCAGGAGACAGCACTGTCTCATGTCGTTGCATGACACACCACCATGGGGCAAAACATTTGCTGAATGAAGTTACAATAAGGATACAATTGTATCTACATAAACATTTAAAGATACTATCATATCAATACCTACTATGTGGCAGGATCTTGATGTTGTGTGGGGAGGAAGATAAAAGTAGATGTATCGTTGAGACAGAAATGAGGGCAAGGGAAATTTTTTATGCATTGAGAGAGGAAGTTTGTGAATTTTTTCGCTGGCCATGGAGTCAGGGAGACTTCAGTCCAACCACCGTCCCTCCCTGAGCTTGTGACCAAGCCTCACTTTCCTTATCTATAAAGGTGACAAGAGTGATTTTTTTAAGTTTATTTATCTGTAAAGGGGAAACTGTAGCAACTTTGCTATTATAGGGTAAAAAGAAAAAAGGATGAAAACCAGAACAAGGGAGAGAGACAAGAGAGAGAGCAGTGTCACTTATAACTGTGGGCAAAGTGCTCACCATTCCTCTTTCCCTTTGTTTCCTCATCTCAAAAAGGGAGATCATAACATTTATCCTTTCTGAGGTTGTTATGAAGATTAACTTAGGTGATATAGCTAATGTGTACTTCCTGTGTTCAAAACATTCTAATATGTATTATCCCCTCCCTCTCTACCCAAGAAACTCCTTACATACAGATAAGATGAGCTCAACATCCAAATTAAAATGCTTTGAAAAGTTAAAAGGCAAACCTTTAAAATGATTAAATACTGAAAAGAGCTTAAGGTTATCTCAGAGAGAGGATAATCAAACCTAGGCAGGCTGCTTTGGACTGTCTCTCCTGGGATATGCCTGCTTTTGCCCCACCACCAAAACATACCCCAGCTAGATTCCCAAGAGCAGCAGTGGTCACCCAGGTGGCCTCTCATTCCATTTTCTGCACAAAAAGACGTTAAGCATATAGCTCAGTAGCTCCCAGTGTAAAACAGAACATCACCCGATCTCCACCTCTGAAGGTTGGGGACAGTCCTTTCTAGTCACTCTTCAGCTTTAGGGGGGTTGGTTGGTATCAGGGACAGCTGACAGCCTTATTTAGCCAACCAGCTGCTCTGTGATACACAATGTCCCTAATGCTCAAAGTCTGGTGGATGATTCTTTTGTATCCACATAAGCAGCAGTTGGAGGAGAATCGATGAGTCCCTTTGGTTGCCTCGGGGTGTCAAGGCTGCCATTCAAATCATTACCACCATAATTATTAACCATTGTTTTAGTGAGATGTCTGCCAGGCAATTGTTTTTATTTTTCAATCATTAAAAAAGCAATCAAATTTCACTAGAGCAATGCCTGCCTCACGCCGCATCAACACATTTATTAAACCCCTTCTGTTTGCCGAGCTCAATGGAAAGTCTTGGAGGAGGGAATACTTAAAATGCTCTCGGATTTAAAAGAATTGATAATGCTGTGGGGAAGAGGTTCACACAAAAAAGCAATTACAGGAAGAAGCTCGATAGTATACAATACACTGGTACAGAGTGTCATAGACAGTGCCACTTTCATACGCTGGATTTTATTTCTGTGGCAATGGGATGCTTGGGAGGAGCCGCACTGTGTAGAGGATTTGGAGAAGTGGGGTATTGTGGTGGGAAATTGCTTTCTTTCCCAGGAGGTAGGAGGAAAACAATCAAGGAGGTGGACAGGATGTGCACTCCATTAGAGCAGCCACCAGAGCCTGACTTTTTGATAAGAGAGTACATCAGTTAGGATAACGGTTAAAAGTATCTTTAAAAGACTTTTGCTTCAGGATGAATGATGTGGCCTGTGTGATTCAGCGATAAATTCAAAAGCCTTGTCCCTATTGTGGCTTGCGGCCACATTTCGAACCCATTTTTCAAGCATGTTAAACCCAAGCGCAGCGCAGAGGGCTGCACATGGGGCAGTCACAAACCAAGCTCAATAACCTTGCTGGTGGGGATGTGTTGGATACGCTGCTAATGCCTGTTTGCGACAATGCTCGCTAGTCCCGGTGGTGGCGGTGTTCACAGGTAACAATGTTTACCACCGTGAATGGAACTTGTTTGATTAACCCTGATCAGAGGATGAAAACACTAAAGAACCAAGTGAGAAAGAGGGAAGAGAACCGCATAGGGAAGAGCAGAGCGAGTAGACGAGCCGAACGCAGAGCCCGCGAGGGGCGAGTGGAAGCTCCCTGCGGGCAGGTACCCGACCACCGCCCTGCCCTGGGCGTGGCGGCCTCGGGCTCAGGGACCGCTTCGGCGCTAGACGGCCGCGTCCGGAGGAAACGGGCGCTGGTGAAAGCCTAGGTGTCCTGGTCCACGCGCGCAGCCGGACGTCGGGTCCAGGGAGAGACGCGGGCTGGGGCGGGACGGGACCCGGCCCCTGAAGCGCGAGGGTGGGAGTGAAAGCAAAGAGGAGAAAAGTAGAGAGAGAGGACAGTGGGGCCCAGCGCCGCGCGAAAGGCAGGAACCGACCCGCGGACAGGAACGGGTGCAATGAGGTCCCCGGCGAGCGTGGGAACACAGGGTTCAGCCTCCTGCGGCGGGCGAGCACGCGGACCCCAGGGGCGGGCGGGTGCGACAGGACGTGACCTGGAAGCGCGGCGCGTGCCACCGCCCTGGAGCAGGCATCCGGCCTCCGTGGAGCGGGCAGGCGGGCCCCGGGTCTGGAGCCTGCGACTGGGGAGGGCGCCGCGTCAACAGCAGCGGTTGCGGGGCGGGGCCGAGTGCGCGTGCGCGGCTCTCGCGGGCGGGGAGCAGGCGGGGGAGCGGGCGGGAAGCAGTGGGAGCGCGCGTGCGCGCGGCCGTGCAGCCTGGGCAGTGGGTCCTGCCTGTGACGCGCGGCGGCGGTCGGTCCTGCCTGTAACGGCGGCGGCGGCTGCTGCTCCGGACACCTGCGGCGGCGGCGGCGACCCCGCGGCGGGCGCGGAGATGTGGCCCCTGGTAGCGGCGCTGTTGCTGGGCTCGGCGTGCTGCGGTGAGTGGCTCCTCGCTCCCAGCCCTGCGGCTGCTGTCGCTTCGCCCCCGCGGGCGTGTGGGCTGCGCCCCAGCCAGCCCGGCGGCGCCCTGAAGAGGGTGGCCGGGGCGCAGAACACTCGGGCCCTGAGCGCCCGAAGTGCAGACGTGGGAGGGCCCCACGGGGAATCGGGCGCCCCCCTTCTTCCTCCCTTCCTTTCCCTGGTCGTCTTCTTCCCCCTGGGTGAGAGCGGGGCTCATCTCCTCCACCCGGTTCTCCATCTCCAAATGCACACACACAGGAAGACTCCAAACCGCGCACCTCGCGCAAAAATTAACTAGCAAGAAAGGGCGCGATCAGAGGCAAGGGGCTGCAGCTGCTAGGGATCCCCTTCTTTCGCACCCCTCTCCCTTCTCAGTGCTTAGACGCATTTGGGGTTGAGGGAGGGAGAGTGGGAGGGCCCGGGCCTCTTGCGATGGAAGTGCGCATTTTGGCGAAGTCGGTGAGAAGGGGTTTCTGCCGTTTGCCTCCCACATGAACATAGGAGCGAAGAGGACGTAAAGGACACAATTAAGTTTCATTTTCAACTCAGCATTCAATCAGAAGAATCTTCCGGCCGTGTAATTTTTGCTGTCGTTTTTAATCCTAAAAATAAGCTTGCTGGAAACTCTTCCTTTCTCGTGACCCTCACGCCCCATCAGCCACTTGCATACATTCTAAATTGTACGTTGAAGTTTTTCCCACTTTATTTGGGGGAACCGTTTTAAAAGTAATCTGGTTTTCGCCTGAAATAGGAAGACAGTAACCTCCAGTCAAAACATGTGCAGCAGAATGGGATTTGGTGTTTTTCGACGCCAAAGAACCTCCACCCCCCCACCCCCACCCCGAGCTTTTGGAATCCATTTCGCTTTTGTAAAACGTGTGCTTCGTCTGTAAAAACTGAGCAAGGAATAGAAACATTCGTAGCTCTACAGTGAGTGCCTGTCACACTTCACATCCATAGAGCCTTTTGTGAACTTTTATAAGATTCAGAATTCAGCTTGAGCACCAGTGACAGCAATTGTTACATTTATTCTAGAATGCTAAATTAATTCGATTTTAAACTGATTATTAGCCTCGGTGTGCCGTTCCTAAAGGCTTGTGACTTTAGGTATTTCCAAGATGCCCTTAAGTCTCTGCTTACCACTTTCCTCCCTCCCCGAGCATCCTGGATGTTGGGACTGTGAATCCAGGTCTCCGTTATCTAAATGGTTGATGTTAGTGTTTCCTGTCATCACGTTTAGTATGCTTGTTGCCTTTACTATCATTATAGCTAAAATAATACTGCTTTCAGAGATGTGTTGTATAATCGCATAATAATTTCAGAACGCCTTCATATTGAACCAGATATGAAGTGATACAGTATCATTTATTCAAACTGCCTAAAAAGTAAAAAGTATAAACCATATACTATTTTTAAAACAGGTAGGTTAGATTTAAATCACGTAGTTTAGAACTGTTGGAATGGTACTTTGAGTGATAGGATTTATGTTAGGCCTTCTTTAGTAATAGTTAATATCATGTAATTAGCACTCGTTTACACACAATTTTAATGTGTTCGAATCCCTAGAGTCATCGAATTCAGAATTTATAGTATTTTATTTTACTTAGTTAATATTAACCTAAAAAAAAAGCAAAATACAGGCATTATGCAGTTGAGTTGTGTTAAGTGTGGACTGTAAAACAGGATAGTATTTGTTATAAAATATGTTTTTGTATGTGTTTAATATATAGCTTCAAAAGGACATGTATGAAGAAAGATGTCTCAGCACATAGGTAGTTATAAACCAAGGGTTTGAGAGACTGACTTTAGAATCTAGAATGAGTAAGAAAGTGATGGATCTGTACATTCATTTGTATTGAAGTTTGATTTTGCTTTCAGTTTCGTTAATTAAGCCCCGGGAATCAGGGACCTTTCCTGGCACCCTCTACAGTGTTAGTGGCCTTTGTGGTAAAAGAAGTTATCTCAGATACTCATTTCATGCAATTACAGGCAAACTGGAAGGCACCTTAATGGTATGCAAGATGTGAAATGAATTACTATGTTGCATTCCACTCTGCCCCCACTCATGTACAATTATACTTTGTTTAAAAGTGCATAGTTTCAGTGGTATTTATTAGCTAGCAAATAAAACTTTAAATAAATAATGATGGTGTTGTGAACTGTCTTTTCAGTGGTTGAATGATTCCTCTTTGTTCAAAATGAGTTGTTTTTTTTTTTAAATCAGGGTACATATGATTAAATAAAATTTTTTTCCATCGTCTAAGTCTAGTAGTAATTTGGCTTGTTTAAATAAAAATGTTTTCTCTTAAAGAATATATTATTTTTAATTACAAGTTGCCATTTTAAGGAAGTAAATGCCTATTTAAAAGTACGTATTTATGGGGCCGCCCCAGCAGTCTAGAGGCAGTGTTTTTTAAAGCATTACACTAAATGCCTACCATTAGGACACTTGCTCATGCTGTCATCTGTGTTTTGGCAGATGTTTTATCTTTGTCACTGAGTTGTTCATGGAGATTTGAAAGGCCAAGTTCTAAAGATGAGAGATAGATGACTTTCCCCCCAAATTGATACATATTCTAAATCCAAAATAATCACGCATATTCGCAAAACTAGATTTGCATTTCATAGTATGAATTCAGCTATAGCTAGTATATAGGCATTGCTTTTAATATAGTAATGTTCTTTTTGTGGCATAATTTTCAATCACTTTCCCTGTCTTAGGTTTCTGCCTACCTTTTTATACAAGATAAACATTTCTATTTTCATATCTTATCTCTCAGTCTGATTTTAATAATATCGTCTTGGGTTATCATAAAGTTACTTTCACTTTGTATACTAGTGTAGATATTTCTTCTGTGATAAAAAGAACAAGAATAATAGTGTAGGATCAGTTTTGTTAAACTCATTGTAGTACTAAAGTAGAAAATACAGAGCACCCAGGAAATTTGATTCTGATATACCTAGACTAAGACAATAGAATCTGGGTTTTTCCTCTTTACGATTATACAGTGTTGAAACAGAAATCAAGCTACACCCACCTCTGAATATTTCATTCCAAATCCATGGAGCAGTTGCATAAGACTCAGAATCTGGTCAATCTCATGGTTTGAGATTCAGATTAGGAGAATTAATGTGCATATTTGAATATATATCACACTTGTAGGTTAAAAGGTAAAGCAAGGGGTTTGGCTAGTTCAAGGCCTGTCAAAACCACTTTTTTCCATTTCAAGCAAGTATGAGCCTATACTACACACCAAGCAGTTTGCAAAGCCCTCTTTGGCATATAGACAAATTTCAGACAGTATGTCAGTATGTCTCTTAATGACTTAAGATGTAGTATATAGACAGTAGGGATATCTTGTTTTTATTCCCTCATGGTACTTAGGTGCTTGTTAAGGCCATAATTCTGGATGTTATTGACTTTAAACTGCCCTGCCCTTTTTAATTCTAAGTTGGCCTCTTCCATTCTTATAAGGCCACTTTTAAATTCATTAGGGGGATTGCGTTGGGTCAGAACTAAGTACAACTTGTGGACACCCCACTCTACCCCAGACCTTTATTTTAGTGTCCATTGAGGAGAGATCTGACTTCATCCTTTTTGTACGTAACCCAGTGTAGCTAGAGACTCCAGTTCTTCAAGCCAGACACTAGTTCTAAGGGGCAAAAGTAGGTAGGATTGCTTTCTGGCATGTGTCTTTACTGATGATCTTTGCTTCTTTACCTAAGAGGCTGCTGAGACTTCTTACTCCATTCCTGAACATCCATTCCCAGCAGATAATTAACTTCCTACTCTACTGCAAAAAATAGTGGTGTGTGGTTTGGACTCCCTCTGCTTCCCTCCCACCATTACTAAACTGATCTATAACATCTTAGATAACCTTCGTCTCATTCTCTTCCGTCATCCAGCTTCAGAAGAAAACCTACTCACTTTTCCAACGAAAGGACAACCTGTCTACCACCTTTTCACTTCTACCATCTTGGAGACCTGCTCAGTCAGCATAATTCTTCAGTCTTGCATCTTAGATCTTTCCCTCTCCATTGACTCCTTCCCCGTAGCTTGCACACATGATCAAATTTTACCCCATATTAAAAAATAAAACAAAAAACCTCAAGAACCAAAATGTCCTTGCCCTTGTTCCTGCCTGCACATTGTCAGTTGTTGCCTTCTCTGCTTTCTTACACTGCCAAATTTATTGTAAAAGAATCACTGCCACTTAATATATTTTAAGTGCTTGATAAAGCCATCTTGTTTCTCTCTCATTTCTCAAACATAGTGTGCATCAGATCTCACTAGTCCATTGACAGATGGAAAGATATTCTCCCCAAATATTTAAGCCTCTTTTCTCTATAATTAGCCTACCATCTAACTAGCTACACATACTATTTTGGTTCACAATTTTAATTTTCCCCTCTTTATCTCCCCTGCTTCCCACAACTAACTTCTGTTGATTACTGTAAGTTTTAGGTCTTCTCTCCAGTTGTTCTTTACCTGGACTATTGCAGTAGTCTGTTAACGGATCTCCCTTTCTCTTTTCCCTTGCTGCCCTCAGTCCTTCCTTTACACTGCTGTCAATGTTTTTTTTTTAATGAAATTAAATCTGAGTGGTTTACAGTTGTTTATGTTATCAAGTCTAAACTCAGCATGACATTCAAGGAAGCCCTTTAGAATTTTTCTTATTCATCTTTTCCAACCTCATTTCCTAGAGCTCACCTAAATAATTCTCTGCTTTCAGTTCTTCACTTTCTTTATCTGGCTGTACACGTTACTCTGCCTAGAAAGCCCCTTCTTTCCCATAACATTCTTACTCATCCTTTAAGACCCAGTTTAAACATCACCCTCTAGGAAGATCATTCATAGACACATTCTTGTGATTTTTAAGGAACTTTTCTATCCAACCATACAAGTGACTTGAGATTTTCCATGAAAATATGCAGCTTCATGATTTCATAATCAAGTCTATACAAGTGAGAAGCAGTGGCAGGTTCTCTTGAAATACAGAAGAAAAATCTATCTTCTCCCACATGATTTTTAGATTTTTCTTCTATGGAATTTATACTTTAAACTTTTTACATTCACAAGGAAGGTATTGAATCCTACTTTCTGGACCCTGTGTTAGATTCTTAGGATACCAAATGAAGACAGTGTCTTACTTTCTGAGCCTGGAGAGATCAGTTAAGTAAAATAGTAATTACACAGTAGTAGGTACAGTGACAACATTTGAACACAAGGCAATGGGAGCAATAAGGAGGGGAAGAATACAATTGAGTAATGGTAGGGAAGGGGAACAAGATTGAACAACTCAACTGTGCTTTAGTAGGAAGAGCAAAAGTTAGCAAACTGTAGCTGCCATTTATTGAGTACTTGCTGTATATGTGAAAGGTGATACAAAAACATGTTATCTTATTAAATCTTAACAATATCTCTATGAGGTATATACCATCACTATGCACATTTTATAGATGAGGAAACTGAGGAGCAGAGGTAAGTAACTTGCCTAAGGTTATACAGCTAAGAAGTACATGAGGTGAATCTTAAACTAGGGTCGACCCCTTAATGTGTGCACTTAACTATTATACACCCTATGTACTCAGTGGGGTAATAGTGTATAACAGTTAAGAGGCTATTTAGGTTTGAGGAACAGTATGTGCTAAGGCATGGGGATGAGAGTGCATTTGCATAGTCATGGAATTGCAATAACGTCATTATGATTGGAGCTTAGTGTGGAAATGAGGGAGTACAGGAGGTGGGGCTGGAAAGGATCTTGAAGGACCTCGTTTGTATTCCATGCTAATGTACTTAGAATTTAGCCTGAAAAGGGTTGAGGGTGTTGTTAAAGTATCTTAGGCAAAGGAGTGCACATTTGCATTTAGAACAGTTATTTTGGGAACTGTAGAAAATACATCAGGGCCAGGATGGAGAAACCTTGAGGATGGAGGCAGGGAGCTGGTTAGAAGGGTATGGCAGTAGT
The DNA here is from genome assembly GCF_000001405.40 of Homo sapiens. Lineage (NCBI taxonomy): Eukaryota > Metazoa > Chordata > Mammalia > Primates > Hominidae > Homo > Homo sapiens. The sequence continues at coordinate 108,084,871 of NC_000003.12, read as the reverse complement.
TCGAGGGGGGAGGATGAGTGTCTAATTCATTCATTCAACAGACATTGGATTTAGGAACTATTAATTAGGTTGAACCTACTAAGAATTCTCCATGGCTAAGGAGAGGGAGTAATCTAATGTGATTCTTAGGTCCAGGTCTGGTTCACTGGTAGATGATAGAAAATACTTTAGCAAAGTGATTTAGGCTGAGGGTAAGAAGTGGGGGTACGTAAGTTTTTGGACATACTGACTTTGAAGTAACTGTATTACATCCAAGTGGAAGTGCACAGCAGACAGTTGGCTGTCCAACATCTGCAGTTTAGAAGAAAGGCAGTGCATGATTCAGTTTTTTATTTAAAAGTTTGCAGGTGAAGAAAACCATGGGAGTCAGGGAAAATACTAGGGGGCAGAGGGTACTGAATCTGAAGCCCTTAGGGACACTAACATTTAGTGTGAGTCAAGGAATAGATTTCAACAAAGAAAGCAAACTAGGATGGGGTGGACAAAGCAGGAGGAAATTCGTAATCAGGAGATACCATGGAGGCCAAGAGAGAAGAGCAAGAAAGAGACTGCCCACTGGCTCAAGAACTGTGGAAAAGTCAAGACAGAAAGTGAACCATGCATATTTGATTTTTCACAAGGGATTGGTGGTGACTTTGGCAAGAGCTGTAGTAATGAAGAAGTAGGGGTGAATGGGTGGAGGCCACGTAACAGATTTAAGGAGTGAATTGGAAGTGAGGAAATGCTTATAGATTGTTAATTTGGGATGCTAGGGAGAGAGAAAGTATGAGGGATTTTTTTTAAGTTGGCAAATATTCAAGCAATTTTTAAAGACACACACAAAAACAACACCTTGTAAATGGAATGGGGGATGTGGGAGGCTGATAATCAACTAAGGAAAGTCGTTGAGGAGACTGATGGGTATGGAGGCAGAAATGGAAACTAGCTTTCAGGTGATGGGATTCATTTCAGAAAAGGAAGCAAAAAAAAAAAAAAGGTGTGGATAGTTGGGGTTACAGGTAGGTTTATAGGGAAGGAGTATTGGAAGCTTCAGGATTCTCCTCTGAAGGTTTCAGTTTGTATTAAGAAATAGGGAGAGAGGACTGTTGGAGAGTATGGGATAAAGGGCAGAAGGGAGTAATTTAAGAGTTGTTAAAAAGAAGCGAACATTTACATGAAATATGTAAAATGGTAAAGATTGAAGGCCCGGAGGAGCAGGGACTATGACATTCTTCTGTTTTTGCCTATTAGCAACATGAATTTTCTTAGAAATCTGTAAGACCAATTACTCTTCTGCCCATCCATAAGGACGTTGTCCATGCAGAAAAGATAACACTTGTAACCTTGTATTATATACTTATCATCGCCCATTTGAGAATTGTAAGCTCCTAAAAGATAATAACTATATTTTTTCATCACTATATCCCCACATCCTATCACAATATTTCATCACAGGTAATTCTTGACAAATGTTGATTGCATTTTTAAAATTTCTAACCTGAACTTGTGTGCTGTGACCACCATGGATTGAGTCTTCTCTGCCACTACAAAGCTCTTTTCTAGACTATGATATGAGATGGTTTGGGCTGATAGTCTATATTCACCAATACTTGTACAGTTCCAATGAAGGTTTCAAGTCTAATACTTTTGGCATTTGATATAAAATCATTTTCCCATTTTATTTGCTAATTTATCTATAACTCTGGCATTACTCTTGGTTACATTTGTCTGCTGCTATCTGATTTAGACTGCTATAAGCATATCTTGTTTATTCAGAGTTTTCTTATTCATGTTAATTATCTGTGTTTCTTTATTTGCTCTCTACATTTTAAATAGTTTCTTCACTTTGCTGTTTTATGAGAAGGGAGTAGGCAAAAGGAAAAAACCCCAAATCAGACAGTTTTACTACTTAATAGTTTTTTAATGCATCTTTATAGAGATTGAAGTTGTAGTTAACAGCTAGAGTGATATTTTTGGCCTGCCCTTATTTATTAATTACTAGTGCAAAGGTTATTCAAATTGTGGTTTATCCAGGTCAATTTTACTGTTATTTTTACTAATAGCATTTATTCTACTTAAATTGCTTCAGCTATAAAATGTTTTTATTGTAACAAATAATGCAGTATAATTATTGCTTTCTGTATTCCTTTGAAAATTCATTCTCTAAACATATGTTATGAAATGGTGGATTGTTCACCAACTACTTCTTACTTACTTAATTAAAGCCTTTGCAAAAAGTTTCATAGGATGACTGAGTTCTTCATTCGTACCTCTTTTTTTTAAGAATAATCTCTTGAAAGTCAAACCATGATTCATACAAATATAAAATGAACATGTGTCAAAGATTTTATTTCACTAATTAATTAACAAGCAAACTAGCAAGAAGGCAAAACCCTTTTAAAAGAAAATTGGAAAAACAGACACATTTATAGGCAATCAAGAATGCCTAAATGAATTTGCTAATAAATGCAAAATTGGTCAATATCCTCAGGGCAGTAAAATGTAGTCTTTTGGAATCCTCTCTTCCACCAGGTGGAAATCAATTGCAGAACAAGATTTATTTTTATCTGTATGGACAGCAATCCATTTGAATTACTCTCAGTTTTCTACAACTTATGAAACTGTAAAACAGCCCAGTCAAAGTCAGTGAAAGGCACAGGCTTCTATAGAGTCAGATAATTCCAAAGCGTCTGTTAGACATTGCCCAGCACTTGACTGAAAGGATACCCAGTAGTCTTTGTATCCCTTTCAAAATCTTCACCATATTTTCTGATACTTTCCTTCCTTTATAATTTGAACATCTTCACCCCTTTATTCTTCTCTGGTATACTATGTCCTCTCTCCCTCAGTGTTTCTCTCTCAGGGGAAATAATTCACAATTCCAAAGTTTTAAAGAATGCAACGGAAGTCCAGGTTTTGCCTTGGGCTTCCTAGTATTTGGGTGGCTAGAAATGTAGAAAACTGGGAAGAGGTGAGCTGTGGATGCCCACAATATAGGTTCAGACTGCAATTTCCCAGAAATATAACAATTTGGACTAGTCAAAGAGGGCCCATATCATTACATTAAAATGCCAGATTATCTAGTTTTTATAGTATCACCCTACATTTTTACAGCATAGTATTGTTTAGAGAGCACTTGCCGCTATGTTTTCCATGTTAATGCTCAACACAGTTCTGTGAAGTAGCCCGGTGTTTGTTTTTGATCCTCCTACTTAAGAGATCCTCCTATTTTAGAGAGTAAACCAAGGCATAGAAAAGTGAGTTGCTTAAGGCAGCATATTAAAAAGGGGCAGAAATAGTATTTTTACTCAGGTGTTTTGAACATTGTCCAGTACCTATATTCCAGTATGCATCCTTGCATTCAATTCATGGGGTATTTATTGAGTAAACATAGTGTTCTTACAATAGAAACATTCTATGCCTCTGATTTTTATTCCAGTTTATGTAGAAGTAAATCTTAAGTGTGAACTATTAACAAAGTTGATATTTTATTTATATTTGTTAGTAATTTGTGTTTTGTTTTTGTTTATGTTTTGAGGGGAAGGCCAAGTAGCTACTTAGGTAAAAGAGTTGCTGAGTGGCTGAAGAATATGGAAGACAACTACAATTCCTACACATTCTTGTACATTTTAGTTGAACAATGAGTGATTACATTTATTTACCCAGTGCCTCTTCTATAAGGCAACAACTGGTAGTTTATCCTATTGAGAAGCGTAGATAGGATGCTTATTAGCAGTAACTGCTCTTGGTTTCAACTTGCATCTTACTTAGCTTTTTCACCGTTTTGTGGTTTCTTGGAGGAAGAATACCCATAATATACATTTGGAGACTGTTGTTCTGTAGTGTCAATGAAATGTGGGGGTGGGAAAATGTCATTCAAGACTCCCATACAAAATGTCTATTGCTGCCTATATTTTGCTATGGGAAAGTAGCCACAGATAATGTTTTTTTTTTCCTCATTAGTATTTTAAGATTTTCCATCCTAGTGGAAAGATATGATTTGATTCATCCTATTTACTTTGTATATTAAAGTACAGTAGAACCTGCCACTTTTTTTGGAAATGCAGCATAAGGATAAAGATAAATTTCATATCAGTTCAGCAAGTTCTATTTAGCAGTGTGTTGAAGTTGAGACTGAATAAAATATTTGGTTTGGTTTTCTGTTCAAAATTTTACCTTGATAAGGACAATATTTTTCTACATATATCAGTAGGCAGTAATGATTACTTCAAAGCTTCCAAAGCCAGATACTACACCTGCATGTTCCAACATAGTTGCTGAATTTATTCCCAAGATGCATGTAATGTATACTTTGTATTATTGAGAATGAATAAAGAAAAGTCATAATGATGCCTTCCAGCTGTGCAAGTTAATATTAAAATATAATTTGTTTGCATATTTCACCTAATAGGTCTTCTTCATTGCTATACTGTTTACTTAAGTGAACAATGGAAATGTTGCTGTTTATCTTAAGGATTTGTAACATGCCTAAGATCTTACAGTACAGACTTCTATAATTAATGAAACATTTTTCTTTTTCCTTTCCAGGATCAGCTCAGCTACTATTTAATAAAACAAAATCTGTAGAATTCACGTTTTGTAATGACACTGTCGTCATTCCATGCTTTGTTACTAATATGGAGGCACAAAACACTACTGAAGTATACGTAAAGTGGAAATTTAAAGGAAGAGATATTTACACCTTTGATGGAGCTCTAAACAAGTCCACTGTCCCCACTGACTTTAGTAGTGCAAAAATTGAAGTCTCACAATTACTAAAAGGAGATGCCTCTTTGAAGATGGATAAGAGTGATGCTGTCTCACACACAGGAAACTACACTTGTGAAGTAACAGAATTAACCAGAGAAGGTGAAACGATCATCGAGCTAAAATATCGTGTTGGTAAGACTTCTATGAAAGCTTCTTTTTTTATTTGTCCTGGTGCAACCTGATCCTCTTTCGAGAGGAGGCCAAATGGGGATAGGTACTCCTTTGAATCAAAAAGCAGGCTGTTATTAATAAATGTTGATGTAATGTTTAGCAAGTTTAAGATTGTGATTTCTATCCTATTTGTTAATCTACTCTTCATGGTAAAACACATTTACTATTTAATTTGTATTACTTGTTAATTTGTATATTGTGTGGTTCTCAAACTTTTGGTCTAAGGACCATTTTATTTGGCTGATTGGTCCTGGGGTAATGTACTCTTCATTTCTGTTTGCTGCCATCCAAGTGCTTTCTTTCCTGTGACTAATTTTCAAGTCTCTTTCCAATTATTCAGCCTTCTGTTTTTTGTGTTTTTTTTTTTTTTTTTTTTTTTTTTTTAACCTTACACTTTGACCAAGGGATGACAAGTCCCAGCCATGCTCCCTCTGGAGAGAATAGAGGAGAGTCAGGAGATTAAATCACGTTATCATGGATGATTTCTTCAGATTTTCTGTGCTTAGCCTTACTTTGGTCTTCTTTTTGTTGGCCAAAATATGAGAGAACTAGAGATTCAAATTCATTTATTCAAATTCAGACTTGATGATAGCACCATGATTCTGCCCTTTTTATCACAAACTTGGGTTGCTGAGGTGTAGAAGGTAGTAAAATTAGCTGAAGTAAATAGTCTCCTCTCCTTGCTGTTTCCTGCTGTGCTAGCTGAGTTCTTCAACCCCATATGAGTATGTTCTTTCTGTTTTGAAATCTCTATTTAGAATTACCTGTCATATTACCGATCATGGCTTAACCACATTTTGAGAACCTTAACTCTAGATAGGTTCAGTTCTGTTCAGTTGGATCAACTATTTGCCTAGCTTTTATAAAATAATCTACTACCAGATTAGGAATGGGGTGTTTGGTTTGATGAAATGTTTGCACATTACTTAGGATTGAGAATCAGGAGGTCTGAGTTACAGCCCCTGTTCAGCAACTTACTATTCACCTGTGTGATCTTGAGAAGGTGCTTAACCGAGTCCAAGTTACCTCATGTCCGAAATGGAGATGACAATAGATACTTGCTTTTATGTATTCTACAGTCTAATGAGCATAAACCAAAGTGTGTTGTAAATGTTAGTTGTTTTCCTGGGATGTTTATTTTATGAAGTAAGGTATCAAGTTGTTGAAGTTAGCCTAGAGCATTGTGAGAGGGATTTGTGTGCAGTGAGGAATGGGCAAGGGATGGCTCCGAGTAGGCAAGGAGAATTTGAAAGGTCTTTCTGCTCAGAAATCTCTCTTACATTGTAGCTTTTACTATTGATATTAATTTGGGCAAAGGAGCTTTTTTTGTTGTTGTTAAGTATACCTTTAATGAAGGGTGTAATCAGTCAGTCATATCCACTGCAACTAACTGGTATTAGATCATCTAATACCTAGTTGAAATTTTTCTGAGGTAATGTACAATTTTGTGGAAATGAAAGAATAAGATATGGGGGAACAGTAACTTTTGGGGGGTAATGCAGGTCACTGAGAGGTAAACTGGAAAACTCAAAATATGAGATTTGAAAGGCCAGAAGATGAAATGAAGATGGAAGAGAAAGGAATGCCAGGATCTGAGATAAAAACAGTTTATTATTTTGCGTGTGATTGAAAGACTGTTTTATCTTTGTTTGCAAAATACCCTATAAAAATAAAAACTAGACTTATTTTGGGAGCCATTAAAAGGAGAAAGTATTGTTTTATTATAGAGAATGTAGAAAATTCTACCAGAGGTTTGAGACATTTGGCTTTGCATCCATTTTAATTTTTTGAAATAATTATTGATTTACAGGACGATTCAAAGATAGAGAGCTTCCATGTGCCCTTCACCCAGTCCCCCCAATGGTTTCCTCTTATGTGACACAATATGAAAATCAGGAAGTTCACAATGGTGCAGTGTGTGTTAATGGTTCGCTCTCATTTTATCACGTGTTTATTTGCGTAACTACCTACACAATCAGGACATAGACCTATCCATCATAACAAACATCTCCCTCATGCTTATTCTTACTAGTCATACCGCCACCTCCCACTGTCCCTAACCTGGCAAGCACCAATTTGTCCTCCATATCTATAATTTTGTCATTTCAACAATGCTATATAAATGGAATGATACAAGATGTGACCTTTTGAGAAGGGCTTTTTCACTAAGCACAATGCCCTTGAGATCTATCCAAGTTTTTGCATCTATCAATAGTTCTTTTTTCCTTACTTTTTTTTTTGCTGAGTAGTAGTCCATAGTATGAATATATCACAGTTTGTTTAACCACTTACCTATAGTAGGACATTTTGGTTGTTTCCAAGTTTGGGCTGTTACAAATGAAACTGCTCTGAACAATTGTGTACAGGTTCTTGTGTAGACACAGTTTTCATTTCTCTGGGATAAATGCTCAGAAGTATGGTTACTGGGCTGTATGGTAAGTATATGCTTAGTTTTTAAAGAAACTGCCAGACTTTTCCAGAGTGGCTATTTCATTTTACATTTCCATCAACAATGTAAGAGTGATCTGGTTTCTCCACATCCTCACCAGTATCTGGTGCCACTATGTTGTAACCATTTTTAACTGAAAAAAACAACAAACAAACAAAAACCAGTTAAAAAGTTATCTGCACAAAAAGGTTAAATGGGGCAGGACTCTTACTATGGAGTATAAGTTCTTTTCTAATAAGAATACTTACTTGTCACGGACTTTGAGGATTTAAGCATTAGAAACCATTTTTACTATGTCGTGATTTTTGCAAATACAGGCATAAATGAGAAACAGAATTTGCTCAATAGAGAAGTGAATTCTACTTAATAGAATGCAGATAATAGTGACCATTCTTTGTGCCTTTTTAAATTTTTTGGAGGACTAGGACTGAATACATGGAAACACTATAAGATATAGTTTTATATACCTCTGTGCCTATGTATGATATAGTCCATTAGAAGGAGCACTGGACTTGAAATTAGAAAGCTGTTTTCTAGACTTCACTGTTTAATAGCTTAAGAAAAGTTGGATAAAAAACTCAACCTATCTGTCCCTCAAATTCTTCTTAGTACAGTAAAGATGGCATCACCATCATGGAAATGTTTGAGATATAAATAATACCTCTCTTACTTAACAAAATTTTACTAAGTGCCTACCATGTGCCAGTCACCGTACTAGGCATCACAGATTCTGTGATGAATAAGACATTATTGCTGATTTCAAGGAAGTGGTTGCAGTACAAATATGAAGAGTGAAGTGACCTAACATTTATTTGCACATGTGCCACATACTTTATGTAAGTCGTGTCCTGTTATCCTCTCAAGAACTCTAGGAGATAGATGGAGTTCTTACCATTTAACAAATAGGGAAGCAAAAGAGATTCAAGGTATTGTTCAAGGTCAGAGTAATAGCCAAGAATTAAACCTAGATCTCTTTGGCATCAAAACCCAGTATTTTTACCACCGTAATATGTGGTTCATGTGAAAACACCTTGTAAATAACTAAATACTGAATGCAAATACTAGTAATCATAAAATTTATCATTAATATTTCTGTTCTATTAGCAATACAAAAACTTGAAAACTTAAAGTTTATTTTTCTCTAAGCTATTAGAGTTTTGTTTAGAAAGGTCAGTTCAAGTTCCGCAGTGTTGCCAATTCCATTATTATCAACAGGACATATGGTCTGTTTATAATGAAGACATGAAGGCATTGCAAGATCTTTGTATTAGTTTTCTAGTGCTGCATAACAACTACAAATATAGCAGCTTAAAACACTACCCATTTTTTAGCTCAAAGTTTTGTAGGTGGCAAGCCTGGTCATGGCATGACTGGGTTCTCTGATCAAAGTCTTAAAAGACTAAAATCAAGGTGTTGCCCAGGGCATACTTTATTTGGAGTTTGGGGTCTTGTTCTAGGCTCACATAATTGTGACAGAATTCAATTCCTTGTGATTGTAAGACTGGGGTCCCTGTTTCTTTGCTAAGTATCTGCCAAGGAATTGTAGCAGCTCCTAGAGATTGCCCTCATTTCTTGCCCCATGGCCCCTTGCATATTTAAAGCCAGCAAAGGAGAATCTTCCTCTTGTTGAATCCCTCTCACATATTGAGTTTATTTTGCCAGGAAGAACCCAGACCCTTTTAAGAGACCACTTGGTTAGGTCAGCTCTCTCTCCCTCAAAAATAATCTCTCTTTCTTAAAGTCAGCTGATTTGGGATCTTAATTACATCAGCAAACTCCCTTTTGCTGGGTGATATAATCATGAAAATGAAATCCAATACATTCACAGTCCTAGTCTCCCACACACAAGGGGAGGGAATTATAAAAGATGCATGGCTAGGGCAGGGGTTTTGGGACCACCTTAGAATTCTGGGTTTGATTAAATAAATAATGGGACTGTAGCCTAGCAAGTCGACACATCAGAAAAGCCATCACAATCCTGAAACATCAAGTAAAAATTTGGTTTGCATTTTAGGATTGTAAATGTTACTGTGGTGTATGCGTGTGTGTGTGTGTGTAACCTGGTGTTCCCTATGTTTGTGGGAGTTTGAAGGAGACACTTTGTTGATAGGAATGGTGTCTTCACTTTTTTAGGTTGTCTCATTTTTGTACAGTGATAAGACAAATGAGGTCCTGGGTTTTAATAACACTTCAGCTTGAAAGCAAAAATTAAACACTTATTCATTGACTACACCCTTGTAATATCACTTCTTTGCCTTTCCACTAGCAAGAAGTTCATTTTCGTGGAAGCCATTCTGCCTGTCCAGGAATTGGAGGAGAGTGATAGACACAGTTGTCAGCCATAGCTTGGGTAGAATAAGGATGTGAATGTCCTTGGCTTATCTTTATTAATCTTGTGATGGAAAAATATCTGACATTGTTCTTAGTCCATTTTAAGCTTAATTTATGTTCTTAGTGGCATAGAAATTCAGAGCTGAAAGAAGTATCATGTCTCACTCTCCCCTTGAGGAACAAGAGTTAACGTCATCTGACAGTACTACCATAACAAATCAATAGCTTAATAGGCATATAAGTGGCTTTATATAAAATGTTGGTTTTTTTCCCCCAGCATCTCAGTTGGTTCTTAAATATCTAATTCCATGATCCTCAAACTTTTCCCACTGTAACAAATTAGAGAGAGGAGGAACATGTTCATCAGTGACTGTAGTTCAAATACAGCAGAAATGTGCAGCAGTGATTTCAAACTGAGAGAATCCTGGATGCCCTTCTCCATTGTGTGCCCCCCCCCCCCACCCGCCCCACATATCAGGGAACAATTTAAAATCCTGGCACAATAATGAGAAGGGAGAGTGACAAACTGATAAGTTCCAGTTAAGAATCACTTAGACAGGCCAGGTGTGGCAGCCCACGCCTGTAATACCAGCACTTTGGGAGGCTGAGGCAGGTGGATCACCTGAGGTCAGGAATTTGAGACCAGCCTGGCCAACATGATAAAACCCTGTCTCTACCAAAATTACAAAATTTAGCTGGGCATGGTGGCGCCTGCCTATAATCCCAGCTACTTGGGAGGCTGAGACAGGAGAATTGCTTGAACCCGGGAGGTGGAGGTTGCAGTGAGCTGAGACCACACCACTGCACTCCAGCCTGGGCAACAGAGTGAGACTCCATCTCAAAAATAAAAAAAAAAGAATCACTTAGACAGTATTTTTTGTTCTGTAATCTTCCTCTCTGTCATTGAAATGTCTCATATTTCTTGTTTCACATAGAATCTGGGAGTCATCAAGTAGTCATCTAGTCTATCTCATCATCTAATTTACGAATTATTTCTATCACACCCCAAGTAGCTGGCGATTCAGATTTTTTACTGAAAGCTTGACATGATGAGACATTATTACTTCCCAGAGGATCTTGGTCTGTTATCAGGCAATTTCAGTTCTTCCTTAAATCAAGCTAAAACTTGCTACTATTCTCACTCACTGGGAGGGCTGTAGTATTTCTCTCAAGTTTATACCTCTCTGTGATGAAAATCTCTGTTCTTTTAGCCATTGCTCATGGTTTCGGGATCCCCATTCTAGTCATCTTCCTTTGGAGCAATTCCCTGTTAGATCTTCAAATGTGATGAGTAAAACTGAGCTCAGGACTGCGTTTGTTGGTCACACCCTTCTCCCTTCCAAATGACTGCTGCTGTAACTTTCTGACAGGTCCTGCTTCCCTGTAATCCATTCTCCATGTGGCTGCCAAAGAAGATTTGAAATAAGTCAGGTTATTTTTCTTCCCTATTTAAAGCCTTCCAGCCGCTTGTCATTGCTCTTAGAATAAAATCCAAACTCTCCCAACAAGCTTTTAAGACTCTACATGGTCTTGCCCCAGCAAACTCTTCCCATTTGATCTCATCACTGAATTCCAGTCACAATGGCCATCCTTTGGTTTCTCAAAGTTGCCGTTCCTTTGGCATCTCTTCCTCCCTGTCTTCACAATGTAGGCTCCTTCCCATCCTAGGCTTAGTTTCGTTCCTCTCCCTAGAGGCCTTTCCTTACTGCCTCAGCTTCTCCCACTCTGCACACTCAGGGTCCTCTGCATTGTTCACTGCTGGCCTTCAAGAGCCTAGAGGAGTTCCTCCCCATGGTGGGCTTTCAATAAGTGTTTGTGGAATAAGTGAAAAATGAGTGGTCACACCAGGATCGAATGCACCTCTTACTTTTGTTAATATATTCAAATTAATATTAATATATTAATATTCTATTAATATATCCTAAAATTTTGTTGTGTATAGGGGCAGGGACCAATGAAAGAACATTTCATTGTCAGCTCATCTTGACTATGAGATCAGATATTGGCTATATTTTGAAGGTAGAGTCAGCAGGATTTGCTGTTTAACTAGAGTGGGATGTGGGAGAAATCAGGGAGTCAGGTATAACTCCAAGGTTTTCAGCCTCAAGCAACTGAAGAAATGGGGTCACCACGACTGAAATGAGGAAAATGAGAGGGGGAGTTTAGTGGGGGATGGGGTGATGAAAATATCAGGATTCATTGTGGAACATGAACAGTTAAGATTAACTGAAGAGCCTGAATTCACTGTTCCTCAGTTTCTACAACTATAAGGAGGGGTTAATAATTTCTCACATCATAATTGTGAGGATTTGAGGAGTTGAGGTACACAATTAAAAACAAAAGCACAGGGGAAGTAAGGAAAAATACATCAATTAAGCATGGCTATTAGACCATACAGCCTTACCAAATCCATTGGGGATTAGATACAAAAATCCAAGCATGATCTCCAAAATTTTTTCCTGGTAGGGTTTTAGGCTATACTGAAGTGACTTTTCTTTGGCATAAGAAGATATTCAGTTATACAGTTGGAAATAAAGGTATTGATTTGGAGTATCCAAAAACATCTCTCAGTAGAGATCCACAACCAAAGAAGCATAAAAAAAAGTCTTCCATTCACTCGCAAAACTGTCTTATGACCATTGCAACCCTCAACAGCAAACATATGGAGTCTCTACTACATATAGAGGAAAATGCTAGATTCTGAAAAGCTAATATCTATAAAACAGAGTTTATGATGTTGTTATATTCTGGGGATTGATGTAAGCATTTTACCAGGACTTATTATAGCATTATAAGCTTAACACAAGAAATATGTGGCTATCATTATGGAGTGAAAGGCTGGAAAATTCCTCACCTGTGACCTGAGAGATAGTGCGTGGTAGAATTTGAAAGAAGTGTTGATTTCAGAGGAATGCTAGTGCTTGCTTAGGGCAGTATTCAGAAGAACTCTTCCAATCACACAGCCCCTTGTACAGGCAAACTCCGGAATACTTTCAGTACATTTACTTGGCTTTATTGTTAGAGCAGAAACTTCACAGCTAAAATTATGGTCTTAGGGGTTTATAAGATGCAATTAAACTTAATTTTTAAAAGTTCTCACAAATCTTATTTGAAGTCTTAATATCTTAATTTCCTTTATATAGGATATGTGGATATATTTTTATGATAAAAGTAACATGTGACCAACTTAATAACAGCTTCGTTAATATCCTAAAGCCACTCATCTTACTTTACATATAAACAGTCCTTCTGAAGCCTAATTATGCATGGATAATTGCAGAGTGAGTTTGGGAAAAGACCAACCGGGCACATCTCTCTCCATTTTAACCACAATGAGAAGAGAGTACCTAGTGGTGCATCTTCCTCGCTTAGGTTCCCTGAGTCTGTCTTTACAGGAAGACTTCATTGTTACTTGAAGGTACATTCTTGGAACTTTACACACCCAGCCACTCAACACATGAATACATACTTATTTTAGTTAACTGAGTACTTAGTGAGTGCTAAGCTTTGTTTTAAGCCCTTTGCATGTAGTTTATTAACTTTGTTAATAGTTACAACAGTCCTTCAAGATACATGTACTGTGTTATACTAGTGTAACAGTTGAGGACACCAAAGAACAAAGAGGTGTTGACACGTGGTCACGGTTCCATAGAGTGTTAAGTTAGAGTTGGGTTCAAACCCTGGCAGTGTGGCCACAGAGCCTTGTTCTCAGCCACTGCACTGCACTACCTCCTCCCGTGAAACATAAGAAAAATGTGAGAAATGCTTAAGTAAGTGTAGTTTTTATTCATAAATAAAATTTACATAAGTACATTATGTGTAATTTGTTTTATGTATATGTGTGTATGTATAAATAAATACATGTAAAAATAAGGCCACAGTTTTAATTTTTTTCCATCTCTATAATAAAGCATGTATTATAGACCATTAGCAGAATTTAAAGTGTTATAGTAAATATTAATTGTGACTTTTGTTTTCTTCTTCCCCAGTTTCATGGTTTTCTCCAAATGAAAATATTCTTATTGTTATTTTCCCAATTTTTGCTATACTCCTGTTCTGGGGACAGTTTGGTATTAAAAGTAAGTATTATTTCTACTTTTCATTTATGTTTCAGTGATGATATAGTTATTTCTACGAGACATTGTCAGCGAAATATTTAAAGTTGTACTAGGAAAAGTGCTATTATGATAAATATGAGTATGTAATTTGAATACTACTAGTCTCCTTGAAGTATATGTTGTCGCCCACATTTTGCTGCAGTTCACTTTTAATTCCTAAGAAGGTTGTTTTCACTTGGTGTTTTTTTAATCTCTTAAGAATGAATAGTAGGAATATTAGTACCAACACCTTAAACTCATGTCACATTTTAATATTCACAGAACATCTACACACACATTATGTTATTAGGTAAACAGGTGGTGACAGCCTGCATTAGTTTTAAGGTAGGACGTTATACTTTGGAGCATTTAGATTCCCCTCTTTTTATTTTCCCAGTTTGATTTTCTCTGTGTACACGTGTTCACCCTTGGAAAAGTCCAGTCGGAACTATGTTTTGTCATCCTCTGCGTGCAGTTCTGCAGCCTCTAAAGAAGCAGCCACCAGAGAGTTAGGTTCTTTGATCTTGCTTTCCTATAATAGTAACGTAACCAGACTTCTGAAGGCAGATCTTGATGCTGCATTAGATTTAGCTTCAACAACACAGAATTGTCATTACTAGGCAAATAGGTAATATGCATTACGGTTAATGTTTAATCAACCATATTTTCATATTTTGGTAAAGAAAATTTACAAAATTAATGAAGTTCTGAGGTGACAGTCTAAACTTTTAAGCTTTTTAAATACAAGATTTATTCCTTCTTTCCTTGTAGCATCCTGAAGACCAGTAAACATTTATATAAGCAAGGAATAAATACTGCTTATTTAATTTATTCTGCAACCTTTAAACACACAAAAGCTAGTAAACTATTGCAGTGGATTGCCCTGTTGTATATTTTATGAATTTTACTTTTACTCAGCAGTTTAAGCTGTCTATATCTATGGTGGTGTATAAACATGGAAGGGAGATGACTGATTGATTATATGTTTTAAGCGCTTTTCTCAGTGTATGGCATTCTGGAAATGCTTAGTGATTTCAGAAATGTTCTCAACTTTTGTCTGAAAGGAAAAAAGGGGGAAGAAAGGGGTGGCAGTGGCAACTGTCAAGACATTTTATAACTTTTACTTTCAAGATAGTGTCTAGACTTCTTTTGGAAATTTTCTTATAATCTCTTAGTTTTTTATGTCAAGAAAAGGACTGGTGTAGCATTAAGACCTATTCTGGCATCAATGATATTAGGGAAAGCTTTTAACCATATTGGCAGAGCCAGACTTTAAGGGCTAAGTCATATGACTTGGGCAGGGAACAGCCTTTTTCAAAGATCATGAAATTATTTCACATAGTGCGATTTTTTGAGTTTGGCTTGATGGATGTTTGCTGATCCAGACGTTATCATTGGTGACATTATTTTTAGTGAAATGAACCAGGAGTGAGTTTGTTCACTGTTGGCTGTATTTTTACAAAATGAGCTTTACAATATTTTTTCTGACTTAAAAAAGTCATACATATCACTTTAGAACACCTCGTACAAAGTAGGGAGTTATTTAAAAAAAAAAAAAAAAAACTCATCTGTAGTCCCCAAACCTAGAAATAAACTATTGGTATATTCTGGTGAATTTCCTGTTTCCCTTTCTGTCTTTTTCTATTCATTTTTGTTATCTTTTTTTTAAAAAAAGGTAACCATAAATGGACTCGTACAGCTTATATGCTTGTACGTTCTGATGTTCCCCCATGTCTTCAGAAATCTTGTTATAGCTGCCTGTGTTCTACTTTTGTGGATGCACTATAATTTACTTAACTCTCATCTTGATGGATTTTAAGGATGTTTCCAATTTTTTTGATACTATGAAAATAACTCTGCTAAAGATATGAAGCCTGGAATTGGCAGAGATATTTTAAGACTCTAGATACATACTGGCAAAATGTTTTCCAGAAACGTTTGTATCAACTACTATTGCAGATGAGAATACCTGTCTTTCACCTCAGTTATAATTCTGATATTATAACGCTAAAATCTCTGCAAATTTGATGGGTGAAAAAGCATCTTATTGTAATTGTAATTTTTGTGTTAGTAAGGTGGAATGTTCTTTTTTATATTTTTTGTACTGGTCATATTTTAAGGAACGTGCTTATAAACCTAAAGAAATATTTTGGTGGGAATTTTTTGTTTTGGCTCATCTTGAAACAGGTAGATGTGTGTGTATGTGCATGGAAGAGGTATGTCTATACATGATTCACCCAGCCTGCGCTCACATTTAAAGGTGTTGATGATAATAGTAGCTAACCATTTGTGGAGCTCTTGCTCTGCTTGACAGGTTCTGTGCAAAGTACTCTATATCTGAAATGACATTTATTTCTCCCAGAAACTCTATGGGCATAGACACTGTTGTTATTCCCGTTTTGTAGATAAGAAACAGGCACAGATAGATTAGGCAATTTGCCCGCAATCACCCAGCCGTTTCCTGATAGTACTGGGATTTGAACTAGTACTGTTTACCACTGCACTGTACTGCCTCCCCGTTTTGCATTTATTTTGAGGATTTTATTTCCATGAAGGGTGAACCTATATCTAAGCACATAATACTGAGTAGCTAAAACTTATTAGGAGAGCAGAATGTTGACCTGATTTGTTTACTTATTCTGCAAATACCTAGTGACAGGGTGCCTACTGATTGCTGGACACCAAGCTACATGCCTGAAATGTGGGTGTGATGTGCATATTGCCCTGGTTTTGTAGCACCCACATTTAAGCCAGGGAGACACGAATGTATGTGCATCCCATGCCTTGTCACATCTTTGAGATAGTCATGGATCCAAATCTAACTTTTCTGTTAGTGCCTCTGTTGATGGCCTGAGCATTCCACCAAATAGAAATAGAAAGCACCTCTATTCTCCACCTGCTTAGATGTATATTTTTTAGAATCCAGTATGGTAAATCTTCTAAAGCATTCATAATAACTCAGACCCATGACTTTTATTTTATAGATTTCTAGTTCTGCTTAACTTTTCCTGATTACCATTTATGGTCTGTACTTGGCTACAGGGGATTTCTCTCAGTGGTTTTTCCAGCTCTGCATGTGAGTCTTTGTGGTCCAAGACAAACCTGGACCTTTACCAGGCTAAACTTTCAGTAAAGACAGCAGGTTATGCCCTCATTTGCTCACTCTGAGGAGAAAGAGTTTCTTTATACCAGAGCTGTATCTTGAAAGATGTCTCAGGATGCCATTGGTCCTACTGAGGAAGAAGCCTGAGAAGACTCTTAAACTCCCAGAGCCCAGCCAGCACTTGGTGAGCCCTGGACCACGTTTCAAAGATAAAGGCCTCTTACAGGGAAATGTTCCTAAATACCTTCACCTTTAGCTTAGCTTTAACTTAGGAACTTTTAAGCAGAATCTCTATGCTTAGCAAACAGCTCAGAGATTGCTAGAATCAAACACCAAGGCTTAACTGATAGTATTGAATTTCAGACGCTTTGTTTGTGTTCTGAAAACTACACCAACTCACAGTTTGCCACTCTACTGACAATTAAGTTCCTGGCTGATTTTCAGGATTCTTCTTTCTCACTCTGATATCATTTTAAGTGCTGTCCACCTAGTCCTCCAGTTCCTGCAGGATTAAGGTCCAACTGTATGTAAAGAACTGGCTAACATTTTGAAATTCTTTGAGATAGGCCTATCTGTTCTTTCTTTGCCTTTGTAACTTTGTTTTATACAGGCAATACTGGCTTCGCACAAAACCGCAAGACCATAAACATGACCATGTAAGCTGAAATTCTGCAAAACAATCTTCATGATGAATGGGAAAAACTATTATTATATTGTTCCATGACCTTTAAAATTTTTTTTGTTGTTAAAACCTTAAAAACTCTGTTATTATCAATAACAACGGCATTGGGAAATGAAAAATAGTAAAGCTAGTATTTAGTATGTGGTAAATTAAATCATTAGAAACATCGAGAATGAAAGTGTGTTATCAAGAGTAGTTTGAACAACACTTGTGTGTTCTTCTTGCATAACTTTGGATACAGAGCAAGCATCTTCTCTATGGCTTGGTGAATTGTCATACCCCTTTCTAAGTTTGGATCGGTTTCTACCGTTTTATCCTTTGCACTCTCAATGTCATGAAAGAATTCCTTTAATGTTTTTTTGAATGTTTAAAGTTTATTTTATTGCCAGTCACTTCCTCTGGGACATCTTTATTCTTTTTGTTACATCCTCCTCACTTTCCTCATTTATATCAGTAAGTCCACCTTCGCTGAGTTCTTCTGGCTTCATCTCTAGAGTTTCTTGCATTGCAGTAATGTCGACATTCGCACAATCAGCTATTTCTTCTCTTACTCCATTTATGGTCTATTCAAATTTCACTCCTAGCATTTGTCAGTTTTTATTTCTTTACTCTTTCATCTTTCTTGCCTAGTTTCCTCTTTTGATTTATCCATTATAAAATGTCACATGGGTTTATCACTGGGAAACAAGGAGGTAACAAAACTCCATACTTTGCTGTCTGTGCATGACCTAAATATCAGATGTACAGTGACTAGTCACCAACAGTCTTCAAAAGAAGTGACATGGTTGATCACTGATCATGATGGGACATCTGCTATTTACATAGTTATTTTTGAACTGAAGAAATAGCAGTGAAGTTGTACTTTATGCAGTTACTCAGTTAATATATTGTGGTAATTGAAATTTGGACTGTTTATGAGGGATTTATTTGATTAAACCATGGTAACTGGAATTCATATCAGAATAGTGCAAAGTGAGGACTGCTGTACTTGATTCCAAATTTAAAACTGTATTCTAGGCATCTTTAATTTTTTTTTTTCAACTTTCCCCTCCCTGCTCAAAATTACTCCACAGAGATTTTGGTTACGGCTCAGATGTCTTTGAGTAGATGTTCCTGTAGAAATCATTGTTAGAAAATTCAAGGAAAAAAGTTCTCATTACACTACCTTGAGATCCTACCAAGTCCTTGAGTTTTGACTTGAGGACAGCTTAATAATGAAAGTAATTCAGCCATGAAAGCATATTTAAAATAAGTAATGGAACAGGAAATTTCTTCATAGATTAGAAAAATTATTCTGAAAAAGTGAAGACATAGCCTATCTTGGACTAGGAAATTTCCATCCAAGAAAGTAAAATATACAATAAATATTATCACAAAGAATCATTCTGTGACCTGGTTGATGGCCCCTGGTAATAAGACTTTGTTATTAAGTTTACTGTGAATTCTTTTTTTTTTTTTTTTTTTTTTTTTTTTTTTTTGAGACGGAGTCTCGCTCTGTTGCCCAGGCTGGAGTGCAGTGGCGTGATCTCGGCTCACTGCAACCTCCGCCTCCCAGGTTCAAGCGATTCTTCTGTCTCAGCCTCCCGAGTAGCTACAGGCTACTGGCGTGCACCACCATGCCTGGGTAATTTTTGTATTTTTAGTAGTGATGGGGTTTCACCATATTGGCCA
Organism: Homo sapiens; assembly: GCF_000001405.40. NCBI lineage: Eukaryota > Metazoa > Chordata > Mammalia > Primates > Hominidae > Homo > Homo sapiens. The sequence continues at coordinate 108,065,618 of NC_000003.12, read as the reverse complement.
GGCTGGTCTCGAACTCCTGACCTCGTGATCCGTCTGTCTCGGCCTCCCAAAGTGCTGAGATTACAGGCATTAGCCACCATGCATGGCCCCTTACAGTGAATTCTGTTCAATAATCTTGAACTCCCAGTGCTTTCCCTTGGTCCTGTCCATATAATGATCACATTCTGTTATTAAATAATGTGCTTATGTGCTGATTTTATTGTAGGAGGAATTGAACAAATCTATAGCTCAGCATTTTACTCTTTTGTAGAAATCCCTTGACCCTTTCCAAATCCAGACATCACAACCTTCTCCATATACTCAAAAATTGTGAAATCCACAAGGCAGGGAAAGTTGATAATGAAAAAAAGGAAGTTTGGTCTGTTGGACATCCTCTTCTTTCATCTTTTATGTTCAAAGTACTTGATGCACAAAGCCTGGACTCTTTTATCTCTGTCCTATAGACTGATGTCTAGTCAGTATTCATTGTGACAAAATTGTTTCATTAGAGCAAGTTGGATAGTGTATGGAGATTATTATAAAATGATTTAACTTGTCTTCTGTCAAGTAATTTTATAATTGGTATTAATGTTCATTTTTTTCCAGTACCAGTTTCAGAAGCTTTCATTTGTGTATGCATGTGTGTGTTAAATAAGTGTATTAGATACTTGAAAAATAGTAATTTAAATTTAAACAATTTAAAAAATGAAATTGTAATTTTATGTGTAAAGGTGTCTGATGTGCTTTATTCTGCACTGAAAACAATATTCATTTACAGCTCAACAGACACCAAATATATTCTAAAATTACTTTCCTAGAGTTATCAGAAAACAGCACTGTAATAATGAAATCAAACCCATCTTTCTTTATGATTTATTCTTAGTCTGATACGCATCAGCCTGGTAAGCCTTCCTGTCTCTCTGCTTACTTACCAATCACTCCAAATGTCATGTCTTTGGGCAGGCATTAAATTCTTGGGTTTTGGGTTTTGTTGGATGGACTGCAGTCTGTGTGAGCCTATATGGGTGTGTCAAATCCAGTCTTTGGGGTGTCATGGAAACTTAGCATGATAGACTTGATTTTATCCCCAAGTTGACTTGGTAATTTCATTAGATTTCATCAGTCACAACCTGCATTTTATCTTGTATGTGCTGTCTATTGGTCACAAAATCAGAAAACCTTCTTGTCCATTCATAACATTAGCTGTTTTTTCAGGTGGCTAGAGGGACATGTCATTGCTTCATCTGCATGAATTTGAAAGATTAAATGCATAAAGGAATTTTCTTAGAGTAGAGTAGGCCTTCACCATCTCTTTAACTGGGAAAGAAGTTTTGGGAGTAACATACTCATCACTCACACCCCCCTCCCCTCAAACACACACACTCACCCATTAGAATGTAAGGGCCTTGAGGCAGGCCTTGTGTTTGCTTTTCGTGTTCACTGTCAGCATTTAGAATAGTGATAGTCATATAGATGGATAGTGCTCAATCAATTATTGTCAAATAAAGTAATCTACTTGTTCCTTGATTTAGACTAGCAAAAGGGGCTGGTACATTGTAGGTACACAGTAAATATTTGTAGAACAGATGAATGAACCAACCCAACAGATTTCTTAGAAGTAGCCTGCTTTTGGTTACTAATTATTTTATAGAACATATAAAAGAAAATTTTAGAATACCTAATTTGTTCACAAAAATGTTATATTGTCTCCCCTGATACTTGGTATTCCTGTGTCAGGCTGAGCACTAAGGTTATACATTTTTTGTTAAGCATGTAATTACTGTTATTTCTCATGTACTTTATTTTGTGTATTGATTTCAGTAGTTGTAGCTGAGGGTAATCCTTAAGAGCATGCAGATTTTAAAAATTACATAGATTGCCTTGCCAAGCCGTCTGAAAGTCATACTAGAAAATTTGATAAGAGCCTGCTGTTAACAACACATTGAGTTATTTTTATCTTAATGCTAAGTGGAGAATTACTTGAATTTATTTTTTTTGCTGCATTTAATGTTTTGATACATTCAATAAATAAGGATAAATCCACTTACTGAAGGACAAGAAAAGATCAATAAGAGATCCTTGAGGTTATTGGGTTCTATGGCATCTATTATATCAAATTCCTTGCCCTTTCACTATACTGAGAAATTTGACGACTGGGCTAGCAACAAGATACCTACCCCACATTAGCTGTGGTACCTGCTGAAATGTGACCATGTGAGCAAAGAAAATGAGCCAAAAGAAACTCTTTCTGAAGATTCACTGAAGAAAACCTGGAGATACTCTTTCATTAGTAGACCCCACAGAGACAGGTGGAGTGTCCGTTATCCAGAATGCCTGGGACCAGAAGTGTTTTGGATTTCAGATTTTTTCACACTTGGGATCCTCAACATGTGTATTTGTTGGAAATGGCTACTTAATTTAAGGAAAAGTTTAAGGTGGCCTGGAAAATAAGTAGTAGTTGAACTAATCAACAGGAACCAAAACTACTTTCAATATATAGTGTACTTATACTCAAAGAGAGACGGACCATTTTATGGTGGAACCCTGTCTATGGTAGTATTTTGTGATGTTTTATTTTTGTTGCTATTGTTTGCACTGTTTTCTCCTATAACAGCTCTTCTAAGCCTTAAGAGGATAAATTTTATATGAGATTCAAACTCTTATTTTTGTTAAGAAGGATGTAAGTCACCAGGCATGGTGGCTCACACCTGTAATCCCAGCACTTTGGGAGGCCGTGGCAGGTGGATCATGAGGTAAGGAGCTCGAGATCAGCCTGGCCAACAATGTGAAACCCCGTCTCTACTAAAAAAAAAAAAAAAAGAATTCAAAAATTAGCCAGGCCTGGTGGCGCATGCCTGTAGTCCCAGCTACTCGGGAGGCTGAGGCAGGAGAATCATTGAACCTGGGAGGCAGAGTTTGCAGTGAGCCGAGATTGTGCCACTGCACTCCAGCCTGGGTAACGGAGTGAGAGACTCTGTCTCCAAAAAAAAAAAAAAAGAAAAGAAAAAGAAAAATATAGAAGAAGAACATAAGTCAACCTTTTTCCATGAAATTATACTGTACTCTAAGGCAAATTCTTGTTGCTTGATCTTAGTAGCTTTTTTATGCATTGACTTAAACCTGGAAGAGTTTCTTATGAATGTTTGATTGACTGTGAGGTGCATTTGAAACAGCTTCTACTTTATAACCCTTTGCAGAACTTTCAAGCTCTATTTAGATAACAATATATATGGGATTAAAATGGAAAATGTGACATATGTCTAGAGAAAGTTCCTTTTTCTGTGTATGTGCCTTTTGTGACTTATACACTCAGTTTCATTCTAGCCAGCATTTGAGCCTAGAAAATAGGGAAGTTATGAAAACTCTGTGCCTTATAAGAAGGCAAGGCTATGACTGAGTATTAGACACATAAGTCCAGGGCTGGGCGGAAGTAATGAATCAAATAAAAACTTGGGGAACTTGCCATAGGATGTTTTCTGATTAATATGGGTTTCTCTTCTCTGATTAATGTGGATTTCAGTTACTCAACTGTGTAACTGAAATCCACATTAATAAATTGGTTATTTATTGCTTAGGACTTATCTCCCCATAAAGAGACTAAAATTGAGGTTATAAATTATGGGTAGATAGAAATTCCAGAAATATTTAGGTACCTGTCATATACCTTAAACATAGATTTTTATCACAATCATTTAGGGGCTTATTTATTGCTTTTACTTTATTTAATGTTTGTCACTGTAGAAGAAAAAAAACTAAATGCTAAATATAACATTTAAAATATTTTCCCCTTCATGACAGCCACCAATTGATTACTGTCATGGAGACTATCTCTATGTGGATGACACACAGCAGCATTTCAATCACACGCTGTTTCTTTCCGCTACTCAGTTTGCTTTTAGGTTGCCTTAAACAACTTCCTTGGTGAAAAAATCAACTTCAATATTAACCAAAATTTAAAAGATTCATATATAGTAAAAGAACTAATATTCGCAGATTGACCCATTCCATTCTTTCAGAGAAGGTATGAGATACTTGACAGTGGAGCTAGCAGCAGAAACAATAACATGTATGATGAATCCCATTGAGTCTTTGCAGTTTATTTTTATTAAAATATTTTAATTGAACAATTTAAGCTTTTTTTCTTCATCAGGATTTCACAAGGGTGTAATCTGCCCAGTTTTATTCTGTCATTTTTTTCAAAACAAAATAACTAGATTTCCAGATTGTTTACTAATTTTTTATAAGGTAGGACAAAATTCTCTTTTTCTCAATATTGTTAATTAACCCATTATTTCCCATTAGTATTATGTACATCAGTGTTGTGTTGTCACTTGGAGTGGTTTTGCTCATCGGGGGCATTGACAATGTCTGAAAACAGTTTGATTAACATAACTGGCATCTAGTTACTAGCATCTAGTATGTAGAGGCCAGGGATGCTCCTCAACATTCTATATTATGCAGAGCAGTGTCCCCCCTCCCCCCAAAAACTTATCTAGCTCAATTTATTAGTAATACATCAACCGAGAAAGACTGATGTATAGAACCTCATTTGTTAGTGTAGGAAAATAAGGTGTCACCTATAAATTCACCATCCATATTTATACTGCCGTGACGTTATCCATTTGCTTATGAAAGAGATGTGAGGTGACTTGATGATATTAAGGAGTTGTTCCTCATAAGTTATTACATTATAGTACTTCTGTCAGTTTGTCTCTGTACCTTACAAGTTATTAAAATGGCTTCACTTGTGATTGAGTTCATATAATTCTTTGTTTTTCTTTTTTAAGCACTTAAATATAGATCCGGTGGTATGGATGAGAAAACAATTGCTTTACTTGTTGCTGGACTAGTGATCACTGTCATTGTCATTGTTGGAGCCATTCTTTTCGTCCCAGGTAAGATGTGCAGTTCCTAGGCAGGAACGCAGGAGGTAGATGAGTGCATTCCAAGGTGAGGAGGGCTGCATTAGTTTCCTAGGGCTGTTGGAACAGATGACCACAAACTGGGTGGCTTAAACAATAGCAATTCCCTTTCCATGCTGGAGGCCATAAGTCTGAAATCAGGACGTCATCAGGGCCACACTCCCTCTCAAGGCTGTATGGAAGAATCCATTTCTTGGCTCTTCTAGCTTCTGGAATTTGCTGAAGAATGACAGTGTTTATCATTCCTTAGTTTGCGGCAGCATAACTCCACCCTCTGCCTCTCTGGTCACATTGCCTCCTCCTTCCTCTATGTCTTTGCCTCTGTGTTTTTGTTAAATCTCCCTCAGCCTCTCTCTTATGAGCACATTTGTCATTGGAATTAGAGCCCACTCATATAATCCAGGGTAAGCTCCTCCTTTCAGATCCTTAACTTCATCATATCTTTTGCCATATAATGCAGTATTCACTCTTTTGCTGTATTAGGTAATATTCACAGGTTTTAGGGATTAGGAGGTAGAAATAATTTTAGGGCCATCATTCAACTCACTACAGAGGCAAACTTCATTGGCCAAGACATGAAAGTAGAATGAATGTGGGAACCAAGTCTGGAAATTGGCAGTTGCATTTGGAGGATGGGAATGTGAGTGGGAAATGAGGATATGTAGCACATGTAAAGAAAAGCAAAGGAAGGCTGGGACTCAACCTAATAACTATAGCACACCATCGTTTGTGGAGAAGAATGCAGTGCAGGTGTAATATTTAGGAACATGGGCTTGGCAGCTCTATTGGTATCTGAAGTTAGTGAAGACAGCAGGAAGAAGGAGGTGAATTCAGAAGACAACTTGAAGGAACAATTGATTTGACTTTGGGGCATACTGAATACAGCAGATGAAGGGAACAGTAAAAGATGAATACACAGTTTCTCACTGGAATTCTGTAAACTAGTTAAGAAGGAGGCAGAGCCAATTCAAGGTTTCAGCATGTTGAAACTTAAATGTTGAGATTTAGATGTCTTAAGTTTGGTCTTAATCAAAAAATAGTCACTAATTTTGTGTGAGGTTTTCAGGGAAACGTATATTTTTAAAATTTTCACAGTTGTCAAGCACAGAATTTAGATTAGTACATTTAAAAAGTATGTAGGAAAATATTTTAAATGTTTTTATTTATTGACAGGTGAATATTCATTAAAGAATGCTACTGGCCTTGGTTTAATTGTGACTTCTACAGGGATATTAATATTACTTCACTACTATGTGTTTAGTACAGGTGAGTTTTCATTGTTACAGTATGATTTTGTCTACCTTTTTCATTTACAAAACAGCAGTTTTGGTGAAAATGCTCATATAAATTTTTTACAACTCAATAAGAGTAGGTTTATTAAAAGATTTTTCATGCTATTCTTAGTGACATTTTCCCATTCATATTAATTTTAAGGTTATTCTAGGTTAGCTGTTTTGTAAAAAGTGACTTTCATATGTATTTGATGCCAATCAGCATAATTTTAAATTATGCCATATAACTTCTTAATGATTATTTTCATATTCTAATTTCAGTTTTTTGAAGTTATAAGTGGATGTTAAACGCAGTCTTTCTCTTCTTTTGCTAAGCTTCTGCTTCTGCATTAAGAAGACTGGTTCTATAAAATGGAATTATGAATCACAAATAGTAGAAACATATTTGTTTTAATTATTAGCAAACCTTAATACTGTAGTTTTAAGAGATGGTATGGAAATCCAAACTATAATCAGTATCATTTTCACTGCATTTTGAAAGTAGATCACTACCATATTTAGTTATTACTATTAAAGAGTCACATTTAACACTTGGTCTTAGAGCCTATCTCTGGCTCGTTGTACATTGGAAAGGTATTAGTTTGTTATAAAATGACATCTAGAGATAGAGAGCATGATGTTTACAGTCAGGTATTTGCATAATGGTTCCCTCAGCAAGAGCAATTCCATGTGCATGTGGAGAAGACATTCATAATAGCCATTCATATTGTAAAATGCACAAGTGTGGTAAAAGCAGCATTGTTCTAAGATTTAGGGTAAAAACTTCCAGTCCAGCTTAGCTGACTGTGAAAATTAAAGGCTGCCGAATGTGTGAATTTGGAGCTGACTACTTGTGTGGAAGGGTTAGATCACTGAGTTAACATCTACCGTCAAACAATGAACTCCAGAGTCAGTCTTTGGTCTTAGGAGATCCCTGATTATACCAAATGCAAGTGGAAGTTATTGCTTTTTAAATACTCTTGACATGCTTCTGTTACATCCTTTTCCTTCCTCCAGCGATTGGATTAACCTCCTTCGTCATTGCCATATTGGTTATTCAGGTGATAGCCTATATCCTCGCTGTGGTTGGACTGAGTCTCTGTATTGCGGGTAAGAGTCATCTTTCTGTAGACCTAATTTGGGTTACTTTTGGACAGAGCTCTTCTTCCTTTTTCTTTTTCTTTCTCTCTTTTTAAAAATATATAGACTTGATTTTTTTTTTTAGTGCAGTTTTTGGTTCATGGCAAAATTGAGTGGAAAGTACATTCACATGGATATTTTTATGTGGACATAAGTTTTCAATTCCATTTGGGCAAATACCAAGGAGTGCAATTACGGGACTGTAAAGAGTATGTTGAAATAAACTGCCAAACTCTCTGTATCAAAATAGCTGTACCATTTTGTATTATCACCACCAATAAATAAGAGTTTTTGTTCATTCATATACTTGACAGCATTTAGCATTCTGAGCTTTTCTTTTTAAACTTCCAATTTACCCCAGTGGTAATAGTGCTTTCCTCCTCGCTACAAAGATATTAGCTGTATATATGGCTTGGTGGCTGATTGTTCTAGCACCCAAACTGATATGCCTGTATTTGTGGAAGAGCTTTTAAAATAACTGGGCTCAAATTGGTTGGAGCCTTAGACTTGAAACACCAGTTCCCATTTCTTGATATGATAAGGTATGTGTTATGCAAAGGAGGGCTTTGTTCTTCTAATAATTTTGAGTCATTTTACTGGTTAAGTTAATAAACATATATGGATAATTTTTGTTTTTTGATCGTTAGAATAACTCTCTTAAAACTTGGGATTATTACTGTTTTTTAGTAAGTTATTTCATATGCTTTTCTAATACAGAATTTTATTTGTTTTTACAGCGTGTATACCAATGCATGGCCCTCTTCTGATTTCAGGTTTGAGTATCTTAGCTCTAGCACAATTACTTGGACTAGTTTATATGAAATTTGTGGGTAAGTCAATCTTATTTTCATTAACCTATGCCAATAATTTCAGATATATCACTTAGAAAATGCTTTTTAGTTTGTTCTTCCAGTTTAGGACCAAAAATGAGAAAATACAATTGGAGTGATTCGAGGATAATTAAAGAGGGTAGAAGACATATAGGATTTTTAGTTGGTTCTTCCAGTTTAAGACCAGAAGTCAGAAAATACAATTGGAATGATTTGAGGGTAATTAAAGAGGGTAGAAGACATATAGGATTAATGAAAATTTGGTTTCCAAAGTAGTTTAAAGGAAAATGGCTTTATCTATTAGAATGTGTACCTTTTTATACTAAGTAAAAGGGGAGAGATCTTTGAGGATCCATTTTAAGTAATAGAATAGGATTTTTAATTGTTCCAGTGTTTCTGTGATAGAGCTGTCCTGCACAGACCTGTTTGTTTGTCACTTGCTCTTTTTCTTGCAGACATAGACACCCCAGACAGGAATTAAAATTCACAATCTATCAATTTTGTTCATTTAAAGAGCAGTGACCTCTAATGCATGACTTTAAAACAGTTCTAGTTAAAACCAATATAATGAAAACATTGAGTTTCAAAATTTAGGCTTTTACTCCTTTTAAAATCAATTATTAGTAAGTATGGAATTTACTTCATTGTTTCTAACTTGTATATTTAATCTGCCAATTTTCAAGTAACATTTCTGCATAAATTCTTATTTTTTATTGAGATATATGTACACAGAGAGATATTTTCAATTGTGCCTGAAACTAATGTTATCTTACCTAAGCTCAAGATGTTCCCAATAATGTAATTTATATTAGTTTCCGTTTTTTAAAAAAATTATATTTTTATGAAATAAAACATACTCTTAACCACCTATCAAAATAATCAAAAGTTATAAATTAATGGAGTAAAAAAATAGTGTTTCTGCTTTGCTTTAGGTAAACTTTGCTGTATGTGTTTCTAAAACTTAATACGAAACTTGAATTGTTATAGTCAAATAATTTCTCATATGACTCACATAATAGTTTCAAAAAACTTTTACCTTTATTTCTGAACTTTGGTTCTTGATGATTGTTAATTGAATTCAATTCTGTCATATATTCTGTGTCTTTCTTTAATTAATGCTTATTAGATAAATAATTAAAATACTTAACTAAAATCTGCGTATCCTTAGCATATGAGTTCATAAGTCTTAGTTGTTGCTCAATGAAATTTTCTAATTTTATACCACATAATGCCATAAAATACAATGGAGACATCTAAAGCAGAATGGAATTCATGTGGTAGCTACAGTGAACATCTTGAATGTTGGTGCATATTCTATTTTTGTTACATCTTCCAATCACCATGTGTCTGGTTCTGGAAGATGACACTCCTGGTTTTGTTGCTCCCCACAAATGCCTGAGAATAGTGTGTGATTTGCAGTATCCATACAACTCTGGTGAAGTAGTATGAGATACCTTTGGCTGACGGGCAGCACGCTCTTATTTTTTCCTCACTATCTGGGTTGTCCTCCCTTTTACTCCCATGCCACCCCATGCCTTCCATATCTAGCATAGAATGATCTTCAGTACAGTTGCCAGCAGGTCTGGTGACAATGTCTCAAGTGGAACTAAGCATTGTCTATCTGCCACCTCCTTAACTTCACTCTCCTGCCTTCTCCATCACTTACGTTCCTCCAAGCCTGTGAAACCACTGTACTGTACCTGTCACTGTTCTGACATTAAAATTAAAATGACTTAAATCTTGACAAGTACCCCAAATTATTTTTTCTTTGTCATAGGTTAGCATATAAGTATACTATATGCTAAAATTTATGCTATATGTTTAAAATTTAGTGCAATTTTATTGATAGTGTCCTAATTTTATTGATAGTATCCTAAATTAACTTTTTAAATCAACTTGTCTGATGCCAGGGTTCAGAGGGACACCTACAGTCAGTTGAAAGGCAAGAAGAGACAAGGTACAGGAAAGTTGCTCTTTAGATAACATGGTAGACTAGGAGGAACATTAATATGGTTTGCTTATATAATCTGACTGTGTAAATCTGAATCTATGTAACATTAAGGTTGCAAATTTGAGCGTTTATATTAGGAAGTTAAAATTTTAAGTGTCTCCAAAATAATTTTTACTCATTGCACGTGTTCTGTTTTAGAAAAGCCTAATGATTGTGTTTTGATTTAAATGCAATAAAATCCTCAAATAGTTAAAAATCCAAGCTTTCTCTTCAAGAAGAAGTTAATGTCGCTATGAGATTTTTAACTTTTATAATTTTTATTATTTCCAACTTTAAATTTGTAGCCTTAATTTGCTATTTTAAAGAGTAGGCCTTTCACTTTCTACAACTTTCTGTGAAAGTGACTTTCACTTTCTATTTTTTAACTTTTTAAACTGTGTTGTATTTTTTTTCTTTTATTGGAAGCATTTTAATTTTATAAGATGAGAAAAAGGACTGGGCACAATAACTTAATGTGAAAGCATAGAAAAGATTACAAGAACCTAACCAAACTCACTAAAGTTGGGCTTGTTGTTTGTAGAGAACGTTTATATAATTATAAGGATCAATACTTTCTCATTTTTAAAGCCATTACCAGTTAGTTCAATATAAGGGCATATAGTGTTTTGATACAAATCAATCTGGTAGCAGTAAGTACCATATTTACCACAACATCCCAGATATTTTAGAATGATGCAGATGCAGAATATATACGTAGAATTTATATCTATGTATAGATACAAATTCAGATATTTTCTTGTTCAATTTAAGGAGAGGTAAATTTGGTATCAATAGAAAAAATGTTTCTGAAAAATTTAAACCCTGGAAATGTATTTATGGCATGGAGTCAGATGTTTCAGGGAGAGAAGAACAAATCAAGAAGCATTGCAAGTATGCTCATATGGAATGCTTAAGGCTTGTGGTTAAAAAATATATATATATGGCTGTCAATGTCTTAGGCTCATGGTAGCAGCAGAAATCGTAATAATTCTTTTGTCACATGGGTTATATCCATATTGGAGAGAATTAACTCAGGTGAAATTAACTTGTACACTGTTTGGTTTTATAATATTTAGAGGGATCACAACTGACTGATGTCCCTTTGAAGTACCATTCTTCATAAATCTTTTTTTTTCAGAATGGGCCAGCCAACTGTGACATCCCTTGGATCGGAGATTTAGAACTAGAAAGTATTCTTTCTACATTATTAGGGAAGAAAAGGAGTTACTTGGCGGTTAGCAATATTCTATTTTGTTTTGTTTTGTTTTTAGAGACAGGGTCTCATTATGTTGACCAGGCTGGCCTCGAGCTCCTGGGCTCAAGCAATGCTCCCACCTCAGCCTCCCAAGTAGCTGGGACTACAGGCATGTGCCACTACACCTGGCAGTGTTTATTCTGATAAATACATTTATGAGCTCAAAAATGTAACTCTAAAACCTTATCTCTGAACTTCCATATTACCATCAGAAATTTAGATAGTTGTTTAGTTCTCTTTTTCTTTGTAGAACATAGATATAAGGCATGGTTTCATTGAAGTCAGTTGTATATACATGTAACTATCCTGATGTTCCCAAATAAAGCTCTGTATTTCTGCTTAGTTTATTGGGGAGGCTGCTAAATGTAGTGCATCCCAACCCATTTTACCCTGTTCTACTTTAAAAAGAGGTTGGCTTCTTGTTTGGATACAAGGACCAAGTCACTCCCCCAGGTTCCTCCACAGTAAGGGAGGCCTATTTAAAGCCGCCCATGGCACTAACAGAAACTGGACTCCTATGAGCTCAGATACATAACTGGGCCTCACAGGGGTGGGACAGTATGTAGTCTAGGAATTGGAAGGATCCATTCCATATCAAAGAACTGAAGCATCGTGTTGCCCTCTCAGCAGCAAGAGTAAGGTGATGCCCCTGTCAGTTATAGTTCCTGAGTTCCTCTGTCTTTGATTCTTTGCCTATTAGCCAGCTAGCTCACCCTCTTGTTTATGCCACTGTTTTTTATCCTATTCATGCCTTCTCACAGACAACTTTTCTTACCTACAGCTTTGGACTCATCCTTGTCTCCTTTCTGTTTCTTTTTCACTTTCCCTTCCCATCACCAACTTTCTGGGTTTTTTTCTGTTTCTTCTTAGAGTCCAGTGGCAGGGAGAAACTTGTCAGTCCAGTCTGTTGCCATTTTTCCTGTTTGAGAAAGACTCACCAGCTTTTGGCTGGCTCACAGATTGGCTTTCCTTGGGTCAGGACCCACCCTTTTCCCTGCCAGCTTTGGAAGCTTGACAGAATTCGAGTGTGCAGTGGTGGTAAATAAATAGTAAGGAACACAGAGCAGTCCTGGAGGCGTGCCTCCATCTGCTGATGAGAAAATCCAGTGCTGTCATCCAGCCCAGGTCCCAGCGGAATGGGCCTCTCTGTTCAGTAGGATCCCCCTCCTGCTGAGTGGTTCATGGCATGTTTCTGTTCAACGCTTTTCCATCTGTAGGATTCTTATTCTGTATTTATTTGTTTTTTTGGGTTTTTTTATTTTTTGAGATGGAGTCTCGCTCTGTCGCCCAGGCTGGAGTGCAGTGGCACGACCCCAGCTCGCTGCAGCCTCTGCCTCCCAGGACGAGGGAGATCCTCCCACCTCAGCCTTCCACGTAGCTGGGACTACAGGCATGCACCACAGGCATGCACCACCACGCCAGCTAATTTTTGTATTTTTGGTAGAGACAGGGTTGCATCATGTTGCCCAGGCTGGTCTTGAATGCCTGAGCTCAAGCAATCTATTTGCCTTGGCCTCCCAAAGTGCTGGGATTACAGGCATGAGCCACCACGGCCAGCCTTCTCATTTGTTTTTTTTATAAGGAAGCTATCTCTTCTTCCCTCCCCAACTAGGGTATTCTTTTTCCCTTTCGTCACTTTGCTCATGTACTGTATTCCTTCAACTTCATTAATGAATCCATTTGGAAGCAGTGAAAAAGGCAACTCAGAAAGCTAAGAAGAAATAGATAGAGGAATACTCAGAGCTATCTGAGTATTTTCTTTAGTTTGTTAGCTCTTTGGAGCTTTGAAACTGGAAAGACCCAGGGAGTGATGTGGAGAAAGAGACTGAGCTTGTAAGACACAGGAGCAGTGAGCTAAGGGAGATGGAGTAGTGGGGACAAATTCTGGCACATTCTGTCTACACTCTGGGTAGATAGAGGAGGGAGGATGGAGCACCCATGGTGGGGGTATGTTGGTGACAGCATTTTCCCACCAGCCAGTGTAACAAGTGGCTGATTTGGGGGAAAGATGGCATAAACAAATGAGAGAATGTGTTTACTATTTGATGTAGATGGGTTATTTGCTTCATTTTTCAAATCAGTGTATATAATCAAGAATATTCAGCATGTTTGAATAGACTGTCAGAGCTGGAACTCTTTCATTAACATCTCTGGCACCTTTAGTTTTAGCCCTGAACATTTTATCTTAAAATTAAACATTACCAAATGCCTTAGTTTATTTCATTTATTAAATTTATATTCTTATTTGTTATTTATATCAGCTTCCAATCAGAAGACTATACAACCTCCTAGGGTAAGTTAAAGTTTATTAAATGAATTGTGAATGATCATTTGAGGGATTAGACTGAGGAACTTGGTAATTGAGATATTTTGCTATCTGTTTTGTCTCACGTCAAATTAAGAGAATGTTGAAGTCATTGCATGACCTTTGCATGAATGGGTCCAGTTCTATTTTAAAACCTGTGTTTGGTCATTTTAGTGTCAATGGGATGGAATAAATGATTTCTTAAGATTGTACTGACTTCTCACACCCAAAACTGGAAAGTAGGAATAATGGCTATATTATCTCTGCAATCAGAAGGAAGCTGATTCCAATATATCACCTCACCTGTTGGATTCATTGGATGTGCATACACAGAATGACAATTTCAGGCTTAAAAATGAGGAGAAATCTATACTAAGTTGACATCACTGATAATTATAATCTATAAAATAAATGTAAATATTGCTGAAAACATCTGTTCGGAGTTATGATTCGATCCTCTCCCATACAAATGTTTTATAAACATTTTTTCCCTTAAAACTGTGCTTAAGGTTTCATTGTACCTTAGATACCTTATTAAGCCATCTGAGGAAATTGCAAGAAAGGAGTAATTTTAGGAGGGCATAAATGAAGAGAAAAGCATATTTATAAACATAGACTTATCACAGTGACAGGCCCAAGAGGTATGTTGTGGACATAAGCTCTGGAAAGGATTATATTGTACTTAGCTTCCTATAACGGAGTGATGATAGATGTATCTGGAATGCCAAAGAGAGTCTTCTGTCTGTGGCCGGAGGTAGAGGTCACATATGCTTCTAAGTCTGACAAGCCTCATTGTGCCTAAAGGGCAGGTGGGGCGGGTATGTGTGTCTACCACAGGGGTATATTCTAGAAAGATTGGTGCCATAGCTATGTTGGTCACAAGAGGCCAGCAACTTAACTGGACCTGTGAATCCTAACACATTTTCTTTCCCAGTTACTGAGTTCAATTTGCGATACTTAAAGATGATTCTGTTTTGCTTCCACCTCTTCACTGTGTTATTTATTCTGTTGTTGCTATTTATGCTTGCACTTTCATATTTTTAGAAGTTAGAATTTCTTGAGCTGAGAGTGGTGAAGTGGGAAATTCTGTTTAGAAAAATAATATTAAGAGAATAATACAGTTATTATTAAACTATTAACCCGACTTGGCAAGCTTTGCTTTAACATTTACAGGCTTATTTCGTTGTTTTGTTTTTTCTTTTTTTTTTGACTGTAGGATTTACTGCTTACTACGTAATTTAAATATTAGCATATATAAGTTTTACTATAAAATGACATGACATAAATTATATTTTTATGTAAATATATTTTAAATATTTTTCAGAAAGCTGTAGAGGAACCCCTTAATGGTATGTGGTTATTTCACTCTTAATCCTTTACCAGATCATAATTTGATCTGGCCCGCAAAACAGTTAGAATGCCCTGTCTATGCCTTAGGAAGAATCTAGGTTTTTTTCCTCTTTTTTTCTTTCCTTGGCATCTCTACTCTTGATTATTCATCAAGAATTATGGGCTGGGTGCGGTGGCTCACGCTTGCGATCCCGGCACCTTGGGAGGCCAAGGCGGGCAGATCACGAGGTCAAGAGATTGAGACCATCCTGGCCAACATGTTGAAACCCTGTCTCTACTGAAAATACAAAAATTACCTGGGCATGGTGGTGTGTATCTGCAGTCCCAGCTACTCGGGAGGCTGAGGCAGGAGAATTGCTTGAACCCGGAAGGCAGATGTTGCAGTGAGTTGAGATCATGCCACCGCACTCCAGCCTGGTGACAGAGTGAGACTCTGTCTCAAAAAAAATAAAAAAGAATTATGAATATTACTTTTATAATATTCTCACCACTGGGAAAAATGCACTATTCTGTGTCTAAGTAGCTGCTTACCTTAACCAAGTGATATTTGGGCAAGGGGATCGTTGCCTTTTGCTACTGGTTGAGACGAAGCATGGCACCCCCTAGTAGAGAAGGATCCCAATTACTTCCAATTTGTGATGTACACATTTTAGAAAGATACAGGCTATTGCCACAGAGATAGACCAAAACATCTCATTTTCTTTCTTTGTAAACCTAGATCTGATTTCCCAACTAAGTCTGTTTCCTTTGTGAATGCTGTGGGTATGATCCACAGAAAGGCTACATAATGAAATGATAGCTTTACAATTAATTTGGCTGTAGAGTTGTAGACTAGTTAGCATATCATTGCATATTTGTTTATTTAGAAATGATTTCCAATTGTGGAACCTCACTAACTGCCTGCTTGGCTTGTTACTAATCCTAGCATTCAAAGAATCAAAAGGAATGATGAATGATGGTAAGTATAAAATGCACTTAATAATTATAGATCAGTTAAAACATGGACATTGGAAAACAAAAAAGCTTCTTGAAAATGTGGCTCTTTTTTAGTAAAAGGGACACTGTCAGATGATAAAGGTTCACATTTCTTGATGTATACAACTTAAATCTACTTTGCTAAAAATTGCAAAACTACTACTGTAAAAACTGTAGGGTGTCACGAATCAGACTCCAGTCATATGGCTCCCAGCAAAGAGAAATTACCACTTTTTGTAAAATGTTTTTCAGATTCCGTGTCTGGTGACTGTAACTTTAAGATGCCTTTTATAAGGCACATAAATAATCTGGCACAAATCTTTATCATTTTGACAGAGTTTCTTTTATGCTTGTGTTGGTGATTTTGTTGCATTTAACCCATGGGGACTTAACATCTCTGCTTTTCCAATCAGGAGCTTGGTTCTAACCTTTTGGGAGATGATTAAAGAGAGAGGTTGAGAGAGAGAGAGAGAGAGAGAGAGAGAGAGAGAGAGAGAGAGAGAGAGATGTTTCGTCCTCAGCTTTTGCTTCCATTTTTTTTTTAAGAACTCTGGGCTAATAACTTCTAATCTTTATAGAATATTTCAAAGAAATATATTTGTTCTTAAAGATACATAGGTTTGAGATATTGAGTGCTACAAGCATTTATTTTGGTTTTACCTTAACATATTATGATTCCTCAGTTTTGTTGGCATTTAGTAATTATGTTTATGTTTTTATCTTATCAAAAAATGTCTTCTTACCTTTGATATTTATAATCACTCCTCGGTCATGTAAATAGTTTGCTTTATATTTTACTGTTTTAAAGTCTGTGACCTTACCTGCCCTCTTCTGTAGCAAAGTGCAGCATTTAACTCAGGAAGCTATATTCCCCCCAAGTGTCATTAATATTTGCATAAGATTAAAAACACTCCAGTCGGCCGGGCGCGGTGGCTCACGCCTGTAATCCCAGCACTTTGGGAGGCCGAGGCGGGCGGATCACAAGGTCAGGAGATCGAGACCATCCTGGCTAACACGGTGAAACCCCGTCTCTACTAAAACTACAAAAAATTAGCCGGGCATGGTGGCGGGCACCTGTGGTCCCAGCTACTTGGGAGGCTGAGGCAGGAGAATGGCGTGAACCCGGGAGGCAGAGCTTGCAGTGAGCCAAGATCGTGCCACTACACTCCAGCCTGGGTGACAGAGCAAGACTCCGTCTCAAGAAAAAAAAAAAAAAAAAAAAAAAAAAAACACTCCAGTCATGCATTGGTGAACAAAGTTTAAAACAACGTGTATTCAGCATGGAGTCACAGAATGATCCTACTTTTGTATGTTTGTGTCACAGCCTTTAAAAGCATGTCTTGTTATATAAGCCATTACCCTCCTAAAAAAGACTATAGTTCACAGGAATAAGTTAAAAGACATAACAAAACATAAAATGACTAGTACCAGGAATTGTGACCATGGTTTGTTCTGGTAACTGTGGCATGGCATGGTTTGTTCCAGGAATTGTGGCATGGTTTGTTCATGTTTACATTCTGATGTCCTATTTTTTTTTTTTAATTTCTATGTCCTTTCCTTTTCCTTGGTGGTGTCATTGTTCTGTAGCTGTATGAAGAAACTAAACTTTTCTCCATTTTCAGGAAAGCAATCTAAGAATCTTGAGTGCCTCTTCCTTTGTTAATTTCTCTTAAGATGTGACTTTTTTAAACTACTGCATCAGGAAATATTGTAAAACAGTTTTGCCTTGAATATTTGTGATGAAATCTACGATGATCTTCAAGATTCTCTTAATTTTGCTAATATTCAGCTGATCAGAATTTGTTTTTAAAATGTCTGGCTGGTGGGTACTTCCCACTGACAACTGCTTATTGCTTACAGTATGTCTGCCTTGTCAATGAATGAGGTTCAGGGTGCTTCCTAGGGATCAGAGTCAGTACCATTTTTCTCTTTCATCTACAGCTGATCAGATGTTTATTTTACTTACATTAAATGAATGATGGAGATCCAAAGTGAATATTATAGAATATTATTCTAGGATCAACATCTTTTGCTTTGAAAAATCAACATCTCTTGGCTTTTCCTCAGCCAACCCAGCAAACAGAGATTATCAGACTCTGTTGATTTTTTACTTTCATTTGGCATTGGCCTTTTTCTTACTGAAATTAAAAAGGCTAATGATTTGCCTGGTTTCTGTCTCTGACCTTTGCAGGTCTATTTTCTTAATTTTTAGATACTATATATCTGAAACTTTTTTTAATGTGTCAACTTTTTAATGGATAGAAAATAGACACGAATAGTGATTATGTGTTCATTTTTCAATTTTCCAGAATAACTGAAGTGAAGTGATGGACTCCGATTTGGAGAGTAGTAAGACGTGAAAGGAATACACTTGTGTTTAAGCACCATGGCCTTGATGATTCACTGTTGGGGAGAAGAAACAAGAAAAGTAACTGGTTGTCACCTATGAGACCCTTACGTGATTGTTAGTTAAGTTTTTATTCAAAGCAGCTGTAATTTAGTTAATAAAATAATTATGATCTATGTTGTTTGCCCAATTGAGATCCAGTTTTTTGTTGTTATTTTTAATCAATTAGGGGCAATAGTAGAATGGACAATTTCCAAGAATGATGCCTTTCAGGTCCTAGGGCCTCTGGCCTCTAGGTAACCAGTTTAAATTGGTTCAGGGTGATAACTACTTAGCACTGCCCTGGTGATTACCCAGAGATATCTATGAAAACCAGTGGCTTCCATCAAACCTTTGCCAACTCAGGTTCACAGCAGCTTTGGGCAGTTATGGCAGTATGGCATTAGCTGAGAGGTGTCTGCCACTTCTGGGTCAATGGAATAATAAATTAAGTACAGGCAGGAATTTGGTTGGGAGCATCTTGTATGATCTCCGTATGATGTGATATTGATGGAGATAGTGGTCCTCATTCTTGGGGGTTGCCATTCCCACATTCCCCCTTCAACAAACAGTGTAACAGGTCCTTCCCAGATTTAGGGTACTTTTATTGATGGATATGTTTTCCTTTTATTCACATAACCCCTTGAAACCCTGTCTTGTCCTCCTGTTACTTGCTTCTGCTGTACAAGATGTAGCACCTTTTCTCCTCTTTGAACATGGTCTAGTGACACGGTAGCACCAGTTGCAGGAAGGAGCCAGACTTGTTCTCAGAGCACTGTGTTCACACTTTTCAGCAAAAATAGCTATGGTTGTAACATATGTATTCCCTTCCTCTGATTTGAAGGCAAAAATCTACAGTGTTTCTTCACTTCTTTTCTGATCTGGGGCATGAAAAAAGCAAGATTGAAATTTGAACTATGAGTCTCCTGCATGGCAACAAAATGTGTGTCACCATCAGGCCAACAGGCCAGCCCTTGAATGGGGATTTATTACTGTTGTATCTATGTTGCATGATAAACATTCATCACCTTCCTCCTGTAGTCCTGCCTCGTACTCCCCTTCCCCTATGATTGAAAAGTAAACAAAACCCACATTTCCTATCCTGGTTAGAAGAAAATTAATGTTCTGACAGTTGTGATCGCCTGGAGTACTTTTAGACTTTTAGCATTCGTTTTTTACCTGTTTGTGGATGTGTGTTTGTATGTGCATACGTATGAGATAGGCACATGCATCTTCTGTATGGACAAAGGTGGGGTACCTACAGGAGAGCAAAGGTTAATTTTGTGCTTTTAGTAAAAACATTTAAATACAAAGTTCTTTATTGGGTGGAATTATATTTGATGCAAATATTTGATCACTTAAAACTTTTAAAACTTCTAGGTAATTTGCCACGCTTTTTGACTGCTCACCAATACCCTGTAAAAATACGTAATTCTTCCTGTTTGTGTAATAAGATATTCATATTTGTAGTTGCATTAATAATAGTTATTTCTTAGTCCATCAGATGTTCCCGTGTGCCTCTTTTATGCCAAATTGATTGTCATATTTCATGTTGGGACCAAGTAGTTTGCCCATGGCAAACCTAAATTTATGACCTGCTGAGGCCTCTCAGAAAACTGAGCATACTAGCAAGACAGCTCTTCTTGAAAAAAAAAATATGTATACACAAATATATACGTATATCTATATATACGTATGTATATACACACATGTATATTCTTCCTTGATTGTGTAGCTGTCCAAAATAATAACATATATAGAGGGAGCTGTATTCCTTTATACAAATCTGATGGCTCCTGCAGCACTTTTTCCTTCTGAAAATATTTACATTTTGCTAACCTAGTTTGTTACTTTAAAAATCAGTTTTGATGAAAGGAGGGAAAAGCAGATGGACTTGAAAAAGATCCAAGCTCCTATTAGAAAAGGTATGAAAATCTTTATAGTAAAATTTTTTATAAACTAAAGTTGTACCTTTTAATATGTAGTAAACTCTCATTTATTTGGGGTTCGCTCTTGGATCTCATCCATCCATTGTGTTCTCTTTAATGCTGCCTGCCTTTTGAGGCATTCACTGCCCTAGACAATGCCACCAGAGATAGTGGGGGAAATGCCAGATGAAACCAACTCTTGCTCTCACTAGTTGTCAGCTTCTCTGGATAAGTGACCACAGAAGCAGGAGTCCTCCTGCTTGGGCATCATTGGGCCAGTTCCTTCTCTTTAAATCAGATTTGTAATGGCTCCCAAATTCCATCACATCACATTTAAATTGCAGACAGTGTTTTGCACATCATGTATCTGTTTTGTCCCATAATATGCTTTTTACTCCCTGATCCCAGTTTCTGCTGTTGACTCTTCCATTCAGTTTTATTTATTGTGTGTTCTCACAGTGACACCATTTGTCCTTTTCTGCAACAACCTTTCCAGCTACTTTTGCCAAATTCTATTTGTCTTCTCCTTCAAAACATTCTCCTTTGCAGTTCCTCTTCATCTGTGTAGCTGCTCTTTTGTCTCTTAACTTACCATTCCTATAGTACTTTATGCATCTCTGCTTAGTTCTATTAGTTTTTTGGCCTTGCTCTTCTCCTTGATTTTAAAATTCCTTCTATAGCTAGAGCTTTTCTTTCTTTCATTCTCTCTTCCTGCAGTGTTTTGCATACATCAGAAGCTAGGTACATAAGTTAAATGATTGAGAGTTGGCTGTATTTAGATTTATCACTTTTTAATAGGGTGAGCTTGAGAGTTTTCTTTCTTTCTGTTTTTTTTTTTTGTTTTTTTTTTTTTTTTTTTTTTTTTTTTTTTTGACTAATTTCACATGCTCTAAAAACCTTCAAAGGTGATTATTTTTCTCCTGGAAACTCCAGGTCCATTCTGTTTAAATCCCTAAGAATGTCAGAATTAAAATAACAGGGCTATCCCGTAATTGGAAATATTTCTTTTTTCAGGATGCTATAGTCAATTTAGTAAGTGACCACCAAATTGTTATTTGCACTAACAAAGCTCAAAACACGATAAGTTTACTCCTCCATCTCAGTAATAAAAATTAAGCTGTAATCAACCTTCTAGGTTTCTCTTGTCTTAAAATGGGTATTCAAAAATGGGGATCTGTGGTGTATGTATGGAAACACATACTCCTTAATTTACCTGTTGTTGGAAACTGGAGAAATGATTGTCGGGCAACCGTTTATTTTTTATTGTATTTTATTTGGTTGAGGGATTTTTTTATAAACAGTTTTACTTGTGTCATATTTTAAAATTACTAACTGCCATCACCTGCTGGGGTCCTTTGTTAGGTCATTTTCAGTGACTAATAGGGATAATCCAGGTAACTTTGAAGAGATGAGCAGTGAGTGACCAGGCAGTTTTTCTGCCTTTAGCTTTGACAGTTCTTAATTAAGATCATTGAAGACCAGCTTTCTCATAAATTTCTCTTTTTGAAAAAAAGAAAGCATTTGTACTAAGCTCCTCTGTAAGACAACATCTTAAATCTTAAAAGTGTTGTTATCATGACTGGTGAGAGAAGAAAACATTTTGTTTTTATTAAATGGAGCATTATTTACAAAAAGCCATTGTTGAGAATTAGATCCCACATCGTATAAATATCTATTAACCATTCTAAATAAAGAGAACTCCAGTGTTGCTATGTGCAAGATCCTCTCTTGGAGCTTTTTTGCATAGCAATTAAAGGTGTGCTATTTGTCAGTAGCCATTTTTTTGCAGTGATTTGAAGACCAAAGTTGTTTTACAGCTGTGTTACCGTTAAAGGTTTTTTTTTTTATATGTATTAAATCAATTTATCACTGTTTAAAGCTTTGAATATCTGCAATCTTTGCCAAGGTACTTTTTTATTTAAAAAAAAACATAACTTTGTAAATATTACCCTGTAATATTATATATACTTAATAAAACATTTTAAGCTATTTTGTTGGGCTATTTCTATTGCTGCTACAGCAGACCACAAGCACATTTCTGAAAAATTTAATTTATTAATGTATTTTTAAGTTGCTTATATTCTAGGTAACAATGTAAAGAATGATTTAAAATATTAATTATGAATTTTTTGAGTATAATACCCAATAAGCTTTTAATTAGAGCAGAGTTTTAATTAAAAGTTTTAAATCAGTCCAATGTGTTTCATAATTATTTTTTAATTTTCTCCATGGTGCAGTGAAAACATCACATGAGAAAGCAGGAGACCTGGGTGCTAGTCCTGGCTACACTACCAGCTAGCAGAGGACCTGGGAAAGCTACTTCCCTGGATCTCAGTGTCCGTCTCTGCCTGTAGAATGAGATAAGTCTCTTCAAGACTGAAATGTATGGTTCTCCATTTTAATTATCAGTTAGGACTATTGATTACAAGTGAAAGAAAACTTAAATCTAAGAAAAATGGGATCTATTGGCTAACATAACCTGAAAATTCAGACACACAGCTGGATCCTGGGCCTCCAAAAAGTGTCATAAGGACACAATATCTTGCCAGTTCTCAGCTTCACTGTCCTTCGTGTGGCTTTACTCTCCCAGGTTCCTGTGATGGCAAATGGCAAGCTGCAATCCCAAACCCATTTTCTTCCAGGTTCAGGGAGAGTAGAGGGGTAAAAAAGAGCGCATGTCTCTCTCTTAATAGTCCTGTCCACCTTGGGTTGCACCTCACCTCGGTGCTCTGACTGGGTCACGTGCCATGCCTCCTTCAGTCACTGAGGCCAAGTGTCTCTGGCGCTCTGATCGGGCCTGGCTGAGTCCCGAGTCTAGACTGGAGTGGAGGTGCTGGGCTCCATCTGAGCACATGTACCTGGCTGGAGGTGCCAGGCCGGGGGGAAGTTCACCTGAAGAAAACTCTGGGGGTCTTTCCAGATGATGAGATGTCATTTGATTTGGGGCACAGTATTCCTAGTCAACGCTTCATTCCTTCAGGTCTGTACTCTATGATTCTGCATTATATGTGTGATCGTAGACCATTTGAACAGACAATAATATTTGGCAGCAAAATACCGTCTCGTTCTTACCTCATAGGCAATTTAAATTTTATGCACTTACGAGAACTTTTCACTCTCAGCAGGGGTAACTAATGGAGTTCAGAAAGCATTTAATGGCCTGCCTCCTGCACTGAAAGCTGCTCTGTGCAGCACAGAACTGTACTCAACCTGATTGAACTCCCACGGAGGGGTAGGCTTCCAAACGCAACTGAATTTCATTTTGGTGCAGCACCTTTCTGCCTCAAGGCCTTAGCTTTGATAGCTTTAGAAAATAATGGATATGGTAACACTATGCAGGTAAGACATGGTTTTACCAGTGGCTCAGAGATTTAAGCCCAATTGGCAGTGTTTGGTGTTAGAAGTAATCTTTATTTTTTGTAAGCTTCATACTAAGTACCCATTCACCAAATCAGAGGGAAATGAAGTATTTACCCCTAAGTTATGGATACTTGGCCTGGTTATTTTATGTATCTATGACTATATAGAATAATGGACTTAATGATTAGAACTCTTATATACTTAGCAAGTATTTATTTAATCACTTGAATAGCAGGCAGCAACTTTTCAGCTCTGATGATAGCCAGTTGTGAAAGACTAGGCATATTTTCCAAATCTGGATGATGAGAAATGCTTGGTAAGAAGTCCAGTTTGGACAGAATTGATTTGTAAGTCTAAAGACAGCAATTTTATGTCAGTTTTGAAGCCAGACTGCAATATTGCTACCATTGCTCACTTAATGGACAGGCTTTCTGGAAGCCTCTACTGAAAATAATCTTATCTGATCATAGGCCTCCCTTAATAAAAAACAAAACTATAATGTTGCTTCCTAATTTTCTCTGGGTTGCCTAAGAAATTCTTCAAGATTAAACTAACAGCCTGTAAGTGGTTTGACTTTCTAAACAAATGGATTATTTGAAAAATTTTAATGTATTGTTTATAACACATGCCAGACACTTCCTCACGCCTATAATCCCAGCACTTAGGGAGGCCAAGGTGGGTGGATTGCTTGAAGCCAGGAATTTGAGACCAGCCTGGGCAATGTGGCAAAATCCTGTCTCTACAAAAAATACAAAAAATAGCTGGAGGTGCTGGTGGGCACCCATAGTCTCAGTTACTTGAGAGGCTGAGGTGGAAGGATCGGTTGAGCCCTGGATAGAGGCTGCAGGAAGCCATGATCACAGCACTGCACTCCAGCCTGGGAGACAGAGCGAGACCCTTTCTCAAAAAATAATAATAATAATTAAAATAACAAAGCATGGAATATGTCTTTCATGGAGCTCTCTAAGTTTTGCTCATTTTTATTAAAAATACTGTTTGTGGAGGGTGTTGTAGTTAAGCTGCACTGTGGGCAGAGTGGACCTGCACAGGTCCACAGGACCTGTGTCCTGTGTCTCTACCAGTCATCATATATGTCACAGATTCTGTGGGGAAATATGTCTCTGGCATGCTAACTGGGAACAACTGGAACCTTTGCTCTCCCTACCATTGCAGCCTCCTCCTCCAGCAGTTGTAGGACTAGCGGCCCCACCACATGGGATGAGAGCCCTGTGGCGGCTGCCTCCAGCCCCTGCCTCCCAGGCAGCTCATTCTAGGAATGCTCCTTATTCTCTGGGAAGTTTCCATCCACAGCTCAACCAAACGTTTTTGGAATGTGATGTTTATAATTGTCACTTGTGCAAGTTCTATATGTTTGGTAACCTGAGTAAACCTTTGTTTATTGCAATACTATCAAGTATTCACTTCTCACAATTGAATTGGTTAGATACATATCTTAGGTTTTTAAATTTGATTATCATGGATTCAGTAGAGCCCATGTCTCTTCCTGTCTTTAGCTATATGCCTAGCTATCAGTGGGAATTGTCTGCTAACGACTATTACTCCATGGAACAGAAAAGATTACCATGGATCCTGTGCGGGAATATGTTTGAAAACATCCACAAAAATCAGTTTTTCTCATTTCTGCTCAAGGAAAGTTGTCAGAAAATTATGGAACCTTTCTGCTTTAAGTTGATGATGATAGAAGATGGGGCATTTATTAATTGCCTAAAAGAATTATCCTTGAAGTTATACTGAAAAATTTTTTTTAAGTTTTTTCAAAAACACTATAGTAAAATTAAATTTATTTTTTATTTATTTATTTTTTTTGAGATGAAATCTCACTCTTGTCCCCCAGGCTGGAGTGCAATAGCAGGATCTCAGCTCACTGCAACCTCTGCCTCCCAGGTTCAAGCGATTCTCCTGCCTCAGCCTCCTGAGTAGCTGGGATTACAGGTGCCTGCCACCATGCCCGGCTAATTTTTGCATTTTTAGTAGAGACAGGGTTTCACCATGTTGGCCAGGCTGGTCTTGAACTCCTGACCTCAGGTGATCCACCTGCCTGGGCCTCCCAAAGTGCTGGGATTACAGGCGTAAGCCACCGCGCCCAGCCAAGTAAAATTAAATATTCTTGTATTCTTTTTATATCTCTGGAAAAGTATTAAATACATTCTTCCAGAAAAACCTTCGCTGAAGGGCTTGGCTGGACTAGTTTCCCACAGCTTATCCTAGGGCCTCTGGGTAGAATTGTTTTTCTTTATTGTGTGGATAGATCAGACTCAGTACGGAGACCAACAGGCTCTCTGTCTTCTCCTCAGAAGCAACTGGGATTCTCCAGAGCAGTCATAAGGTGACAGAAAGGCCCCAGAACAGATGTTTCGTGTGTGACAGAGCCTCCAGGGAGACGACTCTGTTGCTTTAACAGTGCTAATGAGGCCAGGTTGCCAGTGGGTCCTCACCTGAGCCAGTTACTTATTTATATGACTCCATCTTATTCCTCAAAGGGTTTAAAGTGCCCTGTTTGGGCCAGGTGTCTTCACACTGAGAAAAGCGGCGTTCCACGGTCACAGCCAGGTGAGTGCACTCGCCCATCGGCATGGGCATCCGAGGAGAGCAGGGCTGTGGTGGGTAAAATGCGCTCTGCGAAACCTCGCCTCTAACTGCCTTGCTCAAAGCAACCTGCCACAGAGGTCAAGAGCGTCATTTACTCATATAAAGAACAGTTCTTTCTCCTCAACCCCTGAGAAGCAAAGCCACCGTAATAATTTTCACTATACATAGGAAAAAATTTTTGTAATCAAAAAACGAAACGAAATTCCTGATTCAACACATTCCGAGGGCTGTCCAAATCAACCTGGCAGTGACATCAGTGCTGGTGAAAACCACATTTTATGACTCTGCCTTCACTCGTCCTCCTGGGCATTTTTTATTCTTCAAATTGGAGATAAAAATAAGGGTTGGTCTCTCAAGGTTAGGAGGGAGAGAGCAGCATATGTTCTTCAAAAGACTCAATAAGATAATAGATTTTTTTAAAAGCTGTTGCTAGTGTAACTTACTTATAGTTTCAAAGGGCTTTTTTAAAATGAAATCTTTGCAAGCAATAGTAAAGAAATCTAGAACCCCCTGAGGTGATGGTTAGAGTCCTGTCACGGATTTAAATCTAATTATTAGCCTGAAAGTAAAAAGGAGAAAAAACCGGCCGAGTGTCAGCCCGGAAAACAATAATCGCCGTGGTGGTGTTCAGCAGCCCAGTTATTAGTGCCTTCAAGGATAGTTCACCGCATTTATTCTTGCCCTTGAAAGACAGCCACAGAAGCTTCGATGTTTTCTGATAATTGCTTCTTTTTCCATGGAGTAGAGGTGCTTCCTGTGCTCCTAGGTTTCATCTCTTCTGAGCACCTGATGAAAAGCATTGGCTGTCAGTGCAGGCACTTAGAAGAGAGGCAATGTGCACAGAGCCGAGTGCCCCAGCCTGCACTTCCCCACCTGTGTGACCTTGTGCACGTAACCTGACTTCTCTGTGCCTCAATGTCTTCATGTGTAAAATGGAGATTAAATGAGAGAAAGCATGTCAGGTGGGTAGCATGGTGCCTGGCTCAATGTAAGTTCTCAATATGTGTAAGCTGTTTATCTTTTTCCTCTTATTATACTTTGGCCAAGGTGGAAAAAGCTTACCATGACACAGTCTAGCGATGAACATAACATATGCTGGAATATGTATTTTCCTATGCTGGGTTATTGGCAAAGAAGCAAACAGGACACAAAATGACTAAGAATATAAAATAATATAACAAGTGCAGCTAAGTTGCAGACATGTTCATTCCAAGCACAATATTCATGTTAGGCCACCCTCCGGTTCCTTAATGAAAGCAGAGGACAGAAGGTGACATTTGGCATTGGGTAATCCTATTTGCCCTTTCCTGGAATGCAAAGAAGGTGGAAGGAAAGGATCCCACTCCTGTAGCACACACAGAGGCTTTGGGACCCCGTGCCTCCTGCCAACATCACTCAGCTCATTCATTTATTTATTCACGTCAGTGACAGATTCTCAAGACCTCTGAAAATATGTTAAGAGCAGGCTCTCCAATCACACCAGAAAGAATATGATTAAGAACTTAGAGCTGTCTTTAGGCTAATAACCAGCAGAAACTAAATCCAAGTATTTGGGAGTGAAGATGGTTGTTGAAAATATTGAGGCCTAGTAAATATTATTTAGCAAATGGAAGTATTTCAGTCGGGGGTTTTGAAAGGCTTAGGTTTATACTGTAATCAGCCTGCTCTCTTCTCTAAAATGATTAGAGTCCTTGTTCCATCAGTCCTCCTGAGTGGCTGCGGAACGCAGAAAAGGCAGCTGGTGACATGCTGTGAATTGGAAGTGGCTTCTATTTACCTCTTCTCCACCTACTCATATGGCCACGGATGGTGCCCAGTTCAAGCAGGAATAAAACACCACGCGAGGCTAACTGGCCTAAGTCCTTCGAGTGGAGCGCAGAAACTTGCTTTAAGAGAGCCTGATTAAAGGCCCCAAGTCCATTTTAAGGCATGGTTTTCTATTAAGCCTTTAATGCTTACAGAAGTATACATTTTCCATAGAAAGGGAACCTAAACTGTCCTAATATGTGGGCAGTTTAGCTCCTGACTCCCAACTTGGCCAGAGGTGTGGTGAATCAGCATGTCACATTCCACTAAAAGATGCTTCCCTGTTTATGTTTGTTTGGTGTTTAGGAATGTAATAACTATACTAGAGTTCTTTCTTAGGCTGTGGTCTGCCTCTGAGGGAACTGAAAGTGATGCAGAGAGCCAAAACCAGCATCATGATTCTATCAGAAAGCGTATGTTTGTGTCCTTCATTAGGAACATTGCCGTTCTATGCTACCGAATGAAGAGGATCTTATTGATACCTCCCTCTCGCTTCTGCCTCCAAACCAATCCCTTGCTTCCTTCCACCCAGAAATAAAAGGACACTCTGAGTTATGGCATTATCAGTGAATTTTCAGTGGGTAGGATGTTCTGAGCAGTGAAAACTATAAATAAATTGGTTCTACGCTGGAATTAGCTGTGGAGCCGGAAAGATAAACACAGGACAACTAATTGCAGCCGCACGATTAACAAGAATGTTGTTCTAAGGAGAGAAAAAGTCAACAGCATTAATGAAAATTAAGCAGTATCTCAATGGTACTAGTAAATAAATAAATATATGTCTATGTTTAATTAAAAGCAAGACCCAATTATGTCTCACTTCTTACTGAGCTACTTAAATCAAGACAGTCTAATGTTAAATGAGAAAAATCAACTCAGGACACTGTCATCTGCATTTAATCAAGACTTCTGTGTCTCACACAAGCTTTCAAGATGGGTAGCGGTAGGGGTGTGTGTTTAGGAGTCTCATGCAAACTTCCCATTGCCCTGCAGTGGACAGGTCTATAGATCTCCAGTTGGAGTACAGAAATCTTCTAGAAGAATTGTGACTGTAAAGCCACTTCTATAACTCTTACTCTGTGATTCTGATGCAAACATACCATTTTGGGTTAATATAAGCAAAGCTTGTATCTAGAACTATAGCTAAAAGTATCAATGTGGTGTTATTTTTTTTCTGACAATAAAAGCAATACATAAATGTGCAGCAAAATGTTTACTTAAGGTTTTGCTTCTTTTCAACTAAATTTGTTTAGTACACATTAAAGGTCAGATGTGGGGAAGATAGATTGGGGGTCAGGGGTTGTTTCTACCTGCTTTGTCTAAATACCTTACCGCAGTCAATGTCCTTAGTTGTTTTGTGTCTACCCCCATTAACTGAAAACCCAAGGTGAGAAAGTCTTCCTTGCTGAGTTTAGTGACAGTTCTCTCCCAGGTGAAGGGGATGGGGTAAGAGGCAGAAACCCCTGTCTCCAGAGGAATCTGAAGAGAGAGTGTGCTTTGATGACCCCGGGGGTGCAGGAAGGAAGTGGGGCCCAAGCAGGCAATGACTATGCCTGGCCCTGGAGTTGCGTACTTGGCCCTTACTGTATCATTTCTTGTCTCACTTCCTCTCACTTGTCAGGAATGTTGCCAGGACTGGTGAAAAGACAAGTGAGATACCACGCCAAATAAAGCCAAATCCTTGAAAGAAAGATGCGATGGTCTACAAATCAAAGTAATTTCTTCTTTCACTATTACTGATGCAAATGTCTTTCTTTTCTTCATCTCACAAGGTTTTTTTGGTGTGTTTTTTTTTTAAATCTTTCATGAAAGGCTCATCATTTACTGGCTCTCTTACCCTGGAAATAACATTATCAGAAGCTATTTATTGAGCATTTCTTCTGTGCTGGGCGCTATGCAAGGCCGAAGAATACAGTCAGGATCAGACACAGTCCCTCCAAGATGGGGTATATAAATTTAGTAAATTTCTTACTTTCTCTGAACCTTGATCCCCTCATTTATTACATAGGACATTTTTTAAAATAGTAATACATACATCCTGAATTTTTTTTCCTAAAACAGGGTAGTGCTGTGTCACCAAGGCTGGAGGGCAATAGCATGATCACGACTTACTGCAGCCTTGATCTCTTGGGCTCAAGCAATCCTCCTGCCTCAGCCTCCCAAGTAGCTGGGACTACAGGCATGCACCAGCACACTGGCTAATTTTTTTAAAACTTTTTGCAGAGACATAGAGACCGGGTTTTACTATGTAGCCCATGCTGGCCTCAAACTCCTGGGCTCTAGCAATCCTCCTGCCTTGGCCTCCCAAACTGCTGGCATTACAGGTGTGAGCCACCATGCCTGGCTCTGGAAATGTTTTGAGGACTACATAAAATAATGTATATAAAAGGGCCTAGCAGAATATAACTAGAAGCTCAACAAATGTTATACATTCTTCCCCCCCAGTCATAAGCAGGAAAACAAAAAAAATTAAATCCACACATTTCCCCATTTCTTAACAGTTTTTTTTTAAAGGGTGGTGTTGGGAGAAACTTGAAACTTTTGATTAAAAAAATAGCTACTTAGGATTAAATAGCAAATCATAGGTCAGAAATCACAGGACAAGCAATTCTTTAAGCCAAGCTTTCCCTGTCAGGATACCTTCCACAGGGGAGCAGCCCCTTCACTGGCAGTGAGAAAGGTGCTCATTTGAATATCAAGCAACGGACCAGTGAAAATTGGTAGAGAGCCATGGAAATGCTACTGCTAGGTCTGTCCCTCATGACCTGATAGGCTCTGTGGACATGGGCAACCCCAGACCCTGGTGACAAAATAAGCAACAGACCCGTTTCCGGGTGCATCTCAGGTGAATTCTGCTCACAGCCAGAGGAAAATGAGTGTTTCTGATTCTTCCTCTCCCTTCGTCAGCTTTTCCTCTGGCCTTGCCTAGGTCCCCAGGCTTAGTACTAAAGTCCCATCATTCAGTCAGTTCAAATCCCAACTAAACTCCAGAGATGGCTGGGAGGGGCTGAGTGTACTTGGTGGAGGCAGAGGCCAAAAAGCACAGTGGATGAAGCATCGGGTGGTGGGGTGGGAAACATGGGATCTCACCCCTTAGCTGTTGCTGATGAACTGGGGACCCAGATAAGATGCTGTGGCTTCCTGCATCTCAGCTTGTTTGTCTGTAAAATGAAGGACTTGGCCCAGATGTCTCAATGGCTCACCCAGCGCTATTCTCCTATCATCTCTCTCGGGAAGCTGGTCAGGTTTCCAGGATCACCTTTCTTCTCTAATCTCCACCCAGGCAAAGGCCAGAAAAGCGACCTTCAGAAGGAGCCAGCACCCCAGCTCCTGCCTCAGGGCGATATGAAGACCCCAGGAAGGAAATTATGCTGAGAAAAGGAGATCACACCTCTGTCCAGCCTGCACCGGCCCCTTGGCATGCCCTGAAGACACAAGGCCTAAATCAAGGTCAAAGACACAGCCCTCCTGGTTGTGAAGATTCCAAAGGCTCCCAGCTGCATGAGGAGGGTTACCCAGAATGTCAGATTTGGAGCAATTCAGCGAGAACCCTTCAAAATTCAGTGTGGTATGTGGAAGGTAAGAGGCAGACAGGCCACCAGGAGGTGGGTTTTATTTCGTGTGCACAAAGTTTTAAAAAATACATGTGCACCATTAAAAGGGAAAAAGAAGAAAAAGAAAAACAGCAAAAGCAGGAGACTCTACGTTTTTAAAAATCTGGATTTCCAGCTTCTTTTAAATAAAGAAGTAGAGGTTCTGGCTACACTGGGCCCACATTACTCCCCTCCCTGAACGGTGAGCTGGAGTTGCACAGCTTAGGTCCTCTTTGGGTAGAGTACATGCTTCCCAATTCTCCAGGGCTCCTTCCACTGTTGCTACTTCAGCCTATATTTTAGTGTTTTGCTTGTAGTGCAGAAATATTTCTCTGTGCTCATGAATCTACAAAATGTGAGAAAACAAAACATATACCCAGAGGACTGTGTGTTTTACCAGCAAGTGCAGAAAGCGCCTTTGTGGAAGCAAGGAATAGTGCTAATATTTACTATGCAAACCCCCGGCATGCACCACTCATTCTCATTACCTGCCTGGCTCTTAAGGGTATTTTATTTTGTAGCCTCTGCCTGGAAGACTTGGAAGACGGAAATCTGTAGATAGTCTGCAACTATTTATCCACCCATTTCTGCTTACATAGGTCATGGCAGAATTACCGTGGCACGCTACTTTGGCAAGAGTTCTGCTGTCTTTAGCCCTTGCATAGTTAATCACCTGCAGCAAACTTAAAGAATCTTATCCATCGGTCTTCAAAGGGGTAGGAATTTGAGAGACCAACCTTTAGCTCTTTTGCTTGGAATACTAATAACATGAATTTCTACAATGGTCTTCTCCATCTTTCATATACATGAGGAAGTTCAGGCTCAGACAGATAAATGACTTGCCCAAAGGGTGAAACTGGAGTATTAGCTGGTCTAGAAAGAAGGTTGGGAAGGAAACATTTCCTTACTCCTTCACCTGGGGAAAGCAAGTTGCCCTTCCCCACACCCTCTTCTGTCCCCCAGCATGCATACAATATGTACACACACTAGCCCACTGGTTACAGGCTGGCTAGCTTCTCCCAGCCTCTCTCCAGAGGGTCACCCTCATCTAGCAGATGTGGGCAGGAAGAGAAGTCCACTTGTGCTTGCTGCCAGAGGAGATGGCCACTGCCAATTGAGGCTGATCATGAAGAGTGGGTTCCTGGAGTCCTCAGCAGAGCACTGGCTATTCATGGACAAGGACAGGTGAGAAGCCCTCCTGTTTTCTGCCTCTGGCTCTGTAGTGTTGCCTAGTTCGCATCAGATGGGGAAGGAGCTAAATACTCATCCCAGCTCAGAAGTGGAACTGAGACTGCTCCGCCAGGGCGCAAATATCATGGTGCATAGAGAGCATATAAACATCCTAAAGGCCAGGCACGGTGGCTCATGCCTGTAATCCCAGCACTTTGGGAGGCCGAGGTGGGTGGATCACCTAAGGTCGGGAGTTCAAGACCAGCCTGGCCAACACGGTGAAACCCCGTCTCTACTAAAAATACAAAAATCAGTAGGGCATGGTAGTGCACATCTGTAATCCCAGCTACTTGGGAGACTGAGGCAGGAGAATTGCTTGAACCTGGGAGGCAGAGGTTGCAGTGAGCCAAGATCATGCCACTGCACTCCAGCCTGGGAGACAGAGCAAGATTCCATCTCAAAAAAAAAAAAAAAAAAAAATGCTAGAAAAAGAGCAAATGCATAGCATTGGCACTGGTGGTGTGAAAGCACAGCCCAGGATGCCTCTTCAGTCACAGTCACCCACTAAAGCTATTCGATGAGCACCTAGCATGGGCTAGGTACCTAGACCAACACACAGTTTCACCAACATCCCTGGCTAAGGTCACGTGATCCACAGAGATGCTTGTTTGCTGAGCATGAGTCAGATCTGGAGAAAGTCCTGAGAAAGTCCCAAGGCTTCTATGTCTGAAGTTCCAAGCCAGGATGGAAGCAGCCAATTCACCTGCTATAGACTAAGTGTTTGTGTCTTCCTCCCCTCAATTTATATGCTGAAACCCTAACCCTCATGGTACTTGGAGGTAGGGGCTGGGTTAGATTAAGTCATGAGGGTGAGGGTGGGGCCCTCATGATGGGCTGAATGCCCTCATTAAAGAAATGGAGAAACATGAGATCTCTCTCTCCACCATGCGAGGATACAGCAAGAAGACGGCTATCTGCCAACCAGGAAGACAGCCCTCACTAGACACAGGATCTGCCAGCACTTTCATCTTGGGCTTCCCAGCCTCCACAACTGTAAGAAATAAATGTCTGTGGCTTAAGCCACTCAGTCAATAGTATTTTGATATAGCAGCTTGGGCTGAGATATCACCTGTATCGATTCTTTGGCAATGGATTCAGCAAATGGTGGCTTTGTAGAATGATCAGTTAACTGCAGGGATCAGTCGTCAGACGGAGCTAAAAAGTCCCATGCTCGGGGAGCCTCACCGGAGTTCCAGGAAAATGTTAAGAAGAAGAATAACAACTTAAGCTTCTACACGTCCTAACCCTGCACCAAATGCTTTAGGTACGGTGTTATTCATTTAAATCCCAGAACATGCAACAGCAGGTTTCATCAGATATATTTTATCCAGGGGGTATATAAGGCTCAGAGAATAAAAAGGATATCCAAGGTCACCAGGTTGCAACCAATACAGGCAGGTTTCAACCCAATTCCTCTGACTCAAAGCCCTGGCTCTGTTCTCCACGGCTGTGCCAAGGAAGACTGTGCCGAAGATACCTTTTTGGTCTCAGATTGTTGAATTTTCCTTGACTCCTGGGAAACAGTTTAAAGCAGCCGCAAACATGGTTTCCACAACTGCATTCCTGAAGCGCATACCCAGAGTTACTTCTTGTAACAGCACTTTCTTCCAGATGACTGAGATGCGTCTGCTGGTGATAAGATCAGATTAACCTATTTCAACTTGATAGCTAGATTCTGACACACTGAAGAAAAAAAAAAGAAAGAAAAAACTATAGGATCAAAACCACAGTTACACTGGACACAATATTTTCCCTTAGGATGCCCTCAGACTTTACAACCAGATACTTACCATAGAGCCAAAAGAAAGTAAGAATCACCATTCTTCCTTGATCTAAAGATATATAGTTTGGATAGTCTGAAATTAGAATGTGTCTCAAAATCAATGTTTAATTTTAATATGGTGGGCTTTTTTTCCCCTCTCCCACTCCAAGTGAGCATTGACCTTCGGGATACTTCAAAAGCTGCAATTAATATAATTGTGTGTCTTAAAATAAATGACATTTTATTTTATTTTATTTTGTAGAGACAGGTTCTCGCTCTGCCACCCAGGGAGGAGCGCACTGGCATCTTCTTAGCTCACTGCAGCCTTGAACTCCTGGGCTCAAGGGACCCTCCCACCTCATCCTCCTGAGTAGCTGGGTCTATAGGCACATGATACCACACCTGGCTAATTTTTTTTACTTTTATTTTTGTAGAGATGATGTCTCCCTATGTTGCCCAGGCTGGTCTCCAAGTGCTAACCTCTAGTGATGGTCCCACTGCAGCCTCCCAAAAATCTGGGATTACAAGCATGTGCTACCTTGCCCAGACGAATGGCATCTTACAAACAGGAAATAAGAAGTAATGATAAGCAGTCTGGCCGGAATGCTAATTTGTGTATATGTCTCCAATCCCTAATGTGCAACATGATTTCAACATATGTTTGTTGAAATGACAAATACATCTGTAAAATAGACACTGAATTTTTTTTATTAGGCAAAATTTCAAACATATACCAAAGTGTGGAGTGTATTACAATGAACTCCCTTCACTCAGCTTCAGTATTTTCAACTTATGTCCTATGTTATTTCCTCTGCCCGTACCCACTCCCTCTCTGCCCCGGATAATTTTGAAGGAAATCCCAGATGTTAGAGAGCATTTCATCAGTAAACGTTTCAGTGTGGATCTGTAAAAGACAAAGAGTGCCCTTTTTAAAAGCAACTATGCAGCATCAGGACACCTCCCTAAGAATCATCACAGCTCCCTAAAAACCAATATTAATAATTCTGTAATAGTATCAGATATTCATTTAGTATTTACATTTTCCTGATTCTCCTATAAATAGCCTCTTTCTACCTTGCTCTCTTTTCTTTACTGACAGTTTATTTGCCTCAGTATCCCTGAGGCATGAAAACTCCATCCTCTTTTTCCCTGTTTGCTGTGTTGTTGATGCTGTTAAAGGAACTAAATCTTCTTGTCTGGTAGTCTCCCACATGTTGGCTTTGGTTAATGGCATTCCAATAATAACATGGTTTAGTACGTTTCCTTTTCTCCTGTGTTTCCTTGGCATTGGTACTTAGAGCTGGAGGTTGTGCAGACTTAGTTTGCATTCTTTTGTACTATAATCAGGAGGTGCATAATGTCTGGTTGTGTCTCTCTTTGGATGTTATCAGCTATTGATGATGATTGCTTAGGTCATAACAAGCACCTTTGATGTGACTGTCCCATGCCAAAGCTACCAAAAAAAAATACATTAAAAATAATGAATCTGAGATGTTGGGTATGTTACCTGTTCAGTTTTAGGTCCTTATGATTACAAGGGAGAGCAATTCCGTTGGGTTGGCCCAAACGACGGCAGGCTCTAGTTTAGTGCGTTCTGCAATGATGTGAGGGTGGTGTGCCCAGGCAACCTTACTTTAACAAAAACAGCATTATACATACTTTTGTTTCAGTTAACAAAAAAAAGAGGGGCATGGGGACTGCAGGAATCTCTGTAACAAAAGCATTGTTTATAGTTTTAAGTATATAGCTAGAACACTGAAATTGTAAACGTAAAAATATGGCATGTGATTCCATCTAGCTCTTGCTCAAGAATGACGTCTTAGGCCATCACAATACTTCTTAGACATTTCCATTGCTTTTAGCACAACAAAGAGGCTGTGGCACTTACACAACAGGCCTTTCTCTCTGCCCACACACTCTACTTCTGTATGGGTCAGAAGAGGGTCTACACATGTCCCCTAGTTAATCAATCATGTTATGTCCCATTTAGCTTATGGAAACTCATGCTGTGTATACAGATAGGAAAGAAAGGAAAGAGTTATCTCACAGGCAATCAGGGAAGAACGATGTGTATGAGGAGACCTCCTGGGGACCTCAACTCGTCAGAGGCAATGGTAGGGAGCAGAGTAGCCACTGTGAGTTTGCTTCCATAAGTCCCTTTCTTTTTTTGGCTCTAGCCATTTCTTTTCCCAGTACAGACTAGCTTCATCACGCTCTGCATCTCTTTGTAAGTGATTCAGGCATTAGAATGGCTCAAAACATACAGCACAAGCCTTCAAATGTTTTTTCTTTTATTTTTAGTTGACATATAATAATTGTACATGTTATGGGATACAGAGCACTATTTGAATACATGTATATAATGCGTAATAACCAAATCAGGGTAATTGACGTATCTATTACCGCAAACATTCATCTTTTCTTTGTGTTGGGAACGTTCAAAATCCTCTCTTCTAGATTTTTAAAAATATACAATAAAATATTGTTAACTATATTCACTCTACAGTTCTATAGAACACTTAGAACTTATTCCCCTATCTATCTGTAATTTTGTGTCTGTTAAGTCTGTTAACCAACCTCTCCACTATGCTTCCCAGCCTCTAATAACCACTAGTCTACTCTCTGCTTCTTAGACACCAACTTTTTTTTAGCTCTCATGTATGAGAGAGAACATGCAGTATTTATTTTCTGTTCCTGGTTTATTTCACTTACCATAATGTCCTCCAAGCTCATCCATGTTGTCACAAATGACGGGATTCAGGATTTCATTCCTTTTTTTTTTTCTGAGACGGAGTTTCGCTCTTGTCGCCCAGGCTGGAGTGCAATGGTGTGATCTCGGCTCACCGCAACCTCTGCCTCCCAGGTTCAAGTGATTCTCCTGCCTCAGCCTCCCGAGTAGCTGGGATTACAGGCATGTGCCACCACGCCTGGCTAATTGTGTATTTTTAGTAGAGATGGGGTTTCTCCACGTTGGTCAGGTTGGTCTTGAACTCCTGACCTCAGGTGATCCTCCCACCTCGGCCTCCCAAAGTGCTGCTATTACAGGCGTAAGCCACCATGCCCCCCCAACCAATTTCATTCCTTTTATATGGCTGAATAGTACTCCATTGTGTATACATGCCACATTTTCTTTATTCATTCTTCTGTTGATGGACATTTAGGTTGACTCCATACCTTGGCTATTGTGAATAGTGCTGGAATAAACATGGGAGTGCAGATGTCTTTTCCATATATTGATTTCCTTCCCTTTGGGGAAGTAGTGGGATTGCTGAATCATATGGTAGTTATATTTTTAGGTTTTTGAGAAACCTCCATATTGTTTTCTATAATGGCTGTACTAATTTACATTCTTACCAAGAATGTAATATAAGAATTTCCTTTTCTCCACATCCTCACCAACATTCGATTTTTGTTGTTGTTGCTGTTGTTATTTTGTTTTTCTGATGGCAGCCATTCTAATGGGAGTTGGATGATATTTCATGTGATTTTAATTTACATTTCCCTAATAGAGATGTTGAACATGTTTTCATATTCTTGTTGACCATTTGTAGGCCTTCTTTTGAGAGATGTCTATTGAGATTCTTTTCTCATTTTTAGATTGAATTATTTGTTTTTTCAAACTTTTTTTTACCATCATTTAATGAATTTTTATCATAACCAAGTACACACAAACATGTAGGTGTGTAGGTCAGCATATATGGTGTGAAATAGATATATAAATAGACACACATATTGTCTTTGAAACCAAAGTTTTACATATTATCATCCTTGCCATGTGTTATATATCCTGATACTTTCTTTTCTATTCGATTCCTTTGTTAAAAAAAATACTGGTTGTGGCCTACTAAATTTATTTCAAAACCCATTGGTGGGTCGTAACTTTCATCTTGAAAACCACATCCTATAGTGAAGGTAGAACTTGAAGAGCATCAAACTGAAGTTCTTGGGAACTAGACTGATTCCAAATACAAGAATTATGGCTCCTCCCTCTCCCTCTCCCTCTCCCCCCTCTCCCTCTCCCTCTCCCCACAGTCTCCCTCTCCCTCTCTTTCCACCGTCTCCCACTGATGCCGAGCCGAAGCTGGACTGTACTGCTGCCATCTCGGCTCACTGCAGCCTCCCTGCCTGATTCTCCTGCCTCAGCCTGCCGAGTGCCTGCGATTGCAGGCGCGCCACCACGCCTGACTGGTTTTCGTATTTTTTTGGTGGAGACGGGGTTTCGCTGTGTTGGCCGGGCTGGTCTCCAGCTCCTAACTGCGAGTGATCCGCCAGCCTCGGCCTCCGGCCTCCCGAGGTGCCGGGATTGCAGACGGAGTCTGGTTCACTCAGTGCTCAATGGTGCCCAGGCTGGAGTGCAGTGGCGTGATCTCGGCTCGCTACAACCTCCACCTCCCAGCCGCCTGCCTTGGCCTCCCAAAGTGCCGAGATTGCAGCCTCTGCCTGGCCGCCATCCCATCTAGGAAGTGAGGAGCGTCTCTGCCCGGCTGCCCATCGTCTGAGATGTGGGGAGCGCCTCTGCCCCGCCGCCCCGTCTGGGATGTGAGGAGCGCCTCTACCCGGCCGTGACCCCGTCTGGGAAGTGAGGAGCGTCTCTGCCCGGCAGCCACCCCATCCGGGAGGGAGGTGGGGGTCAGCCCCGCCAGGCCAGCCGCCCCGTCCGGGAGGTGAGGGGCGCCTCTGCCCGGCCGCCCCTACTGGGAAGTGAGGAGCCCCTCTGCCCAGCCACCACCCCGTCTGGGAGGTGTACCCAACAGCTCATTGAGAACGGGCCATGATGACAATGGCGGTTTTGTGGAATAGAAAGGGGGGAAAGGCGGGGCAAGGATTGAGAAATCGGATGGTTGCCATGTGTGTGTAGAAAGAGGTAGACACGGGAGACTTTTCATTTTGTTCTGTACTAAGAAAAATTCTTCTGCCTTGTGATCCTGTTGATCGGTGACCTTACCCCCAACCCTGTGCTCTCTGAAACATGTGCTGTGTCCACTCAGGGTTAAATGGATTAAGGGTGGTGCAAGATGTGCTTTGTTAAACAGATGCTTGAAGGCAGCATGCTCGTTAAGAGTCATCACCACTCCCTAATCTCAAGTACCCAGGGACACAAACACTGCGGAAGGCCGCAGGGTCCTCTGCATAGGAAAACCAGAGACCTTTGTTCACTTGTTTATCTGCTGACCCTCCCTCCACTATTGTCCTATGACCCTGCCAAATCCCCCTCTGTGAGAAACACCCAAGAATGATCAATAAAAATAAATAAATAAATAAATTTTAAAAAAAAAGAATTATGGCTGAAGAAACTGGAGCATCATTACACTGTGAATTAGATCAGAAATTGGAGCATGTCTATATTTGTCACATAATAAAACATTATGTGACATAGGTAGTCAAACAGCCCTTTGGTTGTAATGTGTGATCAGGTTAATCTTGGAAGTGAATCAATATCCTACAGTGATCCATTGGAGGAGAGAAGCACACTGGCCTGATGAAAGCCATCCAGGAGCCCTGCCTTTTCTATTGTGGCCTTGATGGATTGGCACTTCCAAACACTCATCATCCATCACACCAGCCCAATTCTATTTTTCTAGCTCGACAGAACACACTGTGCTCTCTGGAGCCACAAAGAGAAGAAAATATTCCCTCCAGCACTCCTGCGTGATGAATTTTTCCACCTCTACATTAAGCTCTGCTCACAGGGCATGTCTTTTAGGCTTTTTGAGTGTCCCGACTATGAGAGGAGAACTGGTAGAAGACCAGTAATGCTGCTACCATCACCAACCCATATTGCCTGACATTTTTCACCTCTTTTCTTATAAAGAGCTCCCAGCCCCAAGAAGAGAAAAAAAAGATAAGAGGAAAGGAAAACCCACACAATATCAATAAAGTTTACCCTTGAGATTAAGTCACATTCTCAGATGGTGTTTTCACAACATAATTTTTTATGCATTCTGCTTAGATTTTAAGATATTTGGGCAGAAATCAAAATTTCTCTCCAGTTTTTATTCTGCATTAAGTGCTAGGTTTCTGCCTCACGCACACACACTCACACGGTTATTAACATATGTGGAAAGTGACTTCTATGATAGAGTTAATTTCCCATTTACTATGAGCAGGGAGTTTTCTTCTAAAATATGATCAACTTGGCGGTGCTAGTGTATAAGTTTAATAATATTTTTGGTAACTAGAAAGGAGGAAATAACCCATGAGTCATGAAAAACCTGAAAAGACTATTCTGATGTTTGTTTATCTTGAACTAAATTTGCAGGGAAATAAAATCACTCTAGCAGCTAAAACTGCACACTCACATTCTTTTGTATGAATTAATTATACTTAACTGCTCTGTAATGTCCTGATTAATTATTTCCTGTTCCAGTCAGTTCATTGTGCATTTTGATACAAAACCTGCATTATGATGAGGATCTTGGATCTATTTCTCATCTTGCAAATGGCCCCTGTAGAGCTGATCTGAATGACTAGCTTCAAAGGAAGGCTACATCTTCATCAGCACCCCAGGAGAGCTGTGTCGGACACAGGCGGTGACAACGGAACTGTATTTTTGGCCCAGGGCAT
Organism: Homo sapiens; assembly: GCF_000001405.40. Lineage (NCBI taxonomy): Eukaryota > Metazoa > Chordata > Mammalia > Primates > Hominidae > Homo > Homo sapiens. Next base: position 108,024,362 of record NC_000003.12, on the reverse strand, counting down.
GGAATCACCACTTATGCATGAGGAGCAATGAGCTGGGGCATTTAACACTGCACAGCTTGTGAGAAATATGACTCTCCACCCTGCACAAACTCTGGTGACTTGTCTCCCACCAACAGACTGTCATGTGTATGGAGGTACGGGGCTCTCAAGAGCAAGGTGAACATTGCTAGGTAAGTCCTGAAGACAGGAGAAGCCAACTGTATCTGTTTCCGATTGTTGAGAGGGGGGTAAAAACAATGCAAATTCATTATCTGGCAGTTCTGTATGTCAGAAGTCCTAAAATCAAGACATCAGAAGGGCTGTGTCTCTTCTGGAGGCCCTAGAGGAAAATCTATATCCTTGCCTTTTCCAGCTTCTAGAGGCTGCCACGTTCCTTGGCTCACGGCCCCTTCTTCCATCTTCAGAGCCAGCAGAATAGCATCTTCAAACCTCTGACCTCTATATCCACCCTCACATATCATTCTTTCATTCTTCTAACTCCTTCTTTCCCTTATAAGGATGCTTGAGATTACATTGGGTCCAAATAATCCACAATCATCTCCCCATCTCAAGACATGATTAATCTAATGACATCTGCAAGATCCTTTTGCCATGTAAGGTTCATATTAAGATGTGGAGGTCTTTAGGGGGCTGTTATTCTGCGACCACACTGAGTATCCAGATTGAGGAGGGAACAGTGAAGATCAGGCCAGAGCCTAGGCACCTGCCCCCACAGTAGTAGGGTAGTGTTTAGTCAGGCCTTCACAGCACCAGCAGAGTGGGGCAGGAAGTCTGTAGGTGTGAGTTCTAATCCTAGCAAAATGACTTACACAATGGCCAAAGCTACCCTGTGTTTTACCTGGTTACAGGCAGATTTGCATTCAGCATTCCCTAAAACCATAAAGCTGTTACTGACAATCCATGATACCAAATTAGCTTGTAAGTCTGGGTAGGACTGAGGACAGCAGGAAGGTGCCACCAAGAACCTGAACAATGAGTTGCCCCTGTTAATTTTAAATTCTTAAAATCAACACAAACATTGATTTTATAAAGTTGTGTGGTCAATAGGCTAATCCCAGGCTCCAGTTAGCATTCACACATTGAAAAGAAGAGTGTTACTGAGGGTTTTTGGGCTCTCAGTGCACTAATTGACATGAAGCCAAAAGAGTTTTCTCAGACAAGACTTCATTGGAGTTTGTGTCTGGACATAAGGGTGGCAGCACAGGAGAGAAAATTCTTTGGCTCTCCAAGATGATTGGGCTTTTTTATTAGGCAAAACACAGGAATTGACATCAGGAATAGAGTATGCAGGCTGTACTTGGAAGGGCAAAGCACTGAGGGGTAGGGTATACAGGTCAGCATATTTGGTTTCAGAGGTTATCTTGAGTAATGGGCCTCCCAATGGTCTGACCAGTAGCAACAAGGCTGTAAATAAGTTGTTCAGCATTCCTTTCTGAGGTGAAACATTACACAACCTTGGTTTGTATATCTGGATTTCCTAAGGCCAGTCCTAGACATCTTTAAGTAAAAGGCAGGGTTAAACCTAATGATGTCAGTGAGGTAATGGTGTAGGGCTTGTGATCAGTGGGAATGCATGAAAGAATGCTCTAGTGGAAATGACCTGAAGCTGTTAGACTAGGTAGGTAGGCAGACATGAGCAGGGCAGGAGAGGCCCCCACCCCAAGGAATGTCAGGTGATCACCAGGTGATGGTCAGGCAGTTGGTGCCAGGAAAAGACAGTCTCCCGATAGAAAATACCTGATGCTCACAATCAGCAGCTTCCTGCTAAGATCTCACAAGTTGGTCAAGTGGGCTCAAGCATGTGCACTAAGAGGCACAATGGCAGAATTTAACTGGTCTATGATCTTCCTCTAGGAATGCTCAGCTGCTAAGGGAAAAAACACTTCGAGTGGGCATGTCAGTAAACACACTGCAGGTGCGGCACCTCCCAAGTGCTGACAGGCCTCTGCATAGGCAGACAGCCCAACCCAAGGGAAAAATCAAGGGAGGAGAAATGAAAACCCTGGAACCATGTCAATGTATGAAACCCCAAGTCAGGGCCAAACATGGAACTTGGACCCCTCAAGTTACCCACTTGGCCCTCTTCCAAGTGTACTTTACTTCCTTTGGTTCCTGCCCTCAAACTCTTTAATAAACTTGCACTCCTACTATAAAACTTGCCTCAGTCTCTCCCTCTGCCTTAAACCTACTTCTGCCCCTTGGCCAAATTCTTTCCTCTGAGGAGGCAAGGATCGAGTTTGCTGCAGAGCAGTCAGATTCACCACCAGTAACAAAGCCAAGCCTTGTTCCTACTCTGTCTCAAGAGTATGAGAATCAGGAGAGTGAATGAGCTTTGGCACAGAGAGGCACAAAGAGGTTCCCATGGGCAGAGACCCCACATTGCCCCTTTCCCCGACAAGCCCCCTGAGCCTGTCCCCAGCAGGCGGCGAATACATCAGACACAGAACCTGAGGTCTGTAAATCTTCAGGTGGTGTAATAACTGCTCTTTCCTCTGATTTCAGGCTCGCAACGAAACCCTGGGATAATTGGGCTTCCCAGGGAGCCCCTCACACAGGAGGGGATGGGCTGTCAATCTCTGGTCTACTTGACAGATAGACTCTGTTTCTCATAGAAAATTAACAAGCCAGCATGCTGGCTTGCATATATTCATGTGTTGGGAGTTTAGTTAGTATGAGTCAGCACCTCAAAGCTGTCAATCTCTGGTCTGCATGACAGATATACTCTAATTTCTCATGAAAATTCACAAACAGCTATGCAGATTTATATTTATTAATGCCTTATGAGTTTAGTTAGCATGAGTTGGTATCAACTCTGATTAGCTTAGAGGTCTCTGTAAGACCTGAGCTGCAATGAGTTCCCCAAGATTCTCCTCTGGCCAAAAAAGTCCAACCCTGCCCCATGCCCCACCTTATTTCCCAGCCCTCATTCTGGGCCATTTTCTTGCACATCTCCAGGGGCCCATTGACAGAATATGATGTAAGAGGCGCCCCCTGGAGTTGTGCCACCCTGCAGCCCTGCCCTGAATAACTCCACAGGGCTCCACTTAAATTCTGCTTCCTTTGCAGGCACCTGCAGAGTGAAGAGCCCCCCCGACAGAGTTATTTGGCTTCCTTGTTTTATGCTCTAAGTATCCTGCACTTTCCTTTCTTGCACTTTTCACCCTCGTTTGCCATCTATCTGCCCCATCTTGAAGGGGGCCAAGTTGGTTTTACTGACTCTTAGATGCCCAATGATTATCATAGTATCTGGGACAAAGTAAGTACTCAATAAATATCTGCTGAACAAATAGATAAATGGACGCTGCCCTGACCTCCCCTTTTACCTCTTTTTCAATGACTAGAGAGTGGAGAATGGATCCTAACACAACAAAAGATTCAGGAGCCACTATTATAAATTGAGGGAAAGGTCACATTGAAGATAAGACAGAGAATGCCTTCGTGGAGTTAACAGGAGGCTGTCTTCCCAGGAGAAATGGAGAGACAGCCCATCAGGACAGACTGTGACAGGACACTGCTGTGGCAGTGACAGGGTAGCAATGATCCATCTCTAACAAACAGCTGGACATTTCTATTTGAATGTCCTGACATTACCACAACTCAACACATTCAATCTCAACTCCCAAATGTCCCGATTTCTAGGTGTCCCTCAGCCTCCTAACACACGAGTTGAGATTTCTCTCTCTTTAAAGAGACCAATTAATAAACCAACAAGTCATATAGGTTTCTAACCTTATCACTACCTTACTCCAAGTCCCACCCTGTCATACACCTGGGCAACTGTCACAGTATCTTGAGTTGGCTTCTCATTCCTGGTGTCACCTTTTCTTTGTGCCTTAAATATTTTTTTGAAGAAACAAATACCACTTTAATAACCTCAACTCCTATTTCTCCTCCTATTTGGAAACTCTTTCAACGGCTCTATGACTCCACATTTGCAGCAGACTGGCCTCTAAGCCCTGCGCATCTGTGGTTTTTTCCATCCTTATCTCCTACTGTTTCATACCCTAACCCTGCTCCTCTGTTCCCAAACTAGTTCTGCCTCCTCCTCTAGAGCAGATGAATTCTATTCCTTTCCTCTAGGTACCCCTCCCACTCCTGCCCCCATGTGTTTGTTCAGGCTGGATGGACTGTCTTTCCTTGTCTTTCTTCCCTGTTGAAGCCTGATCTAACTCTATGGCTCAGCTTAAGACCCAAGGCTTTCACAAAATTTTTCTTGATTGTTTCAATTCACACAGAGAGACTTGCAGAGAAGTACCCAGTGTTGAAAACATGTAGACCTCAGGGTGCGGCCTCCCTTTACAGCTCAGGAAATTGAGCCTGACAGAGCCTAACCATGCTCCCTTTCTGAAGCCACCACTTTTCTTTACCATTCATTATAACAAGTAATCATCATCTTTCTTATGAGGGAGATTGGCCCCAGGAAGATGAGGAAATCCATTAGGCTTCCTCTGTAGCAACCTCAACATCTCATTCAGTGAGAGGCTTAAAAGACTCTCCATAAATTAACATTGAAGGATACTCAGAGAGAAAGTGAGCTGTGCCAGTATAGGGAAATTAAAGTAAAAGACAAAGAGCTTGGCCACAGGTATTGCCAATCATTGCCAGGTGACAAGGTAGCCTAATTCTCAGTGACCCATCCCAACATTCAAGCCAATATTCAGGTCACCTGGTCTAACAGAGCTCTGCTATGAAGAGGATCCCACAAATGTCTTGGAGTTGGAGATTGTAGTGGATTGGATAGTGCCCCCCAAAAAAGATAGATACACCTCCTAACCCCCAGAACTTGTGGTGGTGACCTTATTTGGAAAAAAAGTCCTTTCAGATATAATTAAGGATCTGGAGTTGAGATCATCATCAGGGTGGGCCCTAAATCCAGTGACACATGTCTTTATAAGAAACAGAAGAAAAAAAGACCCAGAGAAGGCAAGAAGGTCATATGGAGACAGAGATCGGATTTGTAGAGCCACAAACCAAGGAACGCCTGGAGCCACCGAAGCTGGGAGAGGCAAGGAAGGATGCTCCCTTAGAGCCTTTAAAGGAAACGCAGCCCTGCTGAACACTGATTTCAAACTTCTGGCCTCTGGAACTGTACAGAATACATTATAGTTGTTTTAATTTGTTATGGAAGCCCTAGGAAGCTAATACAGACAACAAGTGCCTCCTTGATGCCATGCCTGAAAGATGCATCTGTCTCTGCCACACTTTCCTCAGAAATACCCATGGACCTATCAGGCATAAACGGCATTGTCACTTGACATGAGGGGTGTTTCTCATGTTCATTCTCATGAAAATTAACAAACAGCGATGCAGATTTATATTTATTAATGCCTTATGAGTTTAGTTAACATGAACCTTTAGAAGCATTTAGAAGTAGCATGAGCTGGGAGACACACTTGTCTAATTGGTGATCAGGTAGGGGGAGGAACGGCAGTCATGGAGACAAGGAAAGGGAGCCTGTTCAAGGAGACCAAGAACTGAGTCTTGAAGAATGAGAAGACATCATCTAGGGGAGGAGGCTGGACGAGGCATCAGGCAGGGAGAACAGCACAGCAGTCCACTATTCACGAGAATCAGTGTGAGGCAACAGTGAGGAAGGCTGGAAGTTGAGATAAGGGCCAGGTGTTGGAGGGCTTTGCAAGCTATATTCGGAAGTACGTACTTTTCCCTTAGAGATTATTATCAGCTGAGGCGGCATAGGGCATCTTTGGAAATTTGTGTGTCGGCATTTAGTGGCCTTGCAGCCAGGGAAGCTTACTGTCTTTCAGTGTGATGGACAGTCCAGCATAAGCAAGATGTTCGTGTCCCTCCCCAAATTATAAAAGAGCTCCATTCCCTTGAGAAAAACTGCTGGGTGATGATTGGAACCACTGAAGGGGTTTAAAGAGAGAAGTGACAAGACAGGAATTGCGAACAGATCATTCGGGTGCAATGGGAGTGTGAGATTGGAGAGACAGGAGTGAAGGCTTGAGAAAAATTAGGAAGCCACAGTTCAAGTACTTTCAAGGATAATGGAAATAATACAGTCTCGGCCAGGGCAGGGGAAGGAGGGACGGCAGGAAGGGAAAGAGTGATGAAAGGAAGGGGCTGGGAGGTTTAGGGGCTGGGAGGTGAGAGATGTTCAGGTAAAAACAGCAGGATTTTGTATTTGAATAAGGAGTCAAGAGTGCATCTCGGATTGCTAGTTGGGAGGTTTCATTAACAGATATTAAGAATAAAAAGAGAGTAACAAGATCATACTTTATTTGAAAAATGTTATTGAATTGCCTGTGGAGATTGCTAAGCAGAAATGCCCTTTAGGCAATTGGAACCTCATAACATTTGAAGGATGCATTGTAATCTCTAAGGAGGGTATTTTCAAACAGGCTAGCAGAAGGTGGAGGTCCCCATAAGTGGACAATTTGGAGCCTATAAAATTACTAGTCTCACACTAAGTGGACCGGGTGCTTATAATTTAGTGCCATTTCACAAGAAGTTGGTTCCTTTAAATAAAGGGCAAAAGAAACTCTTGACCTTCAAATGAAGGGCTTTGTTTGCACTCAGATTAGTTAACAAAGGAAGACAACTGCTTGGGTGTTCAGCGGTCACGCCACCTTCATAATGAAGACGTAGGTTGTTTCTTGTGAAAAAAATAACTGGAAAAAACAAAGTGTTACATCAGTGTAGACAAGTAAGACTAAAACAAATGTTGACTCTTGCCCTTTGAAAGAGGACCCTAGACTAAGGAAGATGGTATTTCATTTTCTTTATTATGCTACATGGAACACTTGATATTTCTATCAGCTTATGTTTGACTGTAGAAATCACTTCACTACTTTACTTCTTTGCTTCAATTTAGTGTGGAGGAAATTCCCAGTACTATCTTTTTTTTTTTTTTTTTTTTTGAGATGGAGTCTAGCTCTGCCACCCAGGCTGGAGTGCAGTGGCGCAATCTCTGGTCACTGCAAGCTCCACCTCCTGGGTTCATGCCATTCCCCTGCCTCAGCCTCCCGAGTAGCTGGGACTACAGGCGCCCACCACCACGCCTGGCTAATTTTTTGTATTTTTAGTAGAGATGGGGTTTCACCGTGTTAGCCAGGATGGTCTTGATCTCCTGACCTCGTGATCCACCTGCCTCAGCCCCCCAAAGTGCTGGGATTACAGGTGTGAGCCACCGTGCCTGGCCTTTTTTTTTTTTTAAAAGCTCCTTCTAGTCCATGAGGGTTCCCAAAAGGTTTATGAGCTCATTCTCACTTCTTAATTTCATAGCTATATGTAAAATCCGTTAATGCAGGGACCAGATCTGTCCAGTTCACCATCAAATCCCCACAGTTGGCACACTGCCACACACATAGTGGGCACCTAGGCATCTGGTAAATGTTTGATTTTTTAAACAACAACAACAAAAGCTTAGGCAACTAATTACAGCAGTAATTCCTAAATCACCTTTAATGAAGTCTGCTGAGGGGAAAAATAGGTAGTGATGAGAAAGAATAACTGGTAATATTGATCTATTCTGGGGAGAGGGAGACTTAGTTGAGAGTCATTTGAGTTGAGGCCTAATGCCTAAGATGAGAAGCTTTTATGACAGGAAGAAGGAGGAAGCGAGGCAACGGATGATTAAATGCCATGATGGGTGATACAGATGAGTGATGGAAGCAGGAGATTAGGAGAGAGAGAGAGGTGAGGCTGTCAGCCTCCATTTCCTGAGCTATAAAGGGGGAGCTATGCCCTGATATCTCAGTGCTTTCAATACCCCGTCCTGCTCCGTGAGTCTCTGTATGTGGGTTGAAACAATCAAGGAAACTCTCATGAAAGTCTTGGGACTTAAATTGAGCTGCGAAGACAGATCATGCTTAAACAGGGGGCTGAGAGAAGGGAGGATATTCTAGGTGGTAGAAATACCCTAAGCAGAATCCCAGGAACAGGAAGGAGCATCGACCTTCTGGTTGGAAAAAGGTAAGATATGCCCATTCAAGAGGAGCGGGAGAAAGGAATAGAGGAAGAGAGAATGGCTTATGGTAGAAAACACTAGGTCTAATCACTTACTGAGTTAGGAACTGATTATCTCATTTAACCTCACAAAACTCTGTGAGATCAGGACTGTACTCTTAATATCCTAATTTTATATTGCAAAAATGAGAATACTAAGGCACAGGAAAGTGAAAGAACATGCCCAAGACACAGCACAATCAAGTGGTGGGGCAGGAATGCGGCGGCACGGGCTGTCTGACTTCCTAATCCATCACAGGAAGAGAGGGGATGGCCTCATGGCCGAGGATAACCAGAAAGCGGCATTTCTTATTTCTCATTTCAGTCCTGCCTGATGCCTCCTAGCAAGATTTAGGTTATGTCCCTTCTCCCCAATAAGGGTATAAGCCCTGTGAGTGCAGGAAGAAAGACTGTAATGTTTCTTTTCTTTTTCTTTTCCTTCCTTCCTTCCTTTTTTTTTTTTTTTTTTTTGACTGGGTCTCTCTCTGTCACCCAGGCTTGTGGAGTGCAGTGGTGCGATCATAGCTCACTGCAGCCTCTTACTCCCAGACTCAAGTGATCCTCCCCCCTCAGCCTCCCGAGTAGCTAGAACTACAGGTATGAGCCACCATGCCCAGCTAATTCTTTTTTTTTTTTTTCTATATTTTGTAGAGACGGGGTCTCACTCTGTTATCTGTTGTCTGTTGTCTAGTGAGCAATACTGTTGAACTCCTGGCCTCAAGTGGTCCTCCCTCCTCAGCCTCCCAAAGCGCTAGGATTGTTCTGAAGGGCAGGCTTGGCTGCTCACCACTTGCAGCTTTGCAAGCAAATGGCAAGGATGAGATTCAATAAAAAGAAAGTTACTTTATTCCAGAGCTTAGCAGTGGGGAGGTGACCAGACTCACCTCTAAAGGAACCATTTCAGATTTCTGGGCAGAAAGCAGGGTCTTAAGAAGGGAAATTTTGGTACACAGGGCATGCAGGAGGGGCATGGAGGTGTGGCACCTAGAAGACTTGCTCTGAGGACTTATCTTGAGCAATAGGCCATCTGGTGGTCTGGCTGGCACCATTGTGGGCATGACCAGGTTGTAAATTAATCATTGTCTTGAGGCAGTCTCCTGGTGGGGGATAATTTTGAATGTACCTCATTTGTCTTAAGATTCAGTCCCTGGAACTTCTAAGCAAACGTATAATTAGGTAAGCTAGCAGTCCTTGCAGGGGAGTACCTGGTGGAAAGAAAGGAGGGTAGAGATTACATTTGCATTACTAAAAGGTTAATACAAAGAGCTGCAGAAGGAAAAGGAAACAAGAAACCTTCAAAATAGGTACTCAGTTTTAGGATTACAGGCCTGAGCCACCACACCCAGCCCCCAAGTTTCTTCTTGTTCTTTATAGCTCTAGAGCCTGGAAGAGGACTCACTCCTATATTTTTCACTGGAGAAGAGACTCCTACAATTGCGCCTGCCCTACCTGGGACCTCCATCTTCTCAGGTGCCGTGCCAGTCTGGCCAAGAGTGGACACCTTAGTCAAGGTCAGTCTGTGATGACCTTGAGATTAAGTATTGCTAGAGCTCTTACCAAGAAAAATGATCTCCACTAGATTAGAGTATCTATTTCAATGTATCAGACCCTCTTTTATATGGAGTCTGAAAATGAGATACTTGGAGACAATCATCAGTCAGTAGCAAGGCCAGAGGCCAGGTGACATACAGAAAGAAGGCAGTGAGCAGAAACTATAAAGCAGAAAAAAGCAGAGTAAAGTCGACAAACAGTGAAACAAGAAATTGAAACAGGGAGTGGCTGAGTTACTATAGAAAATTCTGGCCGGGTGCGGTGGCTCACGCCTATAATCCCAGCACTTTGGGAGGCCAAGGTGGGTGGATCACTTGAGGTCAGGAGTTCGAGACCAGCCTGGCCAACATGGTGAAACCCCGTCTCTACTAAAAATACAAAAATTAGCTGGGCATGGTTGTACATGCCTGTAATCCCAGCTACTCAGGAGGCTGAGGCAGGAGAATCACTTGAACCCGGAGCCAGAGTTTGTAGTAAGGTGAGATCGCGCCATCACCCTCCAGCCTGGGTGACAGAGACTCAGTCTCAAAAAAAAGAAAGAAAGAAAATTCTAGGACAGAGAAAATATGACTCCCAGAAGGACTGGCTTCATGGGCATGTGACCTGGGCTGAGCAATGCCCCCACTTACTGTCGCTGGCTTGAAATTCTTAGGGGGCCTGCATTTTCATTTTGTACTGAGCCCTGAAAATTATGATGATGGTGGTGACCACAACGACAAAAATGATTACTATTTTAAAAAAGGAGTCAGGCACTATGCAGACTTGAGATTGGGAGATACTAATATTGTTCTTTCCATTTCTCTTGCCCTCAGGTCTCCAGACCTACCAGTCATGCCCCATGCAGGATTCTGTGAACTGTCTCCAGATCACTTCCATTTAAATCCTTCAATGGCTACCAATGCCCTGTGTGATTTTGAACTTGACCCTCTGCAATTCCCCGTCCTCATCTCAGAAGTAGGTCAAGAGCAGGCTTGGAGCCATTCCATTGGAGCAGCTTCTCTGAGAAACACCAAATGTAACCTGGCATCAAATTGTTAGTAGAGAAATATCTCCTCTCAGAGATTACTGCATGTTTTTGGAAAGCTTAAGACACTTGGGGATGGGTGAGGGGATGAGACCCTCAAGGGGTATGCTGGAGGAACAATAGATGGTGGCTGGAGTGAGGCACGAGGTAGGTTAAGAGGGCCAACTTAGAGGTGGTAGATCCTATTTCCCATAGACCTTCTGTTTTGCTGAGTTGGCCATGATGTTTGAGGTCGGAGCTAAATTAGAACAGTGGCACAAATGAGCGCAGCTTGTCTTCTGCCCTTTTCCCAGGCAGAGTTCAGCCTCTCATTTAAACAAATGTTGGATAAATATTTAAAGAACAAAGTTTTAAAGGGTGCTAAACCATCAGACTGCAGCACTAGACAACGTGTTTCTCTCTAGCCTTGCTCACTCCTTCTCCCTTCTCTGTCTGTCTTTCCTTTCACATCCATATTCCTTTGCCCTCCCCTTCCATCTGCCCTGCCGCTCCCCGCAGTGGCCAAGGACACAGGCTGGATCGGATGCCCACATTGGATTCTCAGCCTCACCATTTAATAAGTAAGAGTCCCTGGAAATGGTGTTTTTTGTTTGTTAGGTTGTTCTGGAGTTTTGTGGGCTTTTTCTGCACTTTTGAAATTAATCTCTGTGTCTGGTTTCTCATCTGGAAGTTGGGATAACAGTAGTGCCATACCAACTACAGAGCTGATAGGATTAAATGAGATCATTTATTACCTGGCACCATAATTGGGTAAAACATTTTTATTATTAACACTGTGCCTGACACTTGGAATTATTTTAATCCACTCAACCCAGTAAGCACTTAATAGATGTTCCTTGCATTGAATTGAATGCTAAATCCCATTGCTAATCTCCTATCACCTCATCCTCACCTTTCTCTAACCTCACTCTCCCCCTTGCGAGAACTTCTTATCTGAAGTCAAGATAAGAATGAAAAGAACAATCCAAATTCTGTATTCCCAGATCCCATCAAATATTTTGAATTGCAAACGGAAGCAGAATGTTCTCTGATGGAATACTCTGCTATATTTTCCTGAAAGACTATTTTAAAATATTCATCTACCCTAATTAGTAAAAGAAGGTCGATTTGCAAAGCAGGTGAACGATATTTTGAGGCTCACTCTTGAACAGTAGAAGAGTGTCAGTTCGTGGGACTTTATTGTATGGAGTTCCTAGGGCCTCAGGGTCATGATGTTGGCATTTAAACCTTAGCAAGAAGAGCGCTGAAAGCAAAGCTGACATATATAAGAATGAGTGGGCCCCGGTGCTGCCTTTTTGTTCTTTCAGAAAGATCATAGCATACTAATCGGAATGACTTCTGATTGTTCCTTGGCGGCTGCCACATCACTCTGAACACACCACCCTTCAGTTCTCTGGATGGTCTATTTGGTTATGACGGAATGAATTTTAACACGGTCCTTCCTCCTTCCTTTCCTCTTCCCTCCTTCCCTCCTTTACTCTTTCTCTCTCTGTCTTTCTTCATTTCTGTCTTCCTTTATTAATTCACTCAAGGATATTTAAGGCTGTCTACCACAGGCCAGGCAGTAAACCATATTGAGTTGGTACTTACTCTTGTGAATCTTACAATCTAGCTAGGAACACAGACATTGAATGTTAGTAAATTAGAAGTTGCCATGGGAGTAAGAAGAGATAAGACCGAACCCATTTCTGCAGGATGAGAGAAGTTCCCCTGGAAGAAATAATTATCCCTGGAGATCTGAAAAATGAGCAGTTCAGCTAGGAGAAACAGGCTAGGAAGAGGGAGTGTGGGGGCCAGCAAGGGCAGTGGGAGAAGAGTATGGGAACTCTTTTGCACTCAAGCAGCAGAAAGTGCTCCTGGCCTCAACCTGCAACTGCTCTGGGGGATGCCTGTGGCCCTGAGCACTTCTGGAAAATCTCTTCTACTACCTCTGTGCTAGGGGTGGCTTTGCTTAGAGATGAAATCAGCTGCCACGTCCTGCTGTGAGGTGAGAGGATTTTGTGCCACACTCTGGGCTTGGTCATCTGTGACCACTTCCAGTTTGCACACGTGGAGGTCTAGTCTCTGAGAAGCAAAGCAACTTGCCCGAGACTCAACACTCTGAGAGGCAGAGCTGGAATTAGAACCCAGGATTGTCTGTCTCTAAAACGTGTGCTTTTTCCACAAGACTAAGGTAACTCCTAGAGGTTTTCTTAGGCAAACCTTCCTGCCTGAAAATATCATCTTTACACAGGTGACTGCAACCCTTCCACCAGAGAAAGGTTAGGTCTTAGAAAATAACATAGTTCAGGAATGCCGTCTGACCCAGCAATCCCATTACTGGGTATATACCCAAAGGATTATAAATCATTCTACTGTAAAGACTCATACACGCATATATTTATTGCAGCACTATTTACAATAGCAAAGACTTGGAACCAACCCAAATGCCTATCAGTGATAGACTGGATAAAGAAAATGTGGCACATATATGCCATGGAATACTATGCAGCCATAACAAAGAATGAGTTCCTGTCCTTTGTGGGGACATGGATGAAGCTGGGAGCCATCATTCTCAGCAAGCTAACACAGGAACAGAAACCAAACACCGCATGTTCTCACTCATAAGTGGGAGTTGAACAGTGAGAACACATGGACACAGGGAGGCGAACATCACACACCAGGGCCTGTTGGGGGTTGGGGGCAAGGAGAGGGAGAGCATTAGGACAAATACCTAATGTGTGTGGGGCTTAAAACCTAGATGACGGGTTGATAGGTGCAGCGAACCACCATGGCACATGTATACCTATATAACAAACCTGCACATTCTGCACATGTATACCAGAACTTAAACTAAAAATAAAAAGAAAAAAGAAGAAAATAGCATGGTTCTTTTCCCATGCCCCTGTTGTAATTACCAAAACAAACACTGGGCAAGCTTCGAAATGTTGAAAATGCTTACAATAAAGAAAACGGGACCAGCAGCTTCTTCAAGCTGTCCTTACTGTTTAAATTATGAATACTTTTATATCTTGAATCTTCTTTACCTTAAACTAATACATTCAAAAACCTTTTTGATTGTAAAAAGCAAATACTACTTGGGAGGGGTGACCTATTGAGTCAGTAACACTTAAGGGTGTATATGTTTACTGGGATATTTTCATCCCAACAAGAGAAATAAACGCAGTACACAAATTATAAATGCCCACAAAAGTTGGAGATGGAGAGGCAGAGATTACAGTGCTAAATATAAATGTCACATTCTTCAGGATTTCACCTTGTACCAACTATTTTAAGTTATTATAAAATATTCTGAATTCCCTAAGCCTAGTTCACGTTTCCACTGAACATTTGCTCAAAGTCTTTTCTCCATGTGGAATATCTTCTTACCCCTTGAAATAGATTTTACCTCCTCCAAGAAAACGTCTCAGATCCCCTTAGTCAGAAATAGTCTGTGCCCCCTCTCTCTTCTCATGTTATATGGTGATATGTCTATTATTAAGGCTGATTGCATTTGTTCTCGTCCTACCTAAGGCTAATTAGGCACTTGCCCATTCATTTTCCCTTCTAAATTGTGAAATCTCAGGAATCATAGCTCATTAGTTTGTGTGCCTTCCACAGGGCCCAGCCTAGTGCTATGTACATGATAGGGGCTTAATCAATGTTTAAAGACTTGAAATGAAAATATGTTCTCCCCTGGTTTGAGTAAATCTTTAGTAGAAATTTCTCCATAAATAGTCAAGATGAAGAGTTTTTCAGCTTGAGCAATCCATTTGTAGGATTGCTCTGGCCTTGATGAGTTTTCTTTGATTAAAAAAAAAATGTAACCCAAATGTACTCTCCTATGATAAGCGTCATAATTTCAAGAGACTGAGCTGTTCACAGCCAAACATTTTGAATTCTGTACTATGTTCTGAGCCAATTAGAAGCAATTGGATTTATGAATTTTTTATTTTCCTGATTGATTTTCTATTTAGTTTCTCCTGAATAAGTACTTAAAAATCTCTCCATAACATTCACCCTTTTTGTTGATTTCTAGCCCTAGAGAACCAACCTTTCAGCAATTATACAATCCCTTCACACATTTTTTTTGCATTCCACTTCTTTTAAAGTAGTTTATTGAAATCCTCTCCAGATAAAAACCTTGAAATCATTAAGCAGATCACTGTTCAGAACCACATTAATTCTTCTATTTTTCTTCTTAAAAGAGATGGTTGGTAGACAGATTGGAATAGCAATAAGGTATGGTATTTATCTATAATACCTCTTCCATGATGAATAACTAATTTATGAAAAATCTCATTAGTTGGAACATTTCAATCACAGTAGAATGAGGTCTCTGATCTGGGTCCTGGTTAATTTAGAAATGGCCTCTCTCCCTGGGGACATTCAGAGCTGCTGAAGCCAGCTGGTGATGGGGCCTGAATTTGAATACTGCAAAGCTAGGAGTATGAGCCATAGCTTCTTAATTCCTGGCTTAAAATAGCCTGCAAGGTCTGGGGCCTTGCCCATCACCATTGTTTCCAGGGATTTGGGCCCCTGTCCTGAAGATTCTCTCCCTGTCTGAAATGGTGCCACAATGGTCCTGGGTGCTTCTGTGTCTACTGGGGATTGGACTTCACTGGCACTTAGAGCTGTTGAGCTATGAAAGGCTCAGACTTCTGGAATCTCCTCTTTGACCACAAAATGCTTCTTTCAACACAGACCCTGGGAATCCCCTCTTTAACTACAATCTCTCCTGGCCTGGTTCCCTGGCTCTGACAAGCCCACTGCTTCCTTACTTATAGAGGAAGAGAGTCATAGAGTCCTAGTGGTGGACGGACCATTTGAGAGCATCCTGCTCAGGGTATTTAGCCTAGGAATGCTTTCCGCAAATGAATCATACATGGAAGTCCCATAAGAAAGAACGGAGCTGCTCTGACTGAAGCATATATGTAGACTTCAAACCACTGATTTCAGCCTATGTTCTGGTTTTATACATCACCTGGGATTTTGAATACATTGGCTTAATAGCCCTAGGCTTTAATTCCTAATAGCGAATAGGGGGGTCTCTGTCCCTGCGAAATCCCCCTTCACTGCCACCTCTTCCCGAATCTTCCTGGAAGGCTCCAGAGAATTTCTCACCTATGATCATGAATGAAATTGGCCAGCTCCCCACACAGCACCATCTCCCGGCCTTTGTCACCCTCTCGACTCCATGCAGGGTGGAGTCTATGCTCCTAAATCCAACAGGCATTGCTACTGCTTTTGCTGGGCACGTCTGCTGCCACCCTCTGCAGTGAGTATCCCTGCTACGGCCGTGGAGATGGGGAGGCTCTGTCTAAGGTTGACCTCCTTCTTTTATGCATTACATCCTGTTAAAAGGGCACTAAAGCCAGAATCATCATGAAAATAAACTTTTTGTATTGGCTCACAGGCTTTTCTCTCCCTGTGACAGCATAATTGAGTCAGTCCGGCTGGGATGAGGACCAATCTGTGTCACTGAGGACTGTGGCTTTGGTCCTAGATCAGGTTTGTGGGCTGGATTCTTTCTGCTTTCCAAAATGAGTTCCATCTGAAGGCTCTTCAGTGTCTCAGGCAAATTATTTCTTCTGGCAGTTCACTAGATGCATTGAATGGCAGCGGTCCATAAGCTCAGTCATCAACTGGGCCATCTCCTTTCATCCTTAGCCAGGGACCCCTCTCTACTCACCTCTGCCCCCAAACACAGAGTAGGAAAACAAGGTTTGTAAGAAACTTTTAAAGTCTGAGATCTCTTGATTTGTCTCTCTTCAAGGGAAAACACATTTCTAAAAAGTGATCATTTGTATTTATCACAGCAATGAGAACTGAAACCTAAGCAATTAATTTAAAATTTTGATCAAGCAAACCAATTATACCGTGTGATCTAGAGACAGAACAAGGATATAACTAGTCACTAGGATAAAAAGTCACACCACACACACACACACACACACACACACACACATTTCCCTAAACCACAGAGGGACCTTTCCTCATTCCCATTTTTTCCCCTTAGGATTGGTTTAAAGCTTTGCTACTCAAAGTGTTGTCCACAAACCAGCAACATCAGCATCACTTGGGAGCTGGTTAGAAAGGCAGACCTTCAGTCAGACCCCACTCCAGAACCCCTGGATCTGAACTTGCATTTTAAAAATGTAGGGGCTAGACACAGTGACTCATGCCTGTAATCCCAGCATGTTGGGAGGCCGAGGCGGGTTGATCACTTGAGGTCACCAGTTCAAGACCAACCTGACCAACATGGTGAAACCCCGTCTCTATGAAAAATGCAAAACAAAACAAAAAAACATTAGCTGGGCATGGTGGCATGCGCCTGTAGTCCCAGCTACTTGGGAGGCTGAGGCTGGAGAATAGCTTGAACCTGAGAGGCAGAGCTTGCAGTGAGCCAAGATCATGCCACTGCACTCCAGCCTGGGTGACAGAGCAAGACTCCATCTCAAAAAAACAAATAACAAAAACAAACAAAAAAAAGTAGGAGGTTCATACCTACATTCCAGTTGTGAAGCACTGCTCTAGATTTTATCAACCACTTACAGATAGAGACAATATGTTTCTGAGCCTTTGCTGTTCACATGTGGATGAGGTAAAGGAAGAAACAAGTCTTGGGGAAGTTGGAGGAGGATCAAGATAAAAAGTGCTAAAGAAGGATGCTGGGAATGTTCGAAGGAAAAAACCTTCATACTTCTCAGTTTTGCCAAAAATTGGCTCTGGGCACCAGCTTTTATAGTTGAAGCCAAGAGAAACATCATCCAACTGTATAATTTCAAATAGGAACTGTGGTGTTTTCTCCAATTCCACTGCTAGGCTCAGATCAGGGCCAGCGGCCCAGCAGACCAGGACCTCAATTTCCCCTTTCCTGACAGATGACAGTCCCAGAAGCTCTGTTTAAGAATTTAGGAACTGGCTTGAGAAAGAAGATATAGTCACCATTGCTTTTTCCCTTGACTGCAATCAGTAAATGCTCTGACAATGTTGAAGACATGTTGCTGGGGGAAGAAAATCCTAACATTAGTAAGTCACAATGATATATCCGGAGATTTTTTTCTGTTTAATCCTTCTTATGCTAGGGCATTTAGATATCTGCGGAACAGAAGTAGGAAAGTACCTGGCTTTGCAAAGTAATGCTGTTTTATTTGCAGAAGACGGTGAAGCTTAGCAACTACAGTGTCTAAAAACAGACACCACTTCCCTGGACTCAGATCTCACATTCCTGGGCATCCTGTCCTACTGATGAATTTCTCACTGGGAGAGCACCAGATAATGGCATTGCAGGAACAGGGGTGAAACCTGCACCAACACGCCTTTCCTGTGCCTTCTCCAGCTTACACTTTGTCCAGTGATGAAATCAGTCAGGGATGGAAGTGCAGCTGCACATGCACCCTGTGCTCACACCCTGCTCTGGGTAAATACCACTGCCCCAGATCATTTTCTTTTCCACTGAAAGAATCTTATCTTGGTGACCCAGGAAATCCAGGGCTTGCAGCCAGATACGGTGCTGTGGGTGTGGTGCCTCCGCTTGGCCAAACAGCCGCATATAACAACACAGAATTAGAAGTGGAGTCAGGGCAATGCGTCTCACTCGCCACTCTTTTATCTCTGGAGACAGGTTG
This sequence comes from Homo sapiens, assembly GCF_000001405.40. Lineage (NCBI taxonomy): Eukaryota > Metazoa > Chordata > Mammalia > Primates > Hominidae > Homo > Homo sapiens. Next base: position 108,006,209 of record NC_000003.12, on the reverse strand, counting down.
CTATTAATCACTCCGACCACATCTATCAGGCTTCTCTGATTTGGCCACGGCTCATAGTCACAGAGGCACAACCAGGGTCTCCTGATAAATCAAATCCAACAGTTCTATGATAAGGACGACACAGGTGAATGAAGGGCAAAAGCATAGTCGTAGCCACGAGTCCATGCTATTAAAAAACTGGAGGAAGAAAATTTCTGCGCACTGTTAACCAAGTGCCAGAGACTATTAATTATTCTGTCTCTTTCTCTCTCTCATTTCTATCTTATTCTTTTTATCTCTCTATATACGTAAAAAATATATATATATATATTTTTTTGAGCCAAGGTCTGGCTCTATTGTCCAGGCTGGAGTGCAGTGGCACAATCTCGGTTCACTGCAACCTCTACCTCCTGGACTCAAGCCATCCTCCCGTCTCAGCCTTTTGAATAGCTGGGACTGCAGGTGTGCATCACCATACCTCACCTATTTTTGTATTTTTTGTAGAAACGGGGCTTTGCCATGTTGCTGAGGCTGGTCTCAAACTGCTGAGCTCAAGCGATCTGCTCCCCTCAGCCTCCCAAAGTGCTGAGATTAGAGACAGGAGCCACTGCACCAGGCCTTCTGTATATAATCTTATTAAACCTCCACCACAACCCTATGAAGAAGCCAGCATTATTCCTGTTTTAAGATGAGGAGACTGAAGCTCAGTGAAGTTAAGAAATGTGCCCAAGATCCTGGGCGCGGTGGCTCACGTCTGTAATCCCAGCACTTTGGGAGGCCGAGAAGGGTGGATCATGAGGTCAGGAGATCGAGACCATCCTGTCTAACACGGTGAAACCCCGTCTCTACTAAAAATACAAAAAATTAGCCTGGCGTGGTATTGGGCGCCTGCAGTCCCAGCTACTCGGGAGGCTGAGGCAGGAGAATGGCGTGAACCCGGGAGGCAGAGCTTGCAGTGAGCCGAGATCGCGCCACTGCACTCCAGCCTGGGCAACAGAGCGAGATTCCGTCACAAAAAAAAAAAAAAAAAAAAAAAAAAAAAAAAAAAAGAAAGAAAGAAAAAAAGAAATGTGCCCAAGGTCACACAGTTAGTAAGTAATGAAGCCAGTATAGGATGATAGCAGAAAGAATTAGAATAGAGAGGAAGATTGCATGGTAGGAAACTGAGTCTGGGGGGCAAAGAGAAAATGAAAAGAGAAAGAAAAAAAGGGAACAAGAAGACAAGTCCAGGAGCAGAAAGCAAGCTGCCTGTGTAACCGGAATTCCTGCACTGGGGCCTCAGCTCTGCCACACACAGGCTGGTGACTTGTGATTTGTGGTACAAATCATATAACCACAGTTTCTTAATCTGTAAAATGAGGTTAGTAATGAAATGGGAAGAGTTCCCTTATCCCCCTCGCAGGGCATGTGATGGGGGTGCGGTTGCTTCTTTGGTGCCCCGCTGCTCAAAACCCCTAGGGGAAGAAGACAGTCGGGCAAGTTGTGGGGCTCCGATCCCACGGCAGGGTCTGGGGCTCAATGCTCACAGCTCCTGAGGCCCCAGTGGGCATGTGTTACAGGGTGCTCTTTTAGCATAGCCGTCCGTAGGCCGCTTATGTTTATCAACTCAATTAGACCCCCTGCCTTATCACAAGGACAGAAGGCTTTCTGTATCCCAGGCTTTCTTGCCCTGGTGTATGGGAAGAATCGGCTCACACGTGGGCTTGGAGAATGACTGCAAGGTTTTACTGAGTGGAAGTAGCTCTCAGCAGATGCGGGAGCCAGAAAGGAGATGGAGTAAAAAGGTGGTTTTTCCCCTGGAGTCACGCTGCTCAGCGGCCTGGGGTCTTCTCTGACCGCACCGTCCAAATTCTGGCTCATTCTGCCGGTGGATGGCCTGCCGGCCTGCCTGCATCTGTGTGTGTCTGTCTGTGTGCTCTTACGCAGCCGCGCCCCTCTTGACGTCCAGCCACTTGTGCCTTCTTCTGCCGCTGCGTTTGTTTCTCTCCACATCCAGCTGCTTGTGTGTCTGCCCGCTGGGGTCTCAGGGTTTTTATAGGCACGTGATGGGGATGTAGCGGGCCAGGGTGGTCTTGGAAAATGCAACATTTGGGCACGAAAGCAGGAGTACCTGTCTTCACCTAGGTCCACGGGCACAGGCCCAAGGGTGGAGCCCTAGCCAGGGACCCGCCTTTCTCTTCCCTGACCGCCCCGCTCTTGTATCAGTGAGATCCAGCCAACTGCTTCACTGGTTTGTTTCCAGGATCAAATAAAAATATATGTGAAAATGCCTGCAAATGGAAGCTATTATTCAACGGTGTTTTAAAAAAATAATTTAATTAATTAATTAATTTATTTATTTTTGAGACAGGCTCTTGCTCTGTTACTTAGGCTGACGTGCAGTGGCATGATTACAGCTCTTTGGGCCTCAACCTCTCTGGGCTCAAGTGAGTCTCTCACCTCAGCTTCCCAAGTAGCTGGGACTACAGGTGTGCACCAGCACGCCTGGCTAATTTTTGTATTTTCAGTAGGGATGAGGTTTCACCATGTTGCCCAGGCTGGTCTTGAACTCCTGAGCTCAAATGATCTGCCTGCCTCAGCCTCCCAGAGTGCTGGGATTACAGGTGTGAGCCACCACACTCAGCCTTCAGTGGTGTTTACAGGAGCTGTGTCTATATAAGTCATGTGGATAGATTGAGAATCAAAAGGCCTGGCCTCCAGGTCACAGCCAATGGGAACATCTACCAAGTGGTAAAGGGAGCCCAGAGGAACCCTGCCTCAGATTAGGAGCCACATTGTGTGAGGGCCTGCAAATCTCATTTCTTATAGAATTGACCCCATATAGGGAGAGGTGACCCTCGTGGTTCTGGCTACTTTTTCTGGGCAGAGACAGCAGAGAGATGAACCTGCCGGTCATTTTGCCACTGAGGTTTCAGAGTGGAAACCCCTTCTCTCAAATCCTGCATGAGAAACCGAAGTAATCACCCTGTTCTTCCTGGGCCAAGAAAATATCACTGAGTAGCCCAAAGCTTGTGTTTCACACTTTTATTAATGACAGCCTAGGAAAAGAACAAGAAGTGAAAATGTGGTGAATGCTTCCTGCTACTGGGAGCTGGGGATGGAGACGCAGGAGGGAGGAAACAGGAAGCTGGAATATGAGGGTCCATGCAGGATGACGGTCACACAGTTCAGAAACTGACGAGAAAACACTGAAACACTTTTCAGTGAAATAGAGTCTAGAATGAAGAAGCCAGAGGGAAATAAGTTAGTTGGAGATGCTTCTCTCGTATTTTTGTCCAGAGCAGAGTGCCAGAAAGAAGAAAGATTAATTTGGGTAGTTTCTCCGAGATGAGGACCATGTAGGAATTTCTGACACAAGATCAGGGAGCTTCTGGAAGTGTTGTCTGGCCTGAATTGGAAACAATGCAGTACTGAGTTCATTAACTTTGCCCAACTAAAGAGGACAACACACCTGCGTTGGTAAATAACCACCTTTTTAGTGTGTGCCTCAGTTTCTAATATTTGCAGGGGCACTGCCCGGAAGATACTGAAGGAAAGAAGCTACAGAATGAAGGGGAAAGACCCAGATCTAAAGAGGTGCTCCTGGAGGAGGAGAAAACACAAAACTTTTCTTTTCTTCCAGGTCCCAAGAAGGTGGCGTGGGCTGAATGGGATCCACACAGACACGACCACCTCTTAATCCCTGAAAGCTGTGAATGGTATCTTATTTGGGGAAAGGGTCTAAAAGCCATCACTGGTAGCCTTTGAAGAGTAAGGCGGGGGGAGATTAGACAGACGCAAAGAAGGAGCCAGCGATGTGAAGATGGAGGCAAAACCTCCAAGGAATGCTGGAGTCACCAGAAGCTGGAAGAGACAAGGCAGGATTCTCCCCGAGAGCCTCTGGAGGGAATGTGGCCGTGCTCACACCTGGATTCTGGACTTCTGGCCTCCAGAACTGGGAGAAAATCACACTGATTTTGTTTAAAGCCACTAAGTTTATGGTAATTTATTACAGAAGCCACTGGAAACTAATACAGGTGGTCATGCGAAGAAGTTGCCCAGTGGCAGAAGCAACTCTGAATCTTACGACTTTTCTTAAGTCCAGGACTGGGTCCATTTATCAGACCAGGAAGGTGATGGTATTGTCTGGTGCTTGATCTGTGCAGAGGACAGTGCCGAGTCACAGAGGAGAAGGAGACCACACAGTGCATGCTCTGGATGGAGGTGCTTGCTGAAATCAGAAGCCAGTGGAAAGAGTTAAGTGCAACACTCCTAGGGATGAGGAAGCAGTAAAACTGTAGATGGATATCCAGGATCTCATCACACCCCTTGTGAGTTGGAAATTGAAGATCAGAGAGTTAAATGGCAGAGGAGTTGATGAGACCCTGGTTCAAACCCTAGTTCCACCACTTAGTTGCTATGTGACCTCTTCTCTCTGATTCCAGTTCCCTTGTCTGTAAAATGGAAATTGTAAAACCTATGTCACAAGCTTGTTGGCGTAAAGTTCACAGCACTTCACAGAGCACTTGGCTCCCTGGCAGGGCTTGAGAAGTGGCTATTGCTGTTATTGCCCAAGATTATAGGGCTGGTAAGACAAGCCTGTCTGCCTTGGGAACTGTGATCCTTCTAGATCCTGAGGCTGACTCATCATGCAGGGCTCAGACTATCTCTGAGAAGGTGCTCATTTCCACTGCCACACAACACTGGTTTGTACAGGAAATTACCTGCCATGTATAAACCCCTATTTTTCTGCATTCTCCTCCAGTCACAAGGGCTAGAAACCTGCAAACTACATTTCTCAGACTTCTCTGCTAGAGGGTTTCAGTTTAGATTATGCCTACGGCATGAGAGCAGGAGGCAGGTAGAGGGACTCTCATTCTGGCTGCAGCTCAGGGGCAAGTGACTTCACACAGGGATCAAACAGGTAAACTGCAGGCCTGATCTCCAGGCAGCAATACTACCCTCACTCCCATTTGTGTTCCTCCTTTCCTTATAACAACTTGGGAGCTTCACTCCTTATATTCAATCCCTCCTTGCTTGAAATACCTAGAGAGACTTTTATTTTCTTGAATGAATCTATAACCAATACATCAGTCCTCTGCAAAGCACAGAGGCCATGGCATAGAGATTTTAGGGGCTCTAGAAGGTCATCTTCACCAGAAAATACAATCTTACATTCTCAATTAGAGATAAGCCTTAACATGAAAATGTGCCGGGGATAGCTATCATATTTGCTCAGATACTTACAGGGGATCATTTGATTGTATCAGAGTCTGTCCTTAGAGAAGGTTTTCTGTGTCAAGGGGGAAGAAGGTACAGGGTGCTAAAAGCAACAGGGTAGGAGGAGGAAGCTGTAATACGAAACAGTAAAGAGAGAAAAGCCCTCAGCTTGAGGAAAAAGTATCAGTAGAGAAAAGTGCAGGCCTGCCCAGGCAGCTCTAACTATAATTTAACTTTTCTTTATGTTTTAAATTTTTGTAAAATATACGTAACATAGAATTTGTTATTTTCACCATTTTAAGTATATAGTTCAATAGCGTTATGCACATTCATATTGTACAACCATCACCACCATCCATCCCCAAAACTTTAACGTATTTCCAAACTGAAATTCTTCATCATTTATACAGTAACTCCTCATTTTCCCCTCCCCCTAGCCCCTGACAACCACCATTCCACTGTCTGTCTCTATGAATTTAATTAGTCTAGGAACATGATATTAGTGGAATCATACAGTATTTGTCCTTTTGCGTCTGGCTTATTTCACTTAGCGTAATGTCCTCCAGATTCATCCATATTGTAGTGTGTGTCAGAATTTCATTCCTTTTTAAGGCTGCATAATACTCCATTGTATATTTATACCATATTTTGTCTCTCTATTCTTTCATCGATGGACAGTTGAATTGCTTCCATCTTTTGGGTTATTGTGAATAATGCCACTATTGAGACGGAGCAGGGACCTCTCTTTGGGCCCTGCTGGCCACCGCCTCCTCAACCCCAAGGATGGAAATAAAGGAAAATCTTGAGTTTCTTCAAGAGAAATTCCAGGGACCTAGCTAGCCTTGTGAAGGGAATGAGCAACTTGATGTGCATGAAGGTTAATAATAAAACAGTTGCCACCCAAAAAGGTTAGAGCCACAAGCTGTTTGGTTCCTTATAGAAACTAACTATAATATTTTTTTTTTTTTTTTTTGAGTTGGAGTCTCGCTCTGTCGACCAGGCTGGAGTGCAGTGGCGCCATCTCGGCTCACTGCAAGCTCCGCCTCCCGGGTCACGCCATTCTCCTGCCTCAGCCTCCCGAGTAGCTGGGACTACAGGCACCCGCCACCATGCCCGGCTAATTTTTTGTATTTTTTAGTAGAGGCGGGGTTTCACCATGTTAGCCAGGATGGTCTCGATCTCCTGACCTTGTGATCTGCCCGCCTTGGCCTCCCGAAGTGCTGGGATTACAGGCGTGAGCCACCGTGCCCAGCCAACTCTAATATCTTGACATGTGTCCCCGAGTTGTTTTTCAGAAAGCCGGACCGCCAGATGGAAAATGCTGAGCACGGTCACATAGACCTCAGGTAAGAGGGCACTGAGGACTGAACTCTGAGTGCCACTTTTTTGTTCTAAATTTCTCCTTGGAGAGAACACGCCTGGAGAGTCATGCCCACAGGCCAAACCTCAACATTCCTTTCTGCTGACCCAAAGTTTTAGACAAGGCTTTATTTGCTTAACCAATTGAAATTCAAATAATCTCTGAATCTACCTATGACCTGTAAGCCCTCACATCAAGATAGCCTGCTTTCCTGGGCCAAACCAACACAGAACCATTGTGTATTTGATTTACAATTCTGCCTGTGACTTTTGCTTTTCTGAAATGTAGCCCTGTCTTTAAAAACCCTTGCTTGTAAGCTATGAGGGAGGTCAGGTCTTAAACATTCCCAATTCTCTCTGCATGGTGCCCTGCAAATGAATGCCCTCCTTCCTCTCTCTGCAAACCTCCATGTGGATGTTTGGCTCTACTGCACCAGGCAGGCAGATCCAGATTCTGTTTGGTAACACTATGATCATTAATGTACAATTATATTTTCAAGTCTCTGATTTCAATTCTTTTGGGTAGAAAAATTCTACATGAAAGTGGAATTGCTGAATCACATGGTAATTCTAGGTTTAATTGTTGAGGAACTATCATACTGCTTTCCATAGCACCTGTGCTATTTTACATTCCCGCCAGCAATGCACAAGGATTCCAATTTCTCCACATCCTCACCAACACGTGTTGTTTTCTGCTTTTTAAATAATAGCCATTCTAATGGGTGTGAAGTTGTATCTCATTGTAGTTTTGATTTGCATTTCCCTAATGATTAGTGACGTTGAACATCTTTTTATGTGCTTATTGGCCATTTATATATCTTCTTGGGAGAATGTAACTTGACTTTGTCCATGAATTAAAAAAAGAATAAAGAAATTTAAGTCTGTAAGAAAGGGAAAAAAGTGATTCCATTGGGGCCTCAGAAATTATGAAAAAAAGATTTGTAAAGAATGTGTGAGATCACATTCCTTACATAAATTGGGTAGGAACGAATGCAGATTGGGACTTCTCTGCCTAGTCAAATAAACTTATCAGAAGGCAGATTCCAATATAAACTCAAACAAGCAGTGAAATAAAATGCATTAAAGCACATGAATTTCTATTAAACACGACATAAAACCCTATAAAAATAAAACTCTCCTTATCATTCAAATTGCAATTTTATGCCTCTGGGCTTCAAATGATGGAAAGTTGCAGTTCAGGCTCACGGGATAAAAAGGAGGGCAAATGTGATGGGCACAGCAAGTCAGTTAAAAAAAATAAAAATAAAGAGAACTGCTTTCTGGCTTCTCTCTTTCACATCACACTGAAGGCCCACACAAGTGGTACTTGGAACTGTGCAGGAGAGAAGACTCTTTGGTGGAAGTAAGGAGGAGGATCACCTGCTCACGTTTGCTAAGGGCATTTGCTTGAAATGCGTGTGTGGGAGGGAGTCTGTCTTCAAACCTAGACACAAAAGAGATTTTATTTGCTTTCATGATTTCTTTTCTCTCCCTTCTCATATTTTTACTCCAAAGTGTGTGCAAATTATTCAAGCATCTGGGACCTAATGCACCATCACTCACTGCAGCTTTTATTAAACTTTGTGCCATTCACAACTGAATAGCAGTGAAGTTAATTAATGGCCAAATTAGTTGGAAGTTATTTGGAATCTATATTGCATCAATTTCTATGTTTTTGGCAAGAAGAATAGAAAAAAGAAAAAAAAATTGCACCAATGATAAGCAACTGAGTGGCTGACACATAACAGATGTTCCATATTATGAATGGATGGGTGAATGAATGAACAATTGAAATAATCTGGGTGACAGTTGATCAGAGCCTGAACTAAGCTGTGGCAAGGACCATGGGGAGAAGCAGAAATGCTGTAGACTTAGTTAGAAGGCAATAGAACAACCCCTGATGATGGACAGGAAGAGGAGAGTGAGCAAAGAGGAATTAATCTTAGCCCCTGCCATTTCTTCTCTAAATTATTACAATTGCTTCATAATTGCTCTCCTTGCATTCCACCTAGCTGCTGTCCACCAGACGATATAAGTAGGAGTCACCCTTAATTCATCCTTGTTCACTCTCCTCTTCCCATCCATTAGCAGGGGCTGTTATATTGCCTTCTAAGTCTACACTGTTTCTGCTCCTCACCATGCTCCTTGCCACAGCTTTCTGTTGGCCCTGATCAACTGTCACCGAATTATTTCAATGGCCTCCTCACTGTCTTCTTTTCTGACATTCTCTCTATATCTAATACATATGCTAAAATTTCTATTTTTGTTTTTTTATTTTTATTTTATTTTAAGACAGGATCTCACTCTATCGCCCAGACTGGAGTGCAGTGGCACAATCTCGGCTCATGGCAACCTCCACTTCCTCAGCTCAAGTGATTCTCCTGCCTCAGCCTCCCGAGTAGCTGGGATTGTAGGTGCACACCACCATGCCCATCTGATTTTTGTATTTTTAGTAAAGACAGGGTTTCACCATGTTGGCCAGGCTGGTCTCAAACTCCTGACTTCAAATAATCCACCCACCTTGGCTGCCCAAAGTTCTGGAATTATAGGCATGAGCCACTGTGCCTGGCCTAAAATTTCAATGCTAAAATTTCAATATGGTGGCCTTCCTTTACAAATTGAATGACATCAGGAATATCACTTCTAGAAGCCTATGTAACAGAAACAACAAGCATGACTACATGAAGAATATATGTCTAATGATGCTCATTGCATCATAATTTGTAGCTTAAGAATTGGAAACAAACCAAATATCTACCTATGAAAGAATGGTTAAATTGCCTATGAATGGAATATTATGTAACTATGACAAAGAATTAGGTAGGTCTATATGAACTAACATGGAAAGATATCTGTGTCATCTTTAAAAGAAAATTCGCAGACAGAGCAAAATGGCATTTCGTATAAAATGTACAGATAAATTGTGCAAGAAAGATTTAACACAAGAGGCCTGACTGCTATCCTCTGAAAGGTTCTTGGCTGGCATCTGGGAACTTGGAAGTTAGGAGAGTTCTTGCCATTACCAACTGGTAAGAGCGGCTCACTGCACCCAAACTGTTTATAGGAACCATGTGGTTTGTGCTGAACATCTGCTTTCCTGTGGCACAGTCTGAAATTTTGATATATACCTGTTAGAGGCGGCCTGTGTGACCAGCCCCCAGTAAAATGCTGAACATTGAGTTTCTAAGGAGCTTCCCTAGTAGACATTTCACACATGTCACAACTCCTTGCCTGGGGAATTAAACATGTTCCATGCGAATCCACTGGGCAAGGACCCTTGGAAGCTTGTGCCTGGTTTCTCCCAGCCTTTGCCCCACGCACTTTTTCCCTTTGTTGATCTCACTCTATATCCTTTCACTGTAATAAATCTTACCAGGAGTAAAACTATATGCTGAGTCTTTGAGTCCTTCTAGCAAATCAGAGAACCTGGCAGTGATCTTGGGGACCCCCAACACATGAACACATGGCTTTATTTATACACATGCACAGGAAATCTTCTGGAACCGTTGAGGATGTTTAATTCTCAGTAGTGGGTTGAAATGCCCACTTTACCTCTTGCTATATAATGTTTTTAAAACTATGAGAATTTGACTGATTTTGAGTTTTGCGTGTCTTCGGTGATTTACCATGATGTCATGATTGCTCACATGTGTGTCCCTGTATCATGATGCGTCTCTTGGTCCTGTCTCAGTTTTTGGAACATCTCCAGTGACTGGCATTAGGCCTAGCACATGGTAGGTGAAAGAAATGATGGTACTAATTGAATTTGAAGGAAAAGCAAGTAGATGGACATAGAGATAATTTAGAAATAACCTCAAAGGCAGTACTGACATGTAGAATCTCCTTTCTTTTGATGTTTCAGCTTTTCAAGACTTTTGATTTTCCAGCTAATTTCAAGCCTTTCCAGTTTTTATGCCCATTTGGAAGAGGGGAAAGGTAAAAATAAAGAACAAAAAGAAGAGGTGAGAGATAGATGAAGCTAGAAAAATAACTACAATTTAAACTTCACCTCTCTTCAACCCAGCCAGAGGCAAGCAGCTGGTCATTTCATTCGACATAGTTTATCCTAAAGAGGACGGCATGCCTTCCTCCTCAAACTACTCTCTGTTGGCAGCATGACTGCTGTATCAAAGGAGGACATTGTCTGTGTGGTAGGTAGGGTATGAAACAAATGTGGAAAACTGTTCCATTTTCTTCCTTTTGAATGTACTGTTCTGTAAGACTGATTAATTACATGGTTAACTATAGGGTACCATTATGTAAATATAAATGAAGTCAAGTGTTTATTCATTGCCTCAGGTTATAATTGAGACTGTTAGTTTTAAGAATTTCAGCTGGTACATAAAAGGAAACCATCATAGATTCAAATTCTGGTGCCAGATTCTGAAGACTTAGAGTATAGATTTTGAGGAAATATGCAGAAATACTCAACTAATGAGTGGAACGATGGGTCCAAGACACTTTGAGTTTTAAACTCTGTCTTAACTTGGAGTCTATAATTCAAGCTGGCATTGAGCCAGCATTTTCTAAATTTCTTCTTGCTTAATCATAGATTAACCATATATAATATAGACAATTACAAATTGAGATGGCACAGAATTCTTTACCTCGCATATGTGTATGAATTTTGTATCTCCATGTTGCAACCAATCTGTGAAATATTCTAACTTGAAAATGAATACATTCAAGTGGTCAGGCTGGCCTTACCCAGGTTCTAAGAATAATTTAGAGGTATCCAAAACCATAATTTAAAAACCATTAAATTCCTACTGCTGCCATGGGCTTCCAGCCATAGCCTTGAATAGGTTTTTAATCCTTGTGAAAGATCAGAACCTGTTTTGCATGCTGAAGCTTTGTAAAAAGGTGAATCCATCTAGTCCAGTTATAGAAAGTCAGAATTTCCTTGACATTTTCATTGCTAATAGCCATTTTTCAAAATAAATTCACACTTCAGTTAGTTCTTGTTGGTCATAAATGGTTGTCAGAACTTGCCCAGGGTTCATCTAGATATTCCCTTGAGATATTCTTATTATCAAGTGGACCTATTTCTTCTATGTGCCATAATATATAAACCACATGTGGGCAAATACAACATCTTTAAAAAGGAGTGTGGGGGAGGAGAGGAGTTACCTGTGCAGATTTATGGGCAGTTTTCCTCTGTCTTTTACGCAGGTTTAATTGATTAATGAGAAACAAAAGCTTAAAGTCAAATACCTGGATTTAGAATTCAATGCAATGCAATGGAGCAATTATTTGAATAAAGCCCAGTAGGCAGCGAGTCATGTCTGTACTTTGGGGAGGATCATTGCAGGCAGAGCAAACAGTGCAGAGGCCCTGTGGTTGAAATGTAATGAGCTAGAGAAGAGTAGCAGAAGAGGAGTTCAGAGAGGTTCCAGAGGGCCAGATCTTACAGGGCCTTGTAGCCAATTGTTCATTGTAAAGACTTGACTTTACTCCACCAAGTTGCAAAGCCATTGATGGGAGGGTTTTAAACAGAGGAGTGGCATGATCTGATTTAATTTTGGCAGCATCAATTTACTGCATTGATTAGACCACAGAGCAGCAAATGTGGAGCAAGAAGGGAGATGTTGGAAGCTGTTGAAAGAGAAGATAGTGTTTTGGACCAAGTTGGAAGCAGTGGAGGTGGTGAGAAATGGTCAGACTCTGGATGTGATTTGAAGGACCAACTCTGAGGTTTTGCTGGCCCGTGGAATGTGGGGTGGGAGAGGAGTGAAGGGTAATGCCAAGGTTTTTCATCATGAGCAACTGGAAGAATGCAGCTGATGTGCTGAGTTTTATCTAATTTCTTCTTTCAGTAAACTTCTCAGCTATTAGTTTTCTGGGAGTCATGAAGATACAGCTTCAGTGAACCAATATGCAGGCAGGGTCTTTCTCAGTCACAGGGCAATTTCAAAAGTGTGCCATGGCATGTGTATACCTACGTAACAAACCTGCGCATTCTGCACATGTACCCCAGAACTTAAAGTATTAAAAAAAAAAAAGTGTCCCTGGGGTCTGGCCCTGGGCACATCTAAGCTGAAATCAGTATGAGCCTGGGCAAATTGGTGCGCCCAAGGCACAGGGTGAGGGGGGCAAAGGCTGGGGCGTGGGGCCCTAGGAGTCTGTCTGAGGAACTGAAGCGTTTCCCAGAAGAGAACTTTCCCCAAGGGAAAAGAGAGTAAGAGTCACCAGACTGATGACTACTTAGTCATTAGTAACAGAAGGGGTGGGGAACTTGCTGAGTCGGCACAGGCAGCTCCTGGCCCCTGGGTTTGTCCCCAGCCCAGAGCTCCACTGACTTTTGTCTGGGTCCCAGGGAGGAAGAATGATGTGAATAACACCTGAAAGAGAGCAGTGTTCTTTAAAATCTCTATAGGGCCCCCGCCCTGAGCAGAACCTAGCCATGGCACTGCGTGGGAGTCCCAGTGCCTGTACCTCATCCTCTCCTGCCACCCTATTGGGGGCTTCCGGGTTTGCACAGAGAAGGACAGGGCTGGGGAGAAGAAAAACAGGTTGGACAGAGTTCCTTTGTGAGGAAATGCAGGACAGTTGCTGGAAACTCCCAGAAATGCCTGGTGGGAACCACGCCTGCTGCAGGGGCTGTGTAGGTCTCCCATTAAACAGTGGCTTCCGGAGAACCTGTCATCCCATCAGACCTTGGAATAGGATTGGCAGCCCATGCCCAGCTGGGACAGCCCCAAGTATGGCCAGGGTGACAAGTGCTATATGCTAAATTTGGGACAAAAACAACAGTGGAGATCCACATCAAAGGTGGGAGACTTCAAAGGGTTAAAACATTGAGATGAGAGTTTTTCAACTTTTTTTTAAGTTTAACTCTATTCAATTTTTTATTTTATTTTATTTTTTTATGGAGTCTCGCTCTGTCACCAGGCTGCAGTGCAGTGGCACGATCTCGGCTCACTGCAACCTTTACCTCCCAGGTTCAAGCAATTCTTCTGCCTCAGCCTCCCGAGTAGCTGGGACTACAGGTGCGTGCCACCACGCCTGGCTAATTTTTTGGATTTTTAGTGGAGACGGGATTCACCATGTTGGCCAGGATGGTCTTGATCACTTGACCTCGTGATCCGCCTGCCTCAGCCTCCGAAAGTGCTGGAATTATAGGCGTGAGCCACCGTGCCTGGCCCACTCTATTAGAATTTTTAAAAATTTGTTTACCCCTTGAGTGAGAATTAAGTTGCAAAGTGAGAGCAGCTATCATGTCAGGAGGAGAGGAGTAGGAGGGTGGTCTCAGAGGACGTTTTTGCCTGGACTTGAAGCACACATAGTCTCTGCTCTGGTCCTAGCAGCCACTGAGCACAGTGACCCTCAGGATGCATGGCGTTGATGTTACGCATAAAGGCAGGTGTGGAAACTTAGTGGGCAGGGCTCCTGCTCCCTCTAACCTCCAAAATGTTTCTGCCAGCTTCCAGGATCCTTAAATAATTTCCATGGAGTATAGTGGTTTCCTTCTACAAATAGGAAAGAGGTGTAGGGGTTTAAGATGGTACCAGAACTCATCGGTGTACAGGTGTAATAATAGGTATTGGAATGATGAGTGAAAGGGACAGGTATCACACACAAATTGGGGCTGGCCAGTCTTAATCCCAGCTTCACTCCCCAAAGTCTGTAGATCTTAGGCCAATTATTCAACCCAGTACAGTGGAGCTCCACCTTGACCATACATGAAATGCACCTGGGGAAACGTTAAAAATCCCTGTGCCTGAACCTCATCTCAGCTCAACCAAATCAGAATATGTGGGAGTGGGATCAGGGATCAGTATGTTTCTAAAGCCCTCCAGGTGTTTCCAATATTCAGCCCCTGTTAGGAGCTGCATTTATTCTTAGGCTCTACCCCCATGCAACTAAAACAGCCTCTATGGGGCAGGCCTGGGAGTCCACATTTTAAAAAACTCCTTGGGTGATTATAAAGTACAGCGAGGGCTGACAGTCATAGACTCTCATTAGTAATGAGACAACCATGTCTAACTCATTAGGTTGTTGTCAGAATTAAATGAAGTCATACATGTAATGCATTAAGCGTAGTGCTTGGTTCTCAATAAGCATTTAATAATGGTATTTTGAAAAATTACCATTATTGTTGCTATTGTAAGATATCACAAGGAAAGAAAAGGATGCATAGAAGTAGATTGGAGGTCATGAACACAAACTTAGAGTCATTCTAGGTTGCCCAAATCTAGCTCCACCAACTTCTGTGTTAGGCTGAGTGTGGCGCCTGTGGGAGCCCAGAGTCCCTGACTTGGTGGTTTGCCTAAAATCATCTCAGTCCCTATTCTGCCACCCTCTGTGGCCTGGCTCAGGAAGAGGAGGTCAGGGAGGGGAGCAGGTGGCCTAGGGTCCAGCACAGGGATGGGAAGTCTGAAAAGAGAAAGGCAACCAGACTATTCATTATTTGGCTTTGCAAATCTACCTCTACACTGGCCGCTGGGCACTGCAGTGGAATTAAATTAGAGAAAACAGTTCATTTGTAAAAGGCTGAAGTGCCTGTGACAAGCAGGCTCTGCTGAGTGCTATAAAGTGACTCTTGAATGGGATTTATAAAAGGACAAGAGAACCCAGGTCACCTGGGAGATAATGGGTCCGCGGGGACCTCTTTCCTCCCCAAGGGAAAGGCAAAATCACAGCTCTGGATCTCGTTTCCTTGACCCTCTTGAAACTCGGCATGCTGCTTTTCTAAATCTGTTTCCTCCTTGAAATTGGACAGGGCTGCCACCTACCACCTATTTTGTTTGGACAACATATATAACCTCTCTGGACCTCAGGTAGCTCAACTAAAAACTGGACTCATCATACATACTTGGAAGTTTACATTCTGAACAAGAAATTCATTCAATGATTGAATTAAATTCAGTGAAATGAGAGCGTGTATGTCATGTAACACCCATCTCATGATGAAAACTCCTGAAGCGCTATCCTTCTGCTGGATCTGGACTTTTCTTCAACAGAATAGTCTCTTGCTTTGACATCAGAAGGGATCTTCAGTGGGGAGCAAGGGAAGTGCAGTTCGCTTGATTAAAAGCCGCTCATAGGGAAGGAACTGGTTTGTCCTGCTCTGTCTGGTGGCTCCCTATAAACAAAGCCTTTCTACGGTGAAGACACCATGTTGGTCTCAAGAACTGAGTTCAATAAGGACATGGCTGAAATTGCAGTAAGGGGGGACAAAAGCTGCTGCCGTCTGAAAGGCCCATCAGACCCCATCCACCCCAACCCTGTATGCCCAGGAAGACGTTCCTTTAATGACTGCTCACTAGGCGATTACTAGGAATTAATTCAGTAGAGAAGATAATCAATAGATGGCCCACTGAGTGTGGTCCATTAAAGCAGAACTGCTCTTCTCTTCAGGTGTGATAAATAGTGCATTTAAAGTGTTCGATACCATAATAAAGGTCGTAATTAAGTGAGGCAACTTGGCATCTTAATAACTGCATGCTTGTAAAGATTTAAACTTCAGACCCAGACACAGAGTAACATTCATAATCCCTCGAATGGGTTTCCTTTCTAGAAGAGAGAAATTAATGTCTGACTCTTCTCCTGAGAAGCTGACAAGGCAGATCTGTCCCCAGATCTTTATGGAGTTAAGAGTAAGAGGTGACTTTGAGCACCTGCCACTGAGTCTTTAGTTCTCGTGTTTCCTTGCTAGCTTAATTATTACCGTATTCCTAGTGGAAAGAAGAAGGCAGGAGCAGGAGCAAAAAGAGAGGCCTGGGGGAATGCAGTTCAGGGAGCCGGTAGCCCCAGCAGTGTGCAAATCACTTAGCCAATATACAAATGACTTTGCAGAAGTACAGTGAGGCTTCCCAGACCAAATCATCTCCATTTGTTTCTTATTATTAAAAGGGAAGCACTTTCTGCCATCACTGGTTCTTTCGCCCTCCCCTATCCTTTGCACAATTTACATACACATACACAGACAACATGCACACACACTTAAAATTCAATGTTTTCCTTTCCCTGTAGACTTTTAGTAAATTAAAAAAAAAAACAAAACCATAAACTTCAGATATCTTATAATTACAAATCTTCCATTCAGCAGTTTGCAAAACAGATGCATTTTGTTAATTTTCATCCCATCTGGATGACATGTAGAAGTTGCTGGACATTTGAAAATGGATGTTGACATCGTCAAACATCCCCCAAGACTTAGGATTGTGAGCCTAAGGAAAGACTCAGCAAAGGAAAGAAAGAAAATGTGTTCATTCTAACAGGTCTTTGTTTAAGTGCACACTACTTTTGATCATAATCTGTGGACAATGTTTACGGAAAAATCATATGCTAATCAAATGGTTTAGTCCTGGGAAACTTTAAAGCCCTATAGACAAGCAAAGAGCCTGCCCAAGTACAACTGAACTCTCTCTCTGCCACCCAGCCCCAATTCAATCACAATGCTAGTGTGACCTCCAATTGCTGATATTCCAAATTCTGAATATTATATTTAGAGATCTCTAGTGGAGATCACAGATTTCAAAAGAGTGAAACAAAATGTGGAGACCATAAGGAACATTGTAAAGCTTAATACTGTTACCAAAGTTCAGCTTCGTATTAGGTGAAAATATCATATAGGGCTCGGTTCTTCTCTGTCTGTGAGGCAAACAGGGCTGCCCCAAGATGCAGGGGAAAGCAGAGCTTTCTTGCAGCTTCTCCTTCTCTGAGTTGAGCCTGGAAGAGGAAATTTTAAGTGTAACTAAGGGGGAATGGGCCAGCCCTGCTTACACATGGCAGTGGTAAACAGAGTAAGCTCTGCACTTTACATAAATGCTCAAATCCTGCACTTTTATATAAAATGTATTGACTGACCAGCATATATTGGACACTTAACTATTTAGAATTTTTTAAAAAAGAAAAACCAAAAAAAGATGCTTCTGGCAGGGCTGCCTTTATGCAAAGTATTAAAAGTGACTCATCTGGATTATGGCTTTTTCTAACCCCACCCTTCCGTGTTTGCCTTTCCTTTTGCTGAGCAAAACTTTATGCCAGGCAGGGCTCACTGCTAGTGAGGGGAATTTGGGCACGGTTCCAGGCCCCACTTGTTCCCTTGTCTTGAGCATCCTTGCAGTGATCCTTACAGTGATTTGGACTTGCCAGAGTTGCATCGGGATTGGCAGGAGAGTGCCCAGGGCTGCAGCGATGCATGTGGAGCACTGTGAGTGGAACTGGAGTTGGTCTGGCAGGCCTGGTTCAAAGTGCAGAGGTGAGAGGCAGCATCAAAATCATGTAGGAATCCCCTAAGCATTGACATACGTTGTCCCACCCAGCATCTCTGCAGGTAGAGCCCAGGCAAGCATAGAGCTGCAGGGGATGTGTTAATATTGTCAGTCCTGGAGTGTGAGGACATGGCTAGGAAGGTTTAGGGATTGGGCATTGCAGATCCTGCAGCCTCAGCTGCTAGAAGAGGCCCCAGAAGGTGGTCACCATTGTCTGGAGTCTTCTTCTGCCTTTAAGGTCAGAGCAGCTGGGGGAACTTTCCCAATCCTAGTCTCACCAGGCTTCTTCACCACCTAGGTTGAGCAGATAAGAATCCAGGCTCCTGGTGACCTTCATTCATTCAACATATAATTACCAAGGGCTTTGCATGTGCCAGGCACTGTGTTAGGCACTGGGGAGACAGTGCTGAGCAAGAAAGATGTCATGTCTGCTTCATGAAGCTTAACCCTAGCAGAGGGACCCTAAAAAGATATATAAGTAGTCATTACTTTTACCTGAATAACTAGACGAAGTGCAACACCATCATCCTCCAAGGTCTTGGCCAGGCACAAATCTCTTGACACCTTTTCTAAAGGAATTCAGACTTAGTTTGTAGATGGAAATGTATGTGTAGAGTCAAAGGGAGTTGAAAGACCATCTGGTACCCCTGCCTCTAGCTCACAGATGAGTACATTGACATACAGAGCCATGAGGAAACTTGCCATGGTCACATGGCTTATTGGGCCCACAAATAGATTTGAGAATGTATTCCCAACCACATACAAGATGCAAATGTGTATCCTAACATACTCTAATTATAAAACATGCATAATTATATTAGTGAATAGCAGGAAGTATAGGGGTAGAAAGTCCCAAATCACAGTAACCGTATTTTTGATTTTGGAATGCATTTCTGCATAACATATGAACCTGAATACGCCTGAAGTCCTGGGAATTCCCTTCAAACAAAGTGATGAAACTGCACAATAATGACCTGACTCAAGAGTTGCCGGGAAGCTGTCCAATATTTCCACGCTGGCTCTTGCTCAATTCTTCTGTGAAGTCTGTGCCTTCCGGTGAAAGTAGATTTCTAGGTCTTAGAGAATGATAGAAGGCCTCTCCTCTGCCCCACCTCTTTCATGCCTTTCATGTAGGCAAAGTAGACAGGGAGGGTGTTTTCTCCCAATCAAGCTATAATCAAACTGACTTAGAAGAAGCTATTAATGGTGAGTATCTGGATTGTTGCCAAAACAAGTATCTATTGTACTTTGTGAGGACTTCACCTCCTGTCCAGGAGGCCTGATTTTATCGGGCAGTCTGGGAAATCCCTTGGAGAGCTGGTCTGCTGCTTACAATAGAAAATTTCATAACGCTTCCCCTTGATGGTTTCCAGAGACCACACATTACTCTGGGTAGTTCTATAAACATACGTTTTTAAAGATGATTTAAGCTGAGCATTGGCAGGCCTGTTTGAAGGTTATTTTAATGGTAGTAGTAGAATTGGAAGATGTATTAATAACAATCCCAGTGAAGCTGATGCTGATGGGAATGATTTAAACATTTAAATTGTTTAGGTTGTAAGAAAATGTGTATTTTAAAAAATGTGTGAATTTGGTTGATTTCACTCTGTAGTCACCCTCTGGCTCAGTCTAATAGGGCAACCTGACCTCACAGCTTCACTCCATCGAAAGTGATTCTGACCCTGATGAAAATGAGGTTCTTGGAACAGGATGATCTGACGGGACAAGTTAGGCTTCTATTCCCTGTGTTATCTGGAATCCCATTGGTTGCTCAGATACTTCACTGGCATTAAGGGAATTCACTTAAGCAAGCCAGCCTCTTACTGTTTTTTCTTCCCAATCTCTTAGGGACCAGTTGGTGATCAAGAGGGTGTGGCCATAAACTTTTGCATGAGAGCAGCTTCTCCATTGGGTACTATTTACTCCCTTGCTTGCGTCCACGTTGCTTAATGGCAAATAGCTACACTGAAAAGAATCTTGCAGCAAAGGCAGGGGCGCACAAACTCCAATTAGAAATATGAAAGATTTTTAAATGGGTAAAAAGGATCACTGAGTGTCTTGTCTAGGGGTCATGTCTAACTTTCATTGTCTCTGAGCTATTTTACAACTCTGTAAGTTATGGAAAACTGATCATGCAAAATATTCTTATCCATAGAAAGGAAAGCAGTGAATTGTGTCTGCTGAAATGCAATTGATTATTGCTCTGAGGATATTCATCAGTTTTTCACCTATTCATTTCAGCATTCCTGCATATATATGTGCTTCTTCTTGGAACCAGCTGTAACATCTTACTGCTTCCTCATTAGCTAGAGTCAAATAAATAAAACCTTATTTATAAATATAAATATAAAATGAATAAATGAATAACATTTATTCATTTTATATTTGTCTGAGTGTCACAATTTAAACTACCCAAAAATATTAGTGTTTAAAGTATGTGTAAGCTGTGTCTCATGCAATACAGCTGCGGAAATATTTTTTAATATGGATTGTGATGATTATGAAGTAGGAAGTTGTAGCAAGTTCACCTCTATAAACCACCTAAAATGATGGTAGAGAACACTCAGTAAAATAACTGAAATATTTAATAAAAAGGGTCTGTCAAGCCTTGGACTCCAACATACAGAGAAAGTGGGTGAAGTATTTGTGTCAGGGGATCAAGAGGGTGGACCCCTCACTCTGGTGGGAGCTTCTGGTCATCACTTCCATGTCGTAACCACACCCAGTTGAGTGAAAACGAGACAGCCCGACATGAGGCAGCCGTAGGACCCACTTCCTGTTATTATGTGATGATTAACTGGTGCCTGCCTAAGATCCCAAAGCTACAAAAGGCCTGTCATGCTACCCAGAGGAGGCTCCTTTGTTGGTCAAAAATAAATAAGCCAAGACCCAGTGTAGAGAGAGGTAGAGGTAGCATGATGACCTGACAGGGTATAGTTTCCTTTCTTCCCTGTCATCTCATCTCTACATTTACCAGTACTATAAAAATGAGGAGGAGAAGAAGTGCAACATGCACACAACCTAGAGATGCTATAAGCTATTGCATTTATTTTTGGTTTGTTCTTACCTGACTTTCAGAAAAATCTATTCACTATGGGGAAAATTGAAGAATTGTCACTTTCAAGTTTAATGTTAATCCAAAGCAGACATTATTCTTTACACAAAAGAAAAAGGATTACCAAACTGTAGGATCCTATTTTCATTTAAATATATATATATATACACACACATATATATACACATATATACACATATATATACATATATACACATATATATACATATATACACATATATATATATACATATATACACACATATATATGTAATGTCTGGCAGAATATATGCAAAAAATTATCTTGGTAAATTGCAGGCAATTTTTTATTGATTTTATTTTTTGCTAACTGATTTTTTAAAATTTCTTGTAATAGATCTGAATTATAAAATGAGGAAAAAATTAAAAACAGATAAACTTAATTTAATCCTCAAGTCTATTAGGTAGGGTCTTTAAGTTAACAAGAAAGAGACCTACATGGGTTACCTTCATGGATGGGCTTTAAAAAAAAAATAGAAAACTGAAAACCCAAAAGGGACATCACAGCAATTTGTGTTATCAGCTGAATTGTCATCACTCCAGACCCAGAGTTTCTAAGACTGGGGTGTAGGGAACATCTCCCTGACAATTCGCTCAGTTAGACAGTAAAATCTTTAGGGAGCTGCATCCTAGAGAAATGATCGATGTTATGACTTAGAGTTCATCATAGGGCCATGATTTTTAAACAATAGGGAATTCTTTTCAGACTGTATTCGGCCTTCAAGTTGCTCTCTTCTGGCCAGTGAAGGAGGAGGTATCAAAACCTTTCACATGTTGCCAAATTCAGATAGCTGAAGCTCAGAGACAGAGAGACTGAGAACTTTTTGCAATTAATATAAAAATTCCTAGAGCTTCTGGATAGCTGAATATGTGGAGGTTCCTGGCAGGTGGTGGACCCAGGGAAGGCATGGAAGCTCCACACCTCTCCCCTGTACCTCGCCCTATGCATCTCTTCATGTGTATCTTTGTAGCATCCTTTATAGTAAAATGGTGAATGTAAAAAAAATATATATATAAACATATTTATTTTATATATAATATAAATTCCTGGAATTGACCAATGGAAATGACCAATTTGAAACAAACTGAATGAAAATACAAAAGGATTAGCAAAAGATAGAGAATCAGGATGACAATCCCTAAGAAAAGATAGGAAAAGAGATGTTTTACTATTTCTTAGGAGGAAGGGATTGGGTTTAAACATCAAAACCACACTGCATATTTTATATTGAATGGTCCATAACTGAGTCTCCAGGAAGGGCTTACAGTCTATACAAGTTGAAACTTCAAGGATGTCTACTAGGCCTGTGGGCAAACTTCAAGCCATCATTCGGATACCAAGGGGCCTCGCGGCATGGAAAATTGACTGGGCATTTTGAGGATGACCACTGAACCCTGGCTCTAAAATGCCTAAGCCAGAGGAAAACAAAGTTTACCTCTAAACACCCTCCCCTCACCCAGCCTCCGGCAGTGTACAGGATGGGCAGTGTTCCCTCCAGGCAGAAGCAGGAGAGTTGAGTTAAGCAGTAACTTCCTTAGGTATGCAGGTTCAATAGCGGATGCCAGATTGGCTACCAAGTCAGCCTCATTTGGACCAGTTCCATAAGTTATAAGGAGAAAGGGCTATATGATACAGAGCAAAATATAATAACAGCAGTAATAAACATACAAAAAAATCTGAAGGCACAAGACAGCACTGCCTTACTTATGGTAAACTTGAAGGGATATTTCTTCTCTTCCATTTCAGAGAGAGATGTTTGGTATGGAAAGGAGGGGAAACAATGATCACACATTGGAAGAAGACTGGGAGAGACTTGGTAATGAAACTGGCAGTAGAAATAAAATGGGGCCCCACAGGCTCTGCAAGGCACTTCTGTGGCAGTGACGGACTTCCCGCTCTGGCCACTAGGATGGTAGGAAGGCAGCCATCTTTGGCAGTGGCAGAGACGGTGCTACTTCTTCCACAAGCAATTGTGTGACATGCTATGGGTTTGTGCTGGGACCAAAGATGGAATTAGGGAGTAGTGAAGACCCTAGAGCTGTACCTGAGAACAAACCCAGGAGTTTCTTATATATCTCTTAGAAAGACTGATTTGCAGGTGTGGAATAGGCAAACTCCAGCTAGTGACTTTGATTATTCTTAAATGACATATTCTGTTGTCATGTATAAATTATATGATAAAATAACCCCTTCTTGTAGATGGTTAGATGTCTTAGCTAGGTGTGTCCACTAGAAAATTTCAGCAATCCTTCTAGTGTCCACCTTTATATAAGGATGTTGGGAAGATAAAGTAGTATCACCTTTAGGAAAGCAATTTACCAATACATACCCCATGAATTTAAAGTCACTTTTACTCTTTGTCCAGTAATTCCATTTTTAGAAACTTATCCGAAAGAAAGAATGCTAAATGCAAAGATCGATGCCTAAAGATGTTTATTATTAGTGTGTTATTTTCCTTTTTTTAAAAGACAGGGTCTCACTCCTTCACCCAGGCTGGAGTGCAGTGACTTGATCATAGTTCACTAGCATGATACTTATAAAAGTCGAAAAGTGCTATCAATCTAAATGCTTAAACATTGGAGATTAAGTAAATTATGAAAATCCACATTATGGATGTAATGGAACTATTAAAATGATGGTTATAGTTTTTTTAATATCATTGAGGTCTGATATTTTAAAAGGAAAAAAGCAAGCTAGCAAAATTTAATATTCAATATAAATTCTCAGCCATATAAAATAATATGCAGTATACATAGAAATGGGAAATAGATTAAAAATTATATCTCTGAGTGATAAGGGTCTCTGATTTTTATTCCATTATGTTTACTTTTTTAAATATTCTGTTTCTCAAGTTTCTATAATAGGCAAATAACCTATAATCTAAAAAAGAAATGCATACATGTGTGTGTATTTCTACATAAACAGGCATGCACACACACATATATATATTTGGTGTCTTGACAGGGAAACAGCTCCACCTGTATATGATGTTTGCCTCCTGTGTCACAAGCTCATTATCTTTATAGCTTTTTCCCCCTAGTTTGAATAATAGTTGTGAATATATTTGTACTATTCCTTTTATTCCCTCTCCCCATAAACTACCACACACACCCTACATACCCACACAACACACAGACATACCCACACACAATTAAAATCTTTGTCGACAGGGACCTGACATCCATTTGGATAATGTACATAAACTCCCTCCTCTGAATGTTTTCTCTCGGGCTCCCTTCCTCCCGTTCTTCCTTCCTTTTTCACCTTCCTCTTTGCTGCCATTTGCCACTCAGGCATGCCTGTGGCCTGAGGAGGAACTGAGTGAGATGGAGGTGGGGAGGGGAAGCAAAGGCCAGCAGATTTCCTTGGCAGGAGCAGAGGTGGCCGTGTCAGCGAGCAATGAGCCAGAAGCTGCTGAGACAGGGTTCGGGGAAGTTGGCCAAAGGCCTGGGAAGCAGGTTGGAATCATTTGGATAAGAGGAGACAGGCCATTTGGAGCCCCAGTATGTTGCCCGGCAGGAATAACCAACATTCCAGAGAAGGCTCACTGTAAGCATCGCCCCTGGCCAAGGTGCACTGCACAGCTTGCGAGCCTGTCCTCACCTCCAGTGTGCCAGGAAACACAGCAGCAGTGCAGAGTTGTTCTTTTGCAGTGTGTTGAGGAGGATATTTCCTCTCCCCTTTCCCTATATCCCTGGCTTTGTGTACAACAGAGGTCACAGATTCAAGTGCCTCAGGATGAGGCTGTTATGTAAGTGAGGCAGGCTAAGTGTGATGAGACACGGAGTGACAGGGACTGCAACATACTGGGAAGGCTTGCTCCCTGAAGTGGTCAGGCATAGTTTCATGCCAGCATTTTTGCTTATCAGGTATAAGGCCAAGGGTTGCAGGTCTTCCAGTTTCTTAAGGAAAGCTGAAAATCCAGAGAAGCTTGGAATTCTTGCATGTGCACACACTCACATGTGTGTATATGAAATCTAACTGTTTAAAATGTTGGCTCAATTACAAAAACACTGTGTAGACCAAATACAACATATCTGCTGGCTGGATTTAACCTATGTACCACTGGTTTGGGAATCTAAAATAAAATCATATAAGACTGCCTCCCTTTTTTATGGCTAGTAAGAAACATGATGTCTCTTATAAAGAGACACATATTTAGCTGCTATTATGTACCCATCGTTATCCTAGATACCACAAGGGATCCATGAGAAAGAGTGTTGTTCTCTGCCTTCTAGGAGCTTAAAATATTGTTGAAGCAATAAGATTTTCACTCAGGAAAGTTAGGTAATAGTGCTATGCTGGATATCAATATTGAAGCCTAAATGGATCAGATCAGATACACCAAAATCACCTTAGAAAGAAAGAATGGCTTTTAAATCTACAGCAAAACTCAGCCATAGTAAAACCAGTGGCATGAAAGCATCTAGGGTATTGTTCACCTTTGTATTCCCAGCACTTGGCACATAGTAGGTGATGTTCAACAAATATTTCTTGAATAAAAGAATAAAATTAATGAGTCACAGGAGGGAAAAAGTCTTGGGGGCTTAGAAAAATGTCAAAACAGAGAGGCAGATACTTTTATTGTTGGTATGACACTATTCACTGGAGAGAGACACTGAATTTGGGAGACTGGAGCATTTGGTCATTAGGGTCTTCATGGCTGCTAGGGAGCAGAAGTATGTAACCAGCTCTCACTGTAACCCATATCATAGTTTACAGGACTATTTGCCTTCTTTGTTAAAAACATCTACTCAACCTCCTAATGACCAATTAAGCTTCCCTGACATTTTGATGCAAGGAGAAAGGAGCCTGGACAGGGGACCCGGCACTCTGCTGATATGAGTGGTCTGTGTCTCTTCATAATGAGCATTCTGATTTACATTTTGGTGTCTGGATTATTGGGTTAGCCTCCTTCCATGTCCCCTGGTCAGCTGCCACTCTTTGGGATCCTGTCTTGGTAACTGCAACCAATCTTCCTTGAAATACCTCAATGAAATCAGACCCTGTCAGACCCTTGGTCCAGTTCATCATCCGTTTACTCCTGCAATTGGCATCACAGAATAAGGGCCCAAATAAGCAAAGCAGATAGGATGCACAGTTGTAGATCAAAGACGGAACTAATTATTTTGTTTTCAATAGTCAAGGGAGTCTCAGAAACAAAAAGGGGCCAGGGATGGGTTTTAAGAAAATGAATCTGTTCTGGAAAGATGGAGAGGATGGAGAAAAGATGATTTGGATGGTGGGGATGAAACCAATTTGTTTTATCAGAAAGTTTGTTTTGGGGGAGCAGGGAGAAAGAATGTTGATTAGGTCAGCCTGAAAGCCAGGCTGAAGGTTTGGGCTTTATCCAACACATGTATGGAGGAGAAACTAAAATTCTGAGGAAATGAATGACAGGAAGAAATTGGTGTTTTACTTAGATTGTTTGGTATCGGTGGACAGAGCTTCATTGCATTCTCATTATTGTTCAGAATTAATGAATCAATCCTGAAGGGCTTTGTGGGAGTCAAACAAGGCCCTCGCCAGGAATGTGAGCTGATTGCAAATGCCTTACGCTTGGTTTCCGGGAGACAGGTGGACTATCTGAGAACACAATGGTCCCTGGATTTCTGGAACAAGCTCAGCCATGAAGAATGCAGCATGAGAAATACCTCGATGAAATCAGACCCTGTCATTATTAATAGCCCATCTTTGTCAATCCTGATGGAACAAAGCTCATGTTTTCATGGTTGTCCTGGACAACATTTCCAACACAGCCATTTACACCCCTTAGAAGCACGCTTAGCCTTTGGCAATGCCAGGAAATCAAAGTTGTAGCCATGCGAGTCCCCAAGATTTAGAAGTAAGAGAAACTTCCCTGGGCCTCATGGTCACAGTTCCATGAGGAACTCCTGGCAAGCAGCAGGGACAGGTGCTCACAGGGCCACTAAAATGAGCTGGGGAACTTGCACAGGTCACAAATATCTGGAGCCACAGTTTTCCATTTGTTGTGAGCTTAGAACCCATTCTTTAAATGAGAACTTATCTAGAATTCCAATACATTGAATGG
Source organism: Homo sapiens (assembly GCF_000001405.40). NCBI lineage: Eukaryota > Metazoa > Chordata > Mammalia > Primates > Hominidae > Homo > Homo sapiens. The sequence goes on along the minus strand of NC_000003.12, from coordinate 107,979,306 downwards.
ATAAAAATGCCAAGGCTCTGGCTGGAGGATGGGGGTGTCTTTTCTGATGAGTTTTACCCACCAGGCTGTCCACAGCTAAGAGACCTCTATCTCTGGGGAGCCTGAGCCATCTCCACCCAATCCCAGGGATCCCTAAAACACAATGTGAAGCCAACTGGCCTAGGGCATACACCTGCAGGTGAAAACTTGGCTTAGCTGTGGCTCACGGTAATGTTATTAATTATAGTCACACTTTTAAGTTACACTTATTTTTCACTTATTATGTGCCACAGATTATTCTAATAACTTAACATTAATTTATTGAACCCCCCACAAAAACCCCATGAGTTAGGAACTATTATTACCCTTCTCTTAAAATCAGGAAGCCAAAGTCAAAGGAAATATAGCAATTTACCCAAGCTAGGAAGTGGTAAAGCCAGACTTTGATCCCAGGAAGTCACATTTCAGAACCAGCTTTCTGAATAACTCAGTCTAATTAGTTCTACCTTATTACCTTGGGCAAGTTATTAAATGTGTAGGATTTGTGTGCAAGCGTCTAGTTTTAGCTCTCTTCCCCTTCCCTAAAAAGAGAGGAATGGGCAGAAGAGCCAATCAGGTTTCGCAGGGGCCTGGACCCATGGCTAGGTTTCTTCTGTTCCTCTTTGCAACACTGGAAAACAAACAACTCCTCTAATAGCGCCAGAGAAATCTGACATCCTTGCTCAGTGTTTCACAGGAGGAAGAACTATAGCACTGAAGCCATGGCTATAAATATCAGAGTTAATGAGGGAGGACTCCTGGAGACCTAAATGAATCTATTTTATGGGTTTGTCATACAGCAGGTTAATATGATTCTGACAAATAATTATATTGAAAACTGGACAGGGACTGAGAATGTTGTTATTCCTTTTGAATGTTACAGCAGAGTCTTCTGGCCAATTAAAGGGTGATGACGCCAACACCCAAAGTGCAGAGCAAAACTGTAACAATTTGTGGCATTTAGACAAAGGAGCTTGCAGCCGGCGCCCACCCTGGCACAGGCAATAGGATTGTCATTGTCTAATTCCTTAATGAGCAGAGAAACTCCCTCATATAGAATATTGTATGGTTAGACTTGGTGTGGATCTAGGAGGAAGGGGATAAAGGCAGATGGACTACAAATGTGGCTTTTCTTTTCTTTCTTTCCTTTTTAAACACCAACTATAAGGTTTTCACATGGAGGGACATATACATTGGGTGAGCCCCGAAAACAGATTTTCAGTTTAAATATGTCAAACCCTGATGGCAGCTGCTTCTTGGGCTGGAAGCATGGCTTATTCTCTCTTGGGTTAATTACAGTGGCCTCTGAGGGGAAAGGGCTTCTTACTGAAGAAAAAAATAAAAAGATATTCTGTGGCTGTGATATTTGCCCTCATCTAATTGGGTTGCCCAGAAGTCCTGGAGCTGTGTTCCAGCCAGGAGGGCTGGGACTCCCAGGAAGACTGATCCCAGGGAAGACATTCAAGTTCATGAGTCTTTCCTCAGCCACTGGGGGCTTCTCTCCCAGGTCTACAGGCTGTTACTGCACAAGGGCATTTTCCCAAGGGACTGCAGAGAGGCTGAAATTCAGCCCTTCCTCTCTCACCCTGCCTGACCTCCTGGAGGAAAGGGGACATTTTCTAATTTGTATAAAGATGCTACCAGGGTTAGCAGGGGTCCTCAGCTCTTCCGTCATGGTCAAGGACCACTGCTTGGGCTGCAAGAGCAACTTAAAGGCACGATTTTTACTTGTCTTTCTAATGTTCCCACGCTACTGCCATTGCCCTCTGTATTTTTCTGCCGTATCTGTCGCCTCTCATATGGCGTAAAGAGAGTGAGAAACAAGACATACAGTTACTACATTAAGAACGAAATCCCATCTGGCCTTGACTCTGTTGGCGCTGTTTCTTTTCATCAATAAGATCCTTTTCTCACTATGTCCCCCTTCCCAGTAGTTTTCCAGCCAGGAATTGCAAGTGAGATATTTTTCAAATGTCCACACCAAAACCCTCTTCTCACAACCTGAGTCAATCTGGACCTTGTGCAAAGTAAAACTTAGGGGAACTGCTTTAGCAAGAAAGCAACTCAGACACTGTGACCAATCAATGGATCAATCAATCGATCAAATTTAAAAGTACAGACTTCAACAATGAGCTTTTCTTTATAACATCCTCTAAAGCAGTTCCATATTAAATTGTTTAGCTAAATTCTCATGAAGGTAAGTGTGGTGACTTCCAAGAGAAAACAAATCATAATATTGCCATGAGAAAAACTCTCAATTCTTGAGGACAGCTGCACCCTCCCCTCATCCAAAAGGTTGCAAATAGTGTGGGACTCTCTCCAGGTCACTGAGCACTGGCCTGGGGACCCTCTGCCAGGCCCCTGTCCCTGCGTGGCTCACACTCCCTTCCTGCCACCACCCAGTTTGAGCAGAGGGCCCTTGGTTTGAGCAGGTCATCCCCAAAAACAGAGAAAGACCTACCTGAAGTTAATCCCTCAAATCCAGTATTTGGAAAAAAAAAAAAGTCCGTCCTCCTTTATTTTCTTTCCCAATTTCAAGCCAGGATAATGCCATATATTTTTCTAGACAGCAGATACACAGCATAAGATAAAATCATTTTTTTCCAGTTAAGCCTCCTGCTGGGTTCCCTAGCCAACTTTCTGCAGCTCATAAAATAAACACAATTCCCATTCATCCCCCTAGCACAGATCCATCATTGCTTGGCTATGGACAAACGGGCAGGTGGTGCTGCACAACAGGCTGGGATGAGCTCTTTTTTTCCTTCCTGGACGGAAAAGGTAGGATTAACACAAGATCTTTTCTATTAGTGGATGACAGGGCAGACAACTGGGAAGTTAGAGTAAATTTCATCCTGGAGGAAAAATAAATACGGAGGTGGTCATCAGAACAGTCTTGCTGTCTCCATAAAGGCAAGTCTGGAATCTTCCATATAGATCACTATCTCATGCACAGTGCAGGCTGGCTTTGTTAGATGGAGATAAGCAACTATGTATATGTGGGGATGTGAGGCGGTGAGGGGGTGGGGATTGGAGAGGTAATAATTTGAGTGCATCAAAAGTGGACCCTGATGCCAGGCAGTGGCTCATGCCCAGCATTTTTGGAGGCCAAGGCAGGAGGATCGCTTGAGGCAAGGAGTTTGAGATCAGCCTGGGCAACACAGCAAGAACCTGCCTCTACAAAATAAATTTTCTTAAGTGTGCCCTGATCAGAAATATGATGACCTACTTACAAAGCATTACTTCCTGTTAGCATTGCTTCCTTTTAAATTTTGAAAGTGTGGGGGGACTTCAATGAAACAGCTTCAGCAAAAGAAAGACATACAAACAGACATAGATTTTCTATAAAGTTAATAGAGCTTAAAGTCCCTCAACTGCTTGAACCTCTGAGTAGTGAGAATTGTTGGGAGTTGCAGAATGTTCTAGGTGGGGAGGGGAAGCCGGGCTGTAATTAGAAAGCATTTCTGTACAAGCACACAGTAATTTCAAAGCTGCTGAAGCTTTTCTGTACAATCACACACACACAGCTGCCACGTCTTTGAGCTGCTGAGATGTTGCCATGATGTGGTGGTGCCTGAGGAGTGGTCCTTTCTTTGGCATCTGCAGGCCCTGAGGCATGGTCTGGAACTGGAAGAGGAACAAAGGGTTGCTGAAGTCTGCTTTGCAGGTAGATGTCAAGTGCTAAGGTTGCTAGAGGAAGAGTTAGTTGTGCAAAATTAGTGCTGCCATTAGAAAGAGTGTCTCCTCCTCAGTTAAGATTCAGAAATTTCTGTCTCTGATAATTAATGATTTCTCTAGGACCTTATCTACCTGCAAGAATATGATGCACTTGATTCAGTGACAACCTATTGGATGAGCTTGCATAGTGAGGAGACAATCTGTACTTCATCCTATAGGAAACACCACAAATAGTCCTGGACTTGGAGTGCAAAAAATGCTTTCTGAAGTATCCTAAAAGTCCCTATCCCCACTGTTTCCTGAGGGAAGGATGGGATGGATTCTAGGTCAGGGTACTCCTTCTAGCTGGGGAGCAGATTTGCTTGGAGGTGATCTACATATAAAATTGTTAAGTGAGAATTTGTGAAGGGTCAGAGATTTTGTCTCACTTCCAAGCTAACAGGTTAGCTGGCCACAGTTTTCACCTAATGGTTCTTTTTGCCTAAGGAGGCAATGTGACCTCACATCAGTTGCCCAAGTCAGCTAGACTCATTGGATGCCCTTGACTTCAACTACTGCACACGCCTGGATAATTCTCAAATATGCATCTCCAATTCAGCTTCTCTTCTGACCTATCAGACATCCTCATTTGGATGTGACAAACGTACCCCAAATCTGTGATGCCCAAACACACATATATACAATGTATAAATTTAACAGATTGATATGCATACACACAGATAAATAAACATATATATATATATATAAATACATAGATATATATGTATACACACACATACATAAAATATGAGATCTCTGGGTCAGAGGCAAAGATCTTTTATTACTGTTAGCAAAATCAGCAGGTTAGAGTAATATCCCCCACAGAGCTATGCAGTGAAGGCCAAATGGCACCTATATGCACAGTGGGGTATGTTATTGGAGAGAAACCCCACAATTAGCAAACTCTGGTCTTATATAGAGCCGCGAGTGACCTGCACATCATACTATCCAGAGAAACAAAAGTATTATCTTTACTCTGAAATTTAAGCTGCCCTTCTTTGGGTGAAGGACATGTAGGCTTTTATCTATACTACCTTGAAACATCTCCAGAGAGGGAAACCTCTCTAAGGTTTACTATCTTGGAATATCTCCTTATACAAGTGTTCTCAATTTGGCTGTAAATATCTTTGTTCAGAGGACCCTGACTTTGAAGAAATGTAAGATATTCGTAGAACATTCTCTTCCCTAAAAAACATGTAGGCAAAATAAAAATCCCTGTCCCCCAGCACAACGTCCTTTTAGTTATACACAACCCTTAAGGAACATTTTGTATAATGATGCTGCCTCTCCCATATAGTAGCATTTTGGACGCTAGAAGTAAGGACAGTAAAGGGAAGTGTGGCTAACTTCCACATTTATCCTTTTATTACTGACCACATGTGGAAAGCAGCTTTCTATTAAGGGAGGCTGGAGTCCAGGTGTTTGAGGCTGTGACCATCAGTAATGTGAATGTGGTCGGAAGAACAGCAAAAAAGAACACATAATATGAAGGAACATCTGCCCAGCAGATAGCTCAGTAGAAAACATTGGATAAACTCCCTCTTTCTCAAAGTACTCTAGAAGGATGCGAATCTTTATGCAGAGAAGCCTTATACTTGGATTGCAAGGGCACATTTGTTTGCTCTAAGGTGTAGCTGGCTTGCTGAATTCTTCTCCTTTGCCTAAAGAGAGAGGCTGGACCATTCCTAATAAGGTAAGCTCAGGCCTGGAAAATATCGGCTCATCACCTAGCTTCTTCAAGCCAAAATGCTTTTGACCTACCTGCACACTGCTCTTTTGCTAACAACTCTCTTCCTATCTCTCTGGGTTTCCCTATAAAGAAGATAGAAGGGTCTGTTTCTCCTTAAGGTTTGTAGGAACTCTATCCCAAAAATAAATCCCTCCTTAACTGCATAGCGGAACGGTTCACTGACAGCTCCCTGTCTCACTGTGGGCTGACCTTCTCCTGGCTGACTCTGCCAAGACCCTCATATTTTAAGGATGATGTCTTACTTCCCAGTTTCCACCCCACAGCCCACCTGCCTCTTCCATTCCTCCCTCTACTCAAGCAGGAGATCGATGATCTAAATCCCTATTTGCAGATGGTGAGAATGAAAGTAATATAAGATATAAAGTAATAAGGCATAAAGATGGGACTACTTTTAGTATGAATCATTTGAAATTCCTTTCTCATTGGTCAAAAAGCAGTTAAATATTGGCAATTTCAGATGATTCACCTAACGATTCTTTTTGCCCAAGGAGGCAATGTGAGGTGCACATCAGTTGCCTAAGTCAGCTAGACTCATTGGATGCCCTTGACTTCAACTACTGCACATGCCTGGATAATTCTCAAATATGCATCTCCAATTCAGCTTCTCTTCTGACCTATCAGACATCCTCATTTGGATGTGACAAATGTACCCCAAATCTGTGATGTCCAAAATGGCATCATTGTTCCCCACTTCAGACCTGCTCATTCTATATCCCTGTGGCAAGTGCCTCCATTATCCAAAGTCACCAAATTCTACCCAAGGGAATATTCGTAGCTGTTCTCTCTTAAATCCTCCGTCTCAGTTGATAGACACATAAGTTAATAATATCTCCTTCATCGTGTTTAATCTCCTTTCTACCTCCCCACTGCTCTCTTCTAAATTCTCATAATTTCTTACTGGCATTCTAGTAACAACCTCCTAATTATTTTCTCTGCCTCCAGTTTTCTCACATCTCCAAAGCCTGTGGAATCCTTCAATCAGGGACATTTTTCTGAAACACAAATTTGATGATGCTCTTCTTCTTCCATGTCTCCTATTGCCTTTTGGTAAAGGCCTCATTCCTAAACACCCACAAGAATCTTTTATCTCATGGTTATCAAAGGAGGTTGGGATCTGGCAGTATTATCTCTCTCTGTCTCTTTTTTATTTTCAGACAGGGTCTCACTCTGTTGCCCAGGCTGGAGTGCAGTGGCACAATCACAGCTCACTGCAGCCTCCACCTCCTGGGCCCAAGCTATTCTCCTTCCTCAGCCTCCCAAGTAGTTGGAACAGCTACCTGTGTGACCTTGGGCAAGTCACTTGGCATCTCTGTACCCCCATTTATACAAAGGTAAGGTAAAGATGAACTAAAGTTTATGGAAAGGTAAATTAAAATTTGTCCTGTGGGATTTTGGATGTTTAAATGAGGTGATACATGCCAAGTACTTAGAACACTGTCTGCTACAGGGTAAGTACTCAATAAATATCAACTAATATTATTATTAATAATAGCAAGAGTATTATAAAAAACACTAGCTTCCCTTATCAATGACAATCATTATTAATATTTTCTTATGTATTACTCCGGAAATGTTATATGCATACATAAATATATGTATGATATACTTATGGTTTTTGAAGAGCAAATGGCAGCAAATTACGCATGTTTTACCTTTTTCATTCAACAATATGCTTAGAGACCTCTGCCTAACAGCTCATGCAGCTCTAACGTATTATTTTAATGGCTTTATTGTCATGGCAATACCATGATTTATTGACTAGTTTCATAATTTTTGGCCAGCCCTGCCCCCACCATTGATAAATATTTCCAGTTAATTTGCCATTCAATGAAGTTTGTTGCTGAATGAGTGTGCTCATCACAGATAGTTCTGTCTTCCTCGGTAGAAGGGAGCCTCAACTTACTCTTTAAACCCTCGAGGCTTTTGATCATCAGTCTTCACATGGTCTCCCACACTGCCCTGTGCTGATGGAGCAGAGACGCAAATGACGTGGGCCATCCACTTTAACTGTCTTTCAAGGCCTTTCCACCAGGACAGTACCTCACAGGCCTTATGGCCTTTGGAGTCTGGACAGCCTGAATTCTCATCAGTAAATACTTCAGGTACCTAATTACTACCCAGGGAGGAACAATGTGGAACTACAAGCCCAGAGATGGCTACAGGTGGGCAGAAGCGGGAGACATGCACCATCATCCTTCCAGAAGAGGAAAGTGATACGTAACTGTCAGAAATCTGATTAAAATTTGCACATGAAATCAGTTAGATAAATTATAGAACATAAGTCATGATTCTACTTCTGAAAAAGAAATAATGGGTAATTTTTCATCAAAATAGAAAATAAATATGAATCACTACAATACCCAAGTAGTTGTTCCCATCCCTTCCACCCCCAGCAAATGTATGCACACCTTGTGCCAGTGGATGGGATGCAGTATTGGAAGTAGAGGAGGCTGGAGGGGGTGGAGGGTAGGAAGAAAGAACCCAGATGGGAAGAGGTGGGAAAATGTCAGAGAGAAATTTCCCTTGAGTCCCAATTTGCCTGGAGCTGCTTCTGCCTGGAGCTCTACAAGAAAAGCTGTTCAGAAAGGAGGCCAAAGAGAGAGGGGAGAAAATAAACTCCTTTGTGAGGTTTTCCAGAGGTACACATTTCTGAAAAGCTGATTGTATTTCTTCCTAATCATTCCAGTCCAGAGTCCAATCAGCACAAAGACTGAGACAATAAACTCACATCACAAAAGTTTCTGGGATCCAGGCTTCTTTTCAGGGACAAATAATACAATTTCCATCTGGATAATTTGTTCATCATGGCCCTATGTTTTCTTAACTGTCGAGTGGAGAAACAAAGGCAGGACTCAGTACCAACTTCTATCCTCTGTGGATAGCACAAAGACATCCTGCATTTGCCCTGGAGGAGCAGTTCATCATTTGACTGTATTTTGTACACAAACAACCATTTTTCAATCAGATCAAGATTTTCCTACTTTCATTCATCCTAATACCCTACTTCTGCACAATCAGTCAGATTGGCTGAGCAGAAAGGCTAGCTTGTTCATCCGTGTCTGGAAATGCCAGATGTACTTTTTTTTTTAAGCCTGGAATGTTTTTCACTGAACTTGGCCAAGTGTCTGCTCAGAGGGGAGCTCCAGGTGCTACCCCTGGACTACCGGCTCCCGGGCTGCAAGGGGTCTGGGTCTCGAGTTGGATTGTGAGGGCTAGAGCATTCCCACTCACCCCAGTACCCTGCAGTGAGCCGGCTTGGAGTGGTGGCAAGAGCATACATTTCAGAGACAGTTTCTAGCAACCTTCCTTACTAGCTCTGTGACTTCATGTCTCATAGTTGGCACGCAGTACATGGTAGCTATTGTTAACATTTATTAGTGACAAATGCCACCAGCATTAAGACACTATTATCCTCTAGTCCCTTGCTACTCATAATGTACCCACAGATCAGCTGCTTCTGCATCACAGGGAGCTTGTTAGAAATGCGTCAGAATCTGCATTTTAGCAAGATCTCCGGGAAGTTCCTACACATTAACGTTTGGGAAGTGCTGCAGTCTAGTCAACACTCCCTGGCTTCCTGGAAGGGCCAACCCACCCAGTCACAATGCTTTTTTCAGGACAATCTCTCCTGTGTTCAACATTTTTTTCTACAACCCAAATCTTGGCACATAGCCAAATCAAATATGAATTCATCTAATGGAAACAATGAGGTAGAATATTTGACATTGAGTTTCACTATCACTATGTTTAACTCCTGTCTCATAACCATTTTGCTTTCCTATATCTGAAAAAGGGGAAGAATTATTTTAAACAGTTCACCACTCCAGCCCCTTTTATTCTAGTCATGGGTGAGGCTATATGTTAGCTTTTTATGCATTTCTCTGCCTAAACATTTCTTCTAAGGAAAAAAGATTCCCCAGCAGACACACCATGGGAATCTGCCTTCTTCTGGAAATCAGTCCCTGCACTGATGGAGCTGGTCCAGGTAACGCCTGGCGTCCCCTCTTCAGTGAATGCCACAGGCCCTGCCTTTTTGATGCCCCTTTATTTCAGCTGCGTGGGCAGGACACCAGGCTATTTGCAACAGCAATTTCTGAACATGACTTGCAATGCATACTTGCCAGAGAGCTACCACTTCATCAGGACTGACTGAATTAGAGGCAGAGACAGCTGCTGCTGGTAAAGTCTTGGTTTCTTGGTCCCAGGCCTCTGGTTCCCACATGCGATGCCATGGAGACCCTGTTTGGAAGCAGCAATGCCCCCTGAACTGTGAGCTATCACTCTAAATGTTTGTGCAAAGGGAGTTCAGTCCACATTCATTTTTTGTAATTATTTTCTATTTTTCCGATTTTCCATTCTAGAAGATATATATGTTCACGGTATGAAACTTTCAGCCAGAGTGGGCCTCATCAAGTAGCCTTGACCAAGAACTATGTAGTTCATGGGCTGCATGGAATTGCTCTGGCAACCACTAGAATCAAAGGAGGGGCTGACTGTGGGTTCTGGAGATAGTATGATATGGTAGCAGGGATTTGGTCATTTCCAAGTAATACAAAACCAACTCAAACCAGCTCAGATTGGCTTGGTAACTAGGAAGAATGCTGGGTGGCTCACAGGTAGAAGAAAGAGTTATAGAACCAGAAACTTATGAATTGTAATGGGGATCTTAATGTTTCCAGGAGTTTCTCTCCTTGCTGTGTGTGTGTATATATGGATCTATATCACACCTACACACTTACATGTTTGCATGTATTTGGTTATAATGAAACCTCATTAAATGGTGGTGTGCTGGCTTCCTTTATTCTACCAGAAAAGAGGGCTATGAGTCTTTCTTTGTCTCATTTTTTCTCTAATATGACCCTAAGGGGTCAGCAACCTACTGGCCTAGTAGCCTGTTTCTGTATACCCCCCCACTCCCACACCTGGCAAGTTAAAATGATATTAAATTTTTATAAGGTTGTGAAAAAGCAAACAAATAATGAAGGCTATGAGACAGGACCATATGGCCTGCAAAGCCTGAAATATTTACTATCTGGCCCTTTATAGAAAAAAGTTGCTGACTCCTAGAAGGTAAGAGACAGTCCCTTACCTCCTCCATCAATTCTAACAGAAACTTCCCTGGGAGAGAGGAGTCCTCCCTGAAGAGTCAATGTGGCAAGGGAGACCAGGGATGCTGATTGACCAGGCTCAAGTCCTGTGACCTCAGGGTACCTGGGGGCAGAACAGGAGCTCTCCCAAGAAAAAGCAGTGTACAGTTTCCCAAAGAAAAGGGAAGAGTCACTGGGAAAGCCCAGTGGGATACCCTGTAAGAAAACAGATGTCACTCTTAAAAGAGGACTATTTGCAACAGCATGGACAGCGTGGAAGGATGGAGAAGAGCATTGGGACTAGGAACAGAGGACTCTTAGGCCTGAAGGGGTAAGGGAGGGGAGTCATTACCTAAATCTACAGGAGCCTTGACTGTCAGCTTGGTCCCTGAGCTGGAGAGAGAGAGAACACAGCAACCACTAAACAGCAGCCCAGGGGTAAGAAAGCTCCCACTTTCCCCACCCTCCAGGCAAGCCAACAAGAAGCCAGAGGCCAAGTCCGAGAGGCCAACTTCCTGGGCACAGAGCAAGGTAGAGGAGTGTGGGGAGTGGATTAGGAGCAGCAAGTGGAGGAAATCCTGACACCATGTCCACAGGAGACAGCAGGGTTCATGTTTTGAATCTACTCCGGGTGACTTACACCCTGAGCACTCACAGAGGGCCTGAACGCAGAAGGTTCCTGTCCTTGGTTTCATGCTCTGCTGTCATGTCCTGAAATTTTTAATAATATCTGAGACTGGGTGTGGCGGTGCATGCCTGTAATTGCAACACTGTGGGAAGCTAAGGCGGGAGGATCTCATGAGCTCAGGAGTTCGAGGCTACAGTGAGCTGTGACATGCCACTGCACTCCAGCCTGGGTGACGGAGGAAGGCCCTGTCTCGAATAGAAAAAATAAATAAGTAAACAAATAGATAGATAAATAAATAAAAATAATAATGTCTGAACAAGGGGCCTCACAATTTTCTTTTGCACTTGGCCCCACAATTTACATTGTCAGTCCTAACTCTATTCTATGACTGCGTGATCTCAGAAATAATTTTCTCTCCTCTGACTTTCAGTTTCCTCATCTGTACCACGAACTTAGATACGCAAAGGGCCTGCTCCACAGGCATGAGCAACAACACAGACAGTTTCCTGCCTTTCCCCCAAGTACTCTCTCTCCCTCTTTCCCAGGAGATGGACCTAAACAGCTCTGAGCAGCCAACGGAGGGAAGAAGAGATTCCTAGAAGGCAAGAAACAAAATGGCCAGGTAACCCATCTGAATAGTATCCGGGCATTAGCACAGGCTACCAGCCAATCAGAAGCAAGGAAGTGAAGAGGAAAGGAGGACTGAGGGATTGTTTTGGCTGCTGGTCACTCAGAGACTAAGAGAGAGAGCCTTCAGACTCCCTCATTCCCTTGTGGGATTTATGAGGAAACTAAGACCCATAAATATCAAAAATGTGACCCAAGGCCTTGGATATAGTGATTGTCAGAGTTGCCCTCAACCTGGGACCTCTGGGATCAAGAGAAGTGAGCCTTGGACTAACTACATGTTCACTCTCGCATCGGAAATTGGGTGTAATTTGGCTTAAATATGGGGCTTGGGGATTGTTATCAATTTGTTATGGCACAAATTGTCCTTTTTCAATTTGCCTTTTCTCTTCCCTTCTTCCCTCCAAAATATCCCCCTATTCTTTCTCCCTCTGCACTTCCAATTCAGAGGAACTCAGGTTTTTACTTCCTTAGGAGGACGTGCTAGCATCACCGGTGTTGTGGGCCTTGAGCCGAGGGCCTCAGGACTGTGATGAGGCTCAGGGCCACAGTAAGAGCAGGGTTTCCTGAACACAACACTGCACTTAACCACACCTGGGTGAAAATTTCATTTTCTTCACACAAAGACTGGGCTCTAAAGTGTCCAGTGTTCTATGAGTCTCGATAAGGTGAAATAATTCTGTTATTGTTGACTCATAGATTTTCTGCTTGCATGTATACCTAAAGACTTTTTGCAATTCTTGCCAGGGTATATATTTTTTAAGATACAAAACTGTCTTACACCCCACAGCAAGCTTTAATCCTGTGAGGACAATCTGTTTCTCCTGGCAACACTAAGGCTACTAGATGAACAGGGGTCAGCCGGGTAGTTTGAAGAGAAGCCTTGGTAATCTGTTAGACAAAGCTGAGAATTCTCTAAAGAATGTCTAGCAAAGATACTTCAGTTTGAAGTGAATAGAAAGGGTTTTGTTCACAGGCCCTGCCTTGCTGCTGGATTCAAAGAATGTGCAGCACCAGAAAAGGACATCAATGTCCTTCTTGAAAATGAAACACACACGCGCACACACACACACACACACACACGTGTCTTCTTTTCTGCCTGCATTGAGCATTGCATAACTGTGGAAAAGTTCATCACGCCTGAAAATATGTATCTTTCCTTTGATCCAAAGCAAGTGCTATATTGGAATAAAGATGCCATATCTTCCGCCTTTAGTAAAATGAATTGTCAAGGATTTTGCTTCAGAAAGATCAAGAAAAGACCAAACGATTCTGCAGGGTGAGGCCTCAGAGTTCAGGCTGTTGATTAGGAGTTAGGGGCCCTGTAAGTCTTATTGGTTCTCAGCTTTCTCACTAGCTCATGTTTGTGACCTTAGGCAAGGCACTTAAGCTCTTTGTACCTTCATTCCTCCATTTGAAAATTAGAGATAATACTTGCCGCCTACTTAAACTCAAAGGGATATGTGAGGATTAGCCAATTAAAGTTTGCCAAATGCTTGGGAATCAATGGAGGGAAAAATCTGTATGAATATAAGGTATCATTGTCAGTCCCGCCTGACTCCCTCTTCACTCTCTTACCCCTCCTGTTTCCACCCTCTCTTTTAAAGGATTGCCTTCCTGGGAAACTCATGAGCATTATGCATGGTTTTACTTATGGTTGCTATTGTGGAAAGTGGCCATCTCCTATTATTAAGTGATTTGTTTGAAGTTGGTCCTTTCTATACCATCACGGGGGAGGTTTCCAAATCAAAGCATCCTAGACTGATTGTCAGTGAGGCACAGCTGGCAAGGTTTCTTTTGGGTTTACCTTTAGCATCCTGTAGAGAGGAGAAAACAACCATTTTAATGTAAAATAGTAAGCATAATTTGGAAATATTTGCCCATTAGGAATACAAAGCTAGTGAGGTACAAAAATAAAGTCAATTTAGAGCCCTTGTTACAATCCTTGAAGAAATTCCCCTTTTAACCAAAACAATAATAGTGCTTCCTATTTCATAAACGTTGCTCCTCTGGCTGTTACAGCCACGTGAAAAATGAGTGTAACATAACTATGGCATATTATCTGTTTGTTTCACAATTGGAAAATTGAGATGCAGAGAGATTAAGTGACTTGCTCACCACAACTTAGCTAACGAACGGAACGGCAAAGCCAGGGCTGGACTCCAAACATCTTTATCTTCTGGTTACAAGGGCAGTGGATTTCCCCACAACACCCTGATGCCACCTATGACTGTGGCCCAAATGATGATAAAAGTCCAAACCTTGTTGCTTTGGTAGGCTTTCCTCTACTTCACAGAGCATTTGGACTTGAGCAATGTATCTAGTCTGATCTGAGAACCTCCTGGAAAGCCTAGAGCACCACTTCCCCTGTGCTGTGGGATCACGTAATGCCAAATGTTCAGAATCACCTAATGGAAGATAGGAAGTCAGGACCTAGAATTCTTATTGAGAGTGTTTGTCTCACGGTATTGCCACTCTCTAATTCTGCCCATTCTGTTGCTCTGCCATGTCTAAAATGGGGTACACGGTCCATCTGTCAGGAGTGTTTTGTAGGCCTAAATCAGAGTTGGAAAATAGTTTTTATCTTGTGGATCCTTATAATGGAAGTTATGGTGTGCCAATCAGATCCCTCTTTCGAACCAAAGTTCCCACTTCCCTAGATTCTGGGCACTCTTGGCTGAGTTCCTCTCTAGCAACTGGCAACAGCCAGATAGTTGCCTCCACCAAGATCATCCTCCCCTCTCTGGCAGAAGAATGTTTGGCTAAAGGAGAAGTCCAACACCTCTTCCTCAGGGCAGAACAGCTCTGACAGACCATCTCTTTTCCAGAAGTCCTCATAAGCTTGGCTGAGGCCTTTGTTGTAATTGCATTACAGTTCCATTTCTTACTAGGCCCAATACTTTTCCCTTACCTCTTATGGCTATTATTCTCAAAAGTATGCTCTCAATAAACCTTCTGCATGGAAATCTAATACTATCAGAGTCTGTCTCCTTGAAAACTTGACCTGTCAAAGATGGTACCAAAAGTGGCTTGAGAGAGCAGACTTGGGCCTCCTGGAAATGATGACTCCACCATTGGTGGGATATGAAGCATGAATAGCCCTTGGCATGTACTTGCAGTACAATTGTTAAGTTTATGGGGTGAACTGGGATGGGATATTGGTGGAAGGGAATACAGTAGCAAGTGCAGTATTTCTGGCATCAGAGAACTTTGTGGTAAATAAAACTATTAGGACTTTGGATTTGGAAGACTTGCTAGGGGCCATCCATGGATTAGAGAAAATCAATGAAAAGCTGAAGACAACTAACCAACAGGGGAAACCAAGTATGGAAGCCAGAGGACCTCCTTGGCAGTATTTCAAGACTCTTCTGCAGCAGGAAGACAGAAAAAGCTGAGGGTCAGGACCACAATTTAAGTGGAAGAGTAGCAGAGCTTCCTGGAGGTTGAAATCTCAGCTCAACAGGTTGTCTGCACCAAAGTCAAGTGGGAAAGAGTGGGACCATGAGATTTAGGCTGAGGAATCTAAAATCTCAGATTTTTCTGGGTTCTCTGGGACTAGTAAAAAGAAAAGCACCTTCTTTTCTGTTAAATGCTAGTGCTTCCTCCTTACTTGAAGTTGTTGCAGAAGCCTCTGCCTTGCAAGACAACATGCAACCCTAAGAATTCACCCCATCTCCCCTGCTAATCACCAGAATAACAATGTAGGGTCAAGCCACAACATAACTCGGTTGAGGAAGTGCTGGGATTGCAAAGCAAAGAAAGGGATTGTACACTAAGGAGCTGAAGGACCTAGCCAACATTTACTGGCAAAGGCCAACAGAATATAAATGGACTGGCTTCTTGGAGGTGCTGGATTAAAGGAGGTAGAATATAATGTTGGATTAAGGATACTTTATTATTGGTGTGCTCATCTTTAGTACAGAATTCCTGACCCTGGCAAAAACCTCAAGAGACATACCAACATTATTGGGGCAAATGATGAAGAAAAGGATGGAAATTGAGCATATTGAAGCAGGTATATTTTGCAATGTCAGAAAACCTGTTAGCTGATTATGTTCTGCGACAGAGTTCAGAGGACATTCCATTTACCAAAGTTAAATGGGATGCACTAGGGAGACCAGTATTGTTAAGAATCTCGGTCGTGGCTGACCTCTGTAGATCAGGATTGATTTTGGAAGATGCTGTCCCCAAAATGGGCTTTCAGATAGCAAAGCACTGATAGATGCCTAAAACAAAATAGAGAACAGATGGTAGCACTTAGCTATCAAAAGCAAGGTGAGCTCAATCACTGTAAAGAGTGGCCAGGCTGGGGGAGGGTGGTATGACTCACATAGTGCTATAGAGACAGTTAATAGAAAACAGCGTTTCCAGGGTCAAGATACAATGAACAGGCAACGTGGTTATTTCTCAATCTACACAACAAAAAGAAACAAAGGCTGAGGGCTGCTGTCCCAATAAAATGTCACAGTTTCTTGCTGAGTTTCTGTACCTGGTCCTGTTCTCAACCCTGAGCCCACATGACTGAAGGAAAGGCTGTGTCTCATCAGAAAGAGACTGCAAAATCATGGCAAGTTTTAATTTTTAATGATTCTTCCTGTCCTTCTCCAAAAGGATCTACAATCATCTACTTAGGTAACAATGTACTGGGGAAAGGGGAACACTTAAGCCTTTCAAGAACTGAGTGTTAACATTAACACCTGGGGGCCCAAAGCATCATCAGGTACACACTCATACACACACACACACACATACACACACACAAACACACCTATTTTAAAGGGTGCAAATGAGGACTCTGGATAAAAATTGGCTCATAGTAGATCAACTACGTGTATGGGCCCAACCAGTGGTCATTTCCCTAGTTTCTGAATACCTAATTAGAAGAAGCAATTGACAGAACCCCTCTATTGGTTTTCTGGCCTATAAGGTAAGAATTATAATGGGAAAGCCCAAAGAAGCCTCTGATACTACTCCATCAACTCTGGACAACACATTAAATCAAAAACAATATTGCATCCTGGAGGAAATGACAGAGATTAGAGTCCATCTTGAAGATCAAAAGGATGCAGGGTTAGAAGCCACACCCTATCCCTATTTAATTGACCAGTCTTACATCTATAAAAGCCATGTGGCTTCTTGGTATGAATTTTTGGGCAACCGACAATTCTACCAAGTAGCAGCCCCAATTGTAGCTGCTGTACAAATTGTGGTGTCTTTGCTAGAGCAAGTTAACACGGTGTCTAATACATGCTGTGAAACTGATAAGAAATACACATATTGGTTTCTGCCAGCAGTCCTTGGCACAGAGCTCCTCAAGCCTTCATAATTTCCTGATGAATAGGGGTGCTACAAGCATCTTGTATTTTAATATTTGGTCTTTGACTCTGGATCCTGACCCAGCGCTCCTAAGTCCTTTGGCATTTTCTGGGCGACAGGAGCTTCTTTTGCTCTAATAAGGTGACTCTTGGTGGGCTTTTGCATAGCCTCAAGATAAGAGCCAGTTATCAGGGAACCAACTATGGGATTAGAAGGTTGGAAGTTTCAGCCCCAGCCCCTGACCTCCAGGGAAAGGAGAGTGGCTGAAAGTTGAGTTCATCACTAATGGTCAATGATATAATCAATTATGCCTGTGTAATGAAGCCTCTATAAAAACCCAAAAGGACAGGGTTTGAGTGGGCATACAGATAGCAGAACACATGGAGATCCCTGGAGGATGGTGTGCCCAGAGATGGCATGGAAGCTCCTCCTCTCCCATTCCTTGCCCTGTGTATATCTTCCATCCGCCTGTTTCTTTGTAATATCCTTTATAGTAAACCAGATAGCATAAGTAAGTATTTCCCTGAGTTTTGTGAGCTACCCTAACAAATTAGTTGAACTCAAGGAGGTGGTCACAGGAGCCCTGATTTACAGACAGTAGGTCAGAAGCAGAGGTCAGACAACCTTGAGCTTGTGATTACCATCTGAAGTGTGGGGCAGTCTTGTGGGACTGAGCCCTCATCCTGTGGGATCTGTTGTTGATTGTTGAGTGGGAGAATAGAAAAAGCCCTTTGGTTTGGTTTTCTCCTATACACCACACATGGCATGCAGCCATTGATCTGCACTGAAATGAACAGCAATATATACTTATGATCTTGCCCCAGGACTATGTTAACTCTTTCCCTCTCTCCTAGTATAGTGACCAGACCAGTAGCTCCTGAGAACCATACATTTCTCCACTTTAAGCAGGAAGTCACAAGCATTTTGGAGGACTTGGTGAGACATATGAATTGCAGAATGTGGAAAATACATCTAATGAAGATTGAGGGCCCTGAAATATCAAGGAAATTTCTTGATGGGGTCTAGTGGTTTGGGCATGCCATGACAACCCTCTCAAGGCAAAGAACAAAGTATTGTATATTACCCCTCCCACCACTAAGGAGGAAGCATAATGCCTGGTGGGCCTTTTTAGGTTCTGGATGTAGCATATTACATACTTGGTAACAGTGCTCAGACCAAGTGTTCATTGCTATGTTCAAAACATAGCTTAAAACAATAATCATTTTATTGGTAGTTTCTGTGGGAATCCAGGAATTCAGGAAGGTGTCATTCAAGTGAATCTGGTTTGAGTCTCTTGTGTACTTGCAGTCAAACACTTGTTGGACTTAAAATAGTGGGAGACGAAAGAAGACAGCCAGAGAGAGGAAAGGAAGACTGGAGCCGCTGAGAACTGGCCAGAGTCCCCTCCCGCTTTCCCCCTTCCTTTCTCTCTCCCTCCCCACTGTAGTCTCAGGATCTCTCCAGATAGTCTCTCCACATGGACTAGGTTGGGCTTCCTCATGACATAGTAGCTGGGTTTCAAAAACAAACATTCCCAGAAGGCAGGGTTGAAGTTGCTTGGTCTTTTCTAACCTAGCCTCAAAAATCATGCAGCATTACCTCTACCATTCTCCATTGGTTGGAGATGTCACAGACCCCATTCAGACCCCTGGGAGGGGGACATAGGCACCACCTTCTGATGAATGGAGGTTCAAAGGATTTGGGGGCCATTTTTGGAAACTGCTATAGTATGATACACTGGAATCAGCACCAATTCTAGAAAAATCTTGGCATGTGTCTTGGCTCTACCATTTTCTGCTTGTGTGGTTATGACCTATAATCTCTCTTTGCTTTAGTTTTCTCAATAGCAATATGGAGGATGACAATGCTTTTTAATAAAACTCCTTTGAATGCAAGGAATAGAGACTCATTCGTATTACCAAGGGTTGCCAGAAAAAAAGAAAAGCAGACTAAAAGCAGGAACTACAGCTGTCCCGGAACTGGAGGTGGATCTTCATGACCTTAACAGTAGGAGGTCATGGAATCTCACTCTAGTGCTCTTGAATCTATCTGACTTGGCTATTCTCTACCTTTCATTTTCTCCCTCCTACTCCCTAATCACCTTCTGCTGTCTCTTTGTCTCTTCCTTATCACTTCCGCTGACTCATAGTTTTTGCTCTTAGAACTTCAGCTAGCATCATGGCCTCTGCCACATCTCTCTACATTAAGACATTTCAACATCAGCTCTCACCACTCTCTTACTCTTTGGGAATTTCTTGGTTCAAATTCTCAGGAAAGGGATAATTTGCTGGCCTCAGAGTGGATTGTGTTTGGGTCACATCCTTTTCCTGTTCATTTAGCAACCACTCTTGTGTAAAGAATAGCTTAGCTCTTAGCAATTCAAGATGTAAGGAAATACAAGCACGCCAGCATATTAATGTATATTAGCTGGCATAGTCCAGTGGAAATGTCTACCTCAAAGGACTGTGGTGTGGATCAATTTAAATAAGGAAAGTAGGAGGTACTATAAAATACAAAACATATTAAGGAGATGTGATGCCAGGTTTTAAACACTGCTGTGGTTTAAATGTGTTCCCAAAAAGTTCATGTGTTGGCAATTTGGTCCCCAGTGCAACAGTTTTAAAGGTGGAATCATTTGGGGGTAATTAGGTCATCATGAATGGGTTAATCCATTAGTGGATTAATGAATTAATGAATCAATGGGTTATTGAGGGAGTGGGCTAGTTATCATGAGAGTCGGTTTGCTGTAAATGCCTTCTTGGCTGTCTCTCACGAGCCCTCTTGCCATGTGATGCCCTGTGCCACCTCGAGGCCTGCAGAGAGTCCCAGCCAGCAAGAAGGCCCTCATCAGATGTGGCTCTTAGACCCTAGGCTTCCCAGACTCCAGAGATGTATAAAATATATTTTTTTAAATAAATTACCCAGTCTGTTGTATTCTGTTATAGCAATGCAAAACAGACTATGACAAACATACATTTAAATGTATCCACAGATTTATTTTGTAATAATCAATACATCAAGTTAACATCCTTGGTAATTAGCCCAGCAAATTGATATTTATAGATTAATGTTTTGTTTCCACAAATGATCATTGCAACCATTCTTCCTTAGCATCCAGCCATATGCTAGCTATGTCAGGACCTCCACCAGTTGAGACTGAATCTTGCAAGTCTCAAGCAATTAGGCATTCAAATGAATGCTGTGCTAATATATAGATTTTAGCATTGTATTTTCTTGGGTTCTTTTTAAAAAGGGGAAACTCAAAAATTATTCTTTGTTCAATAATAAAGGCTTGACAATGCATCTGTTTCTAAGTGCATGCAGTATCTACTCAAATCTGTATTGGAAAATTACACTGTAAATGCTTTGTAGGCTTTTTTTTTTTCTTACTCATTTTCAGTCTCTCACAGTCTCTCACTTCTTAATCAATTCCTATTTTCTCAACACAGACTGCATTGCCACCAAGCTATCAAGTAATAACTTTTTTAGAACTCAGAATGAAAAGAAAAAGCCCAACCAAACAAACAAACAAGAATGAAGCTTCAGGAACCCTTTTCTCCTGTACCGGTACACGAAGTCATCCATCTCTGCCACAGTGGTGGTTGAATTCAGATAGGCACCTGATATGCTGATTGAAATTTTTTAGTTCAAGGTTTTTTAAGAATCTAAAATAAATTTCCTTTTCCTTGTCTTCAGGAAAGCCTACAAGTACCAAATCCAATTATGAGAAAAATGTAATTTCCCTTTTGGTCTATGACACAGCACAACAGTTATCTGTGGATGTTTAAAAAAATGCATGAAGTAGGATTCTCTTGGTTCACACCAGATAAAGTCCCCAGGAAAGTGATCCATAGTTGGCATCATTTGCTGACATTCATGTGTGATTCAACACCTCTAGACAATGATTTGGGGGAATCTGTTTTTCTATTATAAGCCAGACTTTGTCTTCTTGATAGAAACTGAAAGGATCAGCATTCCCAGCTTTTAAAGTAGATGCTTCCTGTGAGACCCAGCGCCCAGAAGCCACTCACAGACCCTTGCGGGTGTCTCTTCACATGCTGTTCAGTGCCATTGTAGAGATGAGGCATCCAGGTGACTGACGAATTTCTCACTTGTCCTCTGGCTGCTTTTGCATCTGTGGATACAGTCTCTGTATTTATAGGCGTGATTAGATTGAGAATTCTTGGGTCAACCACTCACAGATTGTATCAAAAACAATCAATCTAGTTTGACTGTCTTAACATTTTGGCTATTTTTGTTGTTAAGGCAAGCAGATCTGATGAAGTGTTCACTCCTTAGTTTGATGTTCAGCAATTGTCTGTCATGGTTCTGAAGTTGGAGGGAAAAAAAAGTAAAAATCAACTGTCAAAACAGTCAATCCAGTCGTGAATTTCTCCCTGACACCAGAGAGCATTGCTTCTCTTCTCCCTCCCCCTTTCTTCCCTCCTCCTCCTCCTTTCCTTGGGTCTGTCCCTCCCACAAACAGTTTCTCTTCTCCAGTGATGTTGATAAAAGGCAGAGAAGGAAGATATTTTAGGTTTGCAAAAGCTTACATTCTCCTCAAAGATTTCCCTTTCCTTTGTTTCGATGTTGATTATCTTTTGCTATTGAGTAGTACTGAAAGGATGGCTACACTGTATGTATGGAAAATGTGTATCTTAATGGAGAATTTAGGCAGAAGTGTCCTCTGCTTTCTCTTTCAAGATGAATTCCACTTTTCAGGGCGCACAGTTCCAAAGCCAGTGAGAGGGAGGCGGCTGGCTTGCAAAATCCTTTCCTGTCCCTGAGCCCGCTCCAACCTCCTTGGAACAGAAGAGCTCTGAGTCTGGCCCTGGTGTGGGATGTGGCTGGCTTTCCAAGTTGGGAAATGTGTTAGTAATTACTTTTTACTGCTGTCTCCATTTGTGTTTCCAGACTTTTCCCCCTCAGCCGGTGTTTTTCTCCACCCAGCTTCCTATGTCATTCTCACTGCTAATCTAACCTTGGCTCCTTTCCTCCAGAAACGTTTGACCTTGTGCAAGAACTTGGCATCCACTTCTGTCCTCCTTCTTCCCTAGAAGGGAAGCGCTGGACTGGGATCATTAGCATGAGCAGGCAGTGCTGCCAGCTGCCCGCCTGTGTCCTCTGGGCTCCGGCTGGTACAACAGTAGCCCCCATTTTCTGAGCAAAAGGGTGGTGGCCACTGGTTGTCAGGAGACCTTGTCCAACATTTTGTTTCAAGATGGTGTTACCAGGGATGTGGACTAAGTAATTAGCTCCTTTAATTGAAGGAACTTACAGGAAAAAATGTAGAAGCAATAAAACCTCTTTAGTTCACACATCCTTGCTTTGGATTTGAAAGAGCTCAGTCGATATTTTTTATGAAGACATGATACTCTGCATTAATTTGAATCTGGAAAGGGTTACAAGGAAACTGGGAGTTGTTTAACCTGCTTAAGAGAACAAACTTTGCAATCACTTAAGAAATGCTCACATTTCTTCCTTCTGTTGATAAGCTGATTACATACCACTTTTATCTTTCCATTAATTAAGTCCCCAAGGACAAATACCATGCATAGTTTTATAACTGAAATACCATCATATAGATACTTGAAATTAATACTACTTCAGTTCTTTAAAAATACTCCACAATTCCATATTTTCACTAATTCAGTCCAAACTTTCTTGATTAAACTGAACAAGTGTGATTTTACCATATCTGTTTGTGAGTGTATGTTCCTGGAGTTTATAGAATATAGCTATTTTTGTAAAATGCCTTAGGTTATAGGGATTTGGTATAGAGCTGGAAATTGGTTGCGTAGGGATGGTGATAGAAGCTGAGGGTGGGAACAGTGACTAGTCATTTACAGTACGCATTCAATATAACCCAGACTATGAAGGGGTATACGAAGTACAAAATTGTGGATAATCTATTCTATTCCTTTATTTATTGGACGGGGAGAGGGAAGAAACTTACAGGAGGGAGCAACTGTATGGGTCCAAGTGATAAGGTCTTTATATATTAGGAGATTCATATCCAGAGATAGGATTTCTCCATCTCATTCCTCTCAGATAAATGAAAAATCGGACTGTTTTTCTGATAATGAGATTTTTCCCTACCCCTACGTTGGAGGACTAGCTTTTTAGTTCAACATAAGCTTTCAGTAATGCAGTATACTACATATGGCCAGAAAGAGTGGATGTGGGAGCAAAAGCATCAGCTCTAGAGCTAAAGCCCTGGCTTGCATACTGGCTTTCCCAGTTATAAGCTGTAAGATCTTCAGTGTATAAATTATAGTAAGTCAAAACTTTGTCGTAGAAAAATACGAAGATACACGTAAAATTTTATTATTAATGAGGGAAGCATTAGGATTTTAAAATTGATTCCAGAATCAAAAAGACTAAATGTATATTTACAGATAGATAAATAGGTAGATAGATAATGTCCTCTGACATTATACTTTTTATTGAACAGAAATCATTTGCATTTTTATCAAACAAAAATCTACCAGCTAACCACAGATTCATAGACTCTCGTCCTAATCAATAGTAAACAGTAAATCAAACAAAGGTGTAGTCTCCAATAGAATTAATAATCCCCTGGGCCCAGTTTGATATTGAAAGGATATATAGGCATCTTTTTGCCTATTTTCAGGTTTGAGGTAATGTTTTTCAACAGGAGGTAGGGCAAATTACTTCATCTCTCTGAACCTCTGAAAAAAGAATATAACAACATCTACCTTACAGGTTGCTGCAAGATTAGCAGAAAATCAAATATCTAAAGCACCTCCCATGTCAACCTAAATAGCAGAGAGAGGCTCTCTAAAAGAAAATTATGTTTATTTGGGAATCGAGTATTGCAATGGGAATACACGTGCCATAGTAAATTATATGCGTATTAAGGGAAGTAAAGGGAGACAAGGGTTTTTAAAGAAGAAATGAGGAGGACTATTACAGAATTGTTTTGAGGCAATTATCCTTGGCTACAAAAATCAATAACAAGGTGGCGCCTGTCTGAGGTTGACAGGCAGTTGCTGGGCAGATGTCCTTGCAGAAGTATTTTTTGTGTAAGGTTATGGTGGCTTTTGCACAAAGTTGTGGTTTTTGCAGAGTCTTTTGTGGTGGTTTTATTTTTGGGCATACGAGCATGAGAACCCTCTCTTCATAGCCTTCTCCAGCTATATATGTTAGGGTTTTTTGTTTGTGTGTTGGTTTTTTAACATGACTGACTCCATTCTGATTCTGACAACTTTCACACCTACAATACCTCAATAAAGGGTAATTCTCACCTCTTCCTGTATTCTCCTTACTCCAGGTTATCTGACATTTTGCCAATCAGTTCTCTTTCAATTGGTGCTTTCACATATAACCAAAATAATAACTGAAGACTATGATGATAACACTGAGATTCTTCGCAGTCACTGTGTCATTACAGATAAAACTGTGTTTTCAGCATAGTATCAATGTTAGGTGTAATTGATTATGGTCTGCATTAAAAAAAAAACTCATTATCCATGGACATTGACTTAGTTGAAACAAAATAGTTAACCAAAACCATATCTTCCAGATTATTAAGCATAAAGGAAAATTCTAGCAAGGGTTTTTACCTGGAACACCAACTTGAATTCAGAAGTGCCTTTGTCAAGCAGTAGATTTGAACAAATGTTCTCTACATCTCCTTCCTATTCTAGGATTTTATAAAAAATGTGTAGAAAGGATACCTAAAAAAAATAATATGCAGAAAGGAGAAAGCCCATGCATTTTAATCACCAGGAAAAAGAACTACAATAGTGTATTAAAAATAATGAAAGTGGTGATCATATTTTTATTTCTTCAAAAACATGTAATTATGAACAATTACAAATATATACAAAATTAAAAAAAAAAACACTCAGGTACCCACTACCCAGATTTAACACATCTTAACATTTTGCCATGTCTCCTTAAGGTTTTCTTTTTCTTTTTTTTTTTTCATAAATAAAGAAAATAAGATAAAGCTAAACCTCTCTTCCTGTCTATTTCCTCCTGTAAACACATCTAATAGCATTAATTTAAGCGTACCCTTAGAATGACCCTATCTGGCAGATGCACCTGAATGTGTGCTCTGAGTTAGAGAATCCAGGAGTGACCAGCCCAGAGATTCATTCCTTGTCTATGAGGAACATCTGAGCCCCCTGCCTGTCCCATGGAACACGGGCTGTTAGGGAATTGAGGCCCTGAGTTTTGGGTTAAATGAAGGTTGCCAGATAAAGGTCGTTAGGGGGAGGGTATTAAGTGAAGATGCCGTATCAGCTGCATGCTGTTTGCAAGTGGTTGTGGTTTTCCTGTCCAGCCCACCACCACTTGACAGTATGTAAGCCTCCAATAAAACCCCATGTTTTGTATGTAAGCCTCCAGTAAAACCCCATGTTTTGTATGTAAGCCTCCAGTAAAACCCCATGTTTTGTATGTAAGCCTCCAATAAAACCCCATGTTTTGTATGTAAGCCTCCAGTAAAACCCCATGTTTTGTATGTAAGCCTCCAGTAAAACCCCATGTCTTGTTTGCTGGCTCCCAGTCTCTTCTTCAGCCTCTTGAATCTGGTGCCATCCCTACTGAGGTTGATAGGGGTTTGGCACGACACCTCCCTACTCCCCTATCTCCCAAGAATTACCATTATTCTGAAGCTGATCTATGCATGGCAATGTTATGTGCCCATAACAATAGATAGTAAGATTTTATGAGATTTTGGGATCTGTCCAAGTGCTGTCATGCGGTATACATCCTGTTCAAATTACCTGTTTTTCACTCAACATTTCTTTTTGAACTTTATCTGTTCAGACACATCTAGATGTATTAGATGCATTCCAAAATGTAATTATCTCACAATTTATTGAACCATTTCTTTACTGAGTTATTTCCTTCAGTGTTTTGCTATAGCAACTCTGCCAACACTACCTTTATATACACAAAGGGTTTCCTAGATTATAGGGAATGTATATCTTCTACTTTAGTAGATATTGCCAAATTGCCCTCCAAAGTGATTATACTGATTTATCTGTTTACTAACATGCATATTTTCATGTAATTTTGGCTATGTGCCTTTTTGACGAGTTGGCTTTTCATAATCTGTGCCCGTTTTCCTATTGGATTGTTTCATAGTGATTTGCAAATATATATATATATATATTCTTTTGATGGTTGCATGCATTGAAAAGATTTTCTCCTTGTATTTGGGTTGTACTTTTAATTAGTTCATTTAATATGTATTATTTTAACTTGAATGTAATCAATGTTTCTATCTTGAGAGGTAGTATAGAGCCAGAATGCCTGGGTTCAACTGACACCTCTACCACTTACCACACAAGATATGGAAGATAATAGTCTCTCTAGGCCTCTGTCTTTTATGAAGATTATAATAATAACTGCTTCATAGGTTTTCATGAGAATTACAAGAGTTAGTTAGATTATATATTCAGAATATTGTATAGTACATAGAATAGCTTAATAAATATTGGCTTATTATTATTTTACTTTATGGTTTGTACTTTTTATGTCTCATTTAAGAAACACTTATCTTCCCTGATATAAAAACATTTTTCTTAAATTTTCTATTAAAAGTTTTAAAATTTTGCTTCTACATGGATCCATCTGGAATTTATTTTTAAGTGTAGTATGGGTAGGAAGTCTATTTTTTTCTCACATGAATAGCCACTTTTTAGCAGTATTTATTGATAGCTTAACTTTTTCTCATAATGCTACCTCTGCCATGGACTCCCCAAATATTTATGTTTTGACAATGGAGTCTCAATTCTACTCCAATGGTCTATTTGTCAATAGCATACTGTTATATTTTCTGTAGCTTTATAACACACCTGCAGATGTGGTAGTATGAGTCTTCCCTCCTTATTCTTCTTCTAAATTTCCTTGATTATTCCTGGCCGTTTTCTCTTACACATGAATGTTAGGACCAGGTTGTCAAGTTCTGTGGAAAGTTTCACTAGTTCACTTTGGATTTGAGGGAGGTTCAATTACAAGGCTGTATTTTAAGGAAGTTCATTTGCACTACATGGCAGGCAGTGTGTTAAGTGGAAAGAGCCCAACTAAGATTTGAAGACTTGGGTCATAATTTGCAACTATCCAAGCTCCCGTGGACAAGCCCCTTCTTAACTCTGGGCTTCAGTTTCCTCACCTGTAGAACAGCCTAGCTCTTGATCATACAATAGCAGACCAAAACCATGCTTCTCAGAGAATAACTCCTGGAAGCGCTGCCTCAGCATCACTGGGGAGTTCCTTAGAATTGAAAAATAGAATCTGAGTCTTGAGGATGGAGCCCAGAAATCAGCTCCCCAGGTGCTTCTTCGGCATGGTGGATGGGTAATTTAATGTGTCAGTTTGGCTAAGCTACAGTACCGGGATATTTGTTCAAACATTATTCTAGAATTTTCTATGAAGAAATTCTTCAAATAAGATCAACATTTAAATCAGTTGGACCTTGAGCAAAATAGATTGCCCTCCATAATGTGGGTGGGCCTCATCCAGTCAGTTAAAGGCCTTAATAGAAAAAAGACTGACCTTCCCTTTGGATTCTAACTGCAACTCTTCCCTGGATCTGCAGTCTACCCTACAGATTTCAGACTTGCCTATCCCCACAATTACATGACACTCCAATTCCTTAAAATTTCATAAAATAAATTTCAATTCCCTAAAATAAATCTCTCTCTCTCTCTCTCTCATTCTTTCTCTCTCTCTCTCACTCTGTCTCAGGTTCTGTGAAAAAGTCTACTAGTTCACTTTGGATTTGAGGAAGGTTCCAATACACTTCCTATTGCTTCAGTTTCTCTGGGGAGTTCTGACGAGTACACACGGTAAAGTTTGAGAAGCTCACCCTGCAATGTACTTGGCATTAATCCATCCTTTTATGTATGACTTGTCCAAATTCACCTATTTATGGAAGAACTGTGTCTAGAATCTAGGTCACAGGATGCCCAGTTCTCTGTGTTTTGTTGTTTAATAAAACATGCTATAAAGAAAATAAACTGTTTATGTTGAGTGGGTGAGTTAAGGAGAGCAGAAATTTTATTTTCACAGTGAATTAATTTAAGTGTTCCTTTTAAATAAGGAGTTCGCTTGGTAATTCATTTATAAATTTCTATATGCTTGACAGAAAAAGTATCAGCAGGGGACTGAACTGTTAGAGCTAAATACCCATTTAAGGCTGAATCATTAATGAAAATAAAGTATCTCTGAAATAAAAACATAAGACTTCATAGGTTTTCAATGTAAGCATCTTTTAGCAAAATATTTGGTTGCCCTATACAATTTAAGAAGCTTTTTTTTTTTTTTTAATGAAGCCATAGCCCTAAGTGTAGAAATAAGCTGTGCATCCTCATTTGCCTGGGCCCAGAAAGCACTTCATGGGGGAAATTAGGCCCTGGGGATGTGAGAGACCTCACTGTCTTAGTTAGGGATCTCCAGAGACACAGAACCAATAGAATATACAGTGCATAGATACATAAGAGGAGAGTTTATTATGGGAATTGGCTCACATGATTGTGGAGGCTGAGAAGTCCCACGATATGCCATCTGCAAGCTGAAGAAACAGGAAAGTCGGTGGTGTGATTCAGTCAGGAGGCTGAGGAGGAGTGGGCACTGGTGTAAGTCCTGGAGTCTGAAGCTCCAACATCCATGGGCAGGAGAAGACAGATGACCTAGCTCAAGAGGAGAGAGACTGAATTTACCCTTCCTCTACCTTTTTGTTCTATTCAGTCTTTCAGTTAATTGGATGATGCCTGTTCACATTGATGAGGCCTGTTCACTATTCAGAGACTGAATAGTCTACTGATTTAAATGCCAATCTCTTCCAGACTCCCCGCCCCCGCCGGCCACAGTGCCAACCCCGGCCCCCACAGACACACCCAGAAATAACATTTTATTAGCTATCTGGGCATCCCTTAACCCAGTCAAGTAGACATATAAATTAACCATTACACCCACATCCAAATAAGAAGGGAGAGTGTGTATATGGAGCTCTAGACTTCATGCACTTCCCGCCCACATACCTAGGATGTGGGGAAAACAGCACACAAGGATGTAGGGTTAGCACACAGGAAAAGATTCCATTATGTGAGCATTTTGAGATAATGGAATATACTCCACATGACCCATATCCAAATTCCTACCCAACAGGTCAATGACCTTTGTAGTCCCTGCTAGGTCTCACATTTTATGTTTCTAAATGTACGAACCTATTACTGGCAAAGAGATTCTGCTGACTTGGACTCAATAATGGATGAGGCCTTAGCAAGTAACCAGTGGATTTAGCAAAAGGAAAATTAAAAAGAGCATCTTTCCAATTGGCAGATCTGTTTTCTCACTGTGTGAAGCACAAAACACACAAAACCATGACTACTTATAACAACTGGGAGAGTTTGCAGAGAGTGAGACTAATCCTCTCATGTGGAATACGAGCTTGGACACACAGACATGTATAACCTTTTATCTTCACTGAAAAGTCTTCTGTGTTTTCAAATGGCTCTGGCTTGGCTGGGGCTGAACCGGGGCCTTAGGAGAAATTAGGCACTGACTCTCTTGCTAGGGTGGGGAGGCTGCACAGAATCAGTGGGAGAGGCACTGGAACACTGCATGAATATTTATAAGTAAAAATGTGTCAGAAGAGCTTAAAGAACTTCTATCCCCAACCCTCCAAGAGACAAAAGAATTGTCCAAGGAAGACAGCTGACTGAATTTTTTAAGCTTTGGATATTTTTAAACCTATTATTTTTAAATGGCACCTCTCCTCCCAGCCATT
This sequence comes from Homo sapiens, assembly GCF_000001405.40. Taxonomy (NCBI): domain Eukaryota; kingdom Metazoa; phylum Chordata; class Mammalia; order Primates; family Hominidae; genus Homo; species Homo sapiens. Next base: position 107,949,397 of record NC_000003.12, on the reverse strand, counting down.
GAATGGGGAATTTCAAACATACAGTACCCCATCCCCTGCCTTTATCAGTTGTCCTCTTAGGGACCCTTTTGGGAAACTTTCTTTTGAGCTTATCAAACCCAACTCTCCAAAGGGAAGTCAACAAAGCCAGCGTGTTTCAGAAATGCATATGCTGTCATTAAAATAGCTGTCCGTTCTCCCAGAGTGCCTCCCATAAAAGCATTTTAATTCTCTAACGAAAATGTAGTTCAGCCTTTATTCTGCAAAGCCAATTTGTTTATGTTTCCAAGTTCAATCACAATCTATTTGTAAAACCTATTTAGAATCAGAGTCACATAGCCAGAAATGATCATGCTCTAATTTCCTTATTAGAGAGATTCTTGTTGCAGCTGGCAGCTTGATTTGACTGCTCCCAGAGTCTGGAGCGACATGTTCTTAACCTCTTTTCTCGATTTTGTTCATCATTTCTTTTAGCTTTTTTCCCCCAACATACAAATATTAAGACAGAGAAGAATAATTCCAAACCCTGTTGCTAAGATGGAGGTAAAATAAGAGACTACCACCTTTTTACCTATGGAAAAAAAAATGAACAAAATTGGGCAACTCAGAATATCTGCAGGGAAAAGAAAAGGAAGAAAAGGTTCACAAAATACACCATGACAAGAAAAATGCTTTAGGATGCAGATGAAAGGTCAATTATTTCAAAAGACTTGAAGGGCTGATGTTTTCTGGATAATTGAATCCAGATTAAAGCAGAACACCAAGGCAGCATTCAAGAAAACTTCTTATTTCATCTACTTTTTTTCTTTAAAAATTTTCTTTATAAAACAGGTGAGTCAATCTCTCTGATGCAGCCATATATGTCTTTTCAAGACAATTTAAAAGTTCTCTGATGATGCAGGGTCCTGAGGTACTCAATGCCTGCTGCTTCAGTTGGTGAAGTCTTACTCATCCTTTAAGGCAGTGGTCCCCCACATTTTTGGCATCATCGGGTCCGGTTTTATGAAAGACAATTTTTCCATGGACTGGGGTTGGGGGGATGGTTTCAGGATGATCCAGGTGCATTACATTTATTGTGCACTTAATTTCTATTATTATTACATTGTAATATATAATGAAGTAATTATACAACTCACCATAATGTAGAATCAGTGGGAGCCCTGAGCTTGTTCTCTTGCAACTAGACAGTCCCATCTGGGGGTGATGGGAGATACTGGCTGATCATCAGGCATTATAGTGGCTAAAGTAATGTCATATCATAAGGGTCACCCCTGTAATAGATTTTCAATTGGCTACCACCTTTCTCAAACTAGATTGAGAAGCAACATGGTCTACCAATAAGTAAGTGTCAGATAAATGTGTAATACTTGTCACTGAGCACTAAGCTTGTTCTCCAAAAGAGTCTGCAGTACAGGGAACC